>NC_000003.12:137947998-138251028 GCF_000001405.40 Homo sapiens | reverse complement strand
CAGGTGCATGCCACCGGGCCTGGATAATTTTTGTATTTTTTTTTGTAGAGACGGAGTTTCGCTATGTTGCCCCAAGCTGGTATCGAACTCCTGAGCTAAAGCAATCCTCCCACCTAAGCCTCCCAAAGTGCTAGAATTACAGGCGTGAGCCACCATGCCCAGCCAGCAATCTTTAGAGACAGCAGAAAGATATTAAGAAAGATTGACCTAAATTTACAAATATGCTTTAAAATCTTACAGCATTGAAAATACAGAAAAAATTACATTGGTTCAAAATGTGAACATATATTTTTGGGATATGGTTTTGTATGAATGATGACTCTGAAGAAATGACATCCATGACAACCATAAGCAGTAACAATTAGGTCATCAAAGTTAGGTAGATTTTGGCCTCCTTACTTTTCTTAAGACATCTATTATCTAAGATTTTAACCAATTATTAATACACTTTGGAGGGCATGCTATGACAATAGTTTTAAAAATTAGTATTTTAAATTTTAGAATAAAATTATAAACAAGACAATTTGTTACCAAGAAATACTCTACAGAAAGAGCCTATGTTTCTAAAACATAACTTCTTTTACTGGAATAAAGTTTTAGAAACTTACAGCATAAAATCACTTTCTTCATTGCAAACCTCTTATTTACACCTTCAATGTTGGTCATCTTTTCTTTTAATATACTTAAAAATATATTTTTTTAATCTCCCAATGAATTACTTAGATATTCTAATAAATGCTTCCATTTATTGAGCACCTATTATGTGGCAGACACTGTGCTAAACATTTTAAGTACATTATATCACGTATTTACAATGATCTGCAGTTGTAACTTCCTTTGCTAGGAAAAAGAGGATAGAAGACAAATTCTTGTTCTTTGCTTTCCTTTTTTCTTCTGTCTACACTTCTCAAAAAAAAATTTTTTTTAATCTCACTCTTCGCTTTCTTCACATGTCATATAAAGCCACTGTGATTGGACAACTTTTTTTCCTTCAAGGAACAAAAACTTAAGAGTTCATGTTTTCAATTCTTGAAAATGTAAAATGAAAAGCATTTAGAAAGTATTTAAAGTAACCAAAAATTAAGCTATTAAATTCCAAATTGACTCAAGGATAGCTCCATGGATAAACATGTCCATTTTAATGGGTTCTAAATACTTCTCTGAGACCTCAGCAAATTCTTACTGGTCATTCCTTACTTTTCTCTGACTTATTGAGGTTTTATTATAAATGCTGAGGTTTAAGGCTATGCCTTGTTGATCTTTATCTCCCCTCCCTGCCTCTCCTTCCCTCTACCCAGTGGGCAATATTATACAATGCAGGTAGTTCAATCAGTCTATGCAGAATTGAGTAACTGATCTTAAAAATCAGACACTAATTGGAAAAATACTTTATATCAGTATATATAACCTTGCAAATAGGTTGATTCCTGAAAGGTTAATTTCTATAAACCAAATCATACTTTTATCCTTAGAAAACCTGGTCCAGATTCACACGTGTGAATGATACAAACTTTAAAAAAATCATACATCTAGAAAGATAAAAACTCTATATTTTCTAATTAAGAAATAATGGTCAAAATTATTTTGAAATGAAGCAAGTACAATACCATAAAACATGTTTTCTTTGATTGATAGCCAAGCAAGCAGAAGACAAGCCCTCAGGATTGCCTGCCTCTTGAAAAAATGGGAATTTCCTGCATTTTTCTCTATGCTAAGTATAACAGTGAAACCCCTGACTATATGACCAGAGGTATATTTTCTCCATTTCAAATTTCCTGTCTTTACACACAGACAGAATTGCTAGTGAGGTTAGGAAAGTTCCTAATGCAGACAAGAGCATATAAGATAATGGGTGCTTAATAATGCAATATTGCTCATTCATCCATTTGTCTGTGTGTTCATTTTTTCATTCATTCATTCATTCATCAATTATTTATTAAGTGTCAACTATGCACAGACAGTGTTGTAGATGCTGGGAATACATTAATGAACAAAACACAAATAAATCCCTGCCCTCATGGAGCTTACATTCTAGTTCCTCGAAAGAAATCTCCAGCTAAAATATACGTATTCAAATTGAAGCAGAAAACTTTCCCCAAGGCTCCATTAGTCAGGTGCCCCAGGGGAATGAAGGTTACAATACGTACTTAACATTTGCAATGTGTTTACTTTTATCAAAAATAAAACCAACATCCTGGTTAGTATACCAATTTCCTTGAATTTTAATTTACACTTTACTTCTAATTTCCCTTAATTTTCACTAACATTTCTAACAAGTTCTACTAGTTACTTGAAGAGTAAGAGAGGATAATCCTTTTTCAACTTCCAACTTAACTGGTGATCGACAGGTCCTAATCAAGTGATGGTCTTCATAACAGCAATTATTTGTCATAGAAGAATCTATCTCAAAATTACAGGATTGTTTGCCACTGCTGCCTCTTCTGACTTAATCACTGACTGGGGATGCCAGTACTTGAAATAGTTTGTTGATCTATTTTGCTTCGTATCTTAACTTCTTCCATTTTTAATATCCCATTAACTGGACTTCTGCTTCCTAATCAGCATTAATATATGGTAAAGGCTATCATTAGAAACTAGATTTTCCTTTTGGCAGAGATGAGAGCTAATTTTTACTTGGCATTGCTGTCATTGCAGTTACTGCTAATGTGTTCTGGACCCTTCTTCCACTGAGCTCTCAATTCCTGCCTATGCTCTTACTCTCTCTAACCAAAATCCATTCAGAGTCAGGATCAATTATTACAGGTAGCTTGAATTCTTCTAAGTTTAACACGGCCAGGCCACAACTGTTGCCAGGCTCAGTGATCCTCCATCTTTTCTGGGGCTTCTTCTCCCTCTTCATGTCACAGTCAATGGTAGTATTTTTCACTCTCACCTGCACAACTCTTTCCACCAGCACCATCCTCCTTCACTCTAGCTGACAGGACACCACAATAAATTAAGAAATTTTCAAGTATGCCATAGAGTAATAAAGGATGCAACACTCGGAATTAGAATACCAATTTTGCTCCATGCAGGATAAAGGTCCAAACAAATTAAAGAAAAAGTCACTCTGTGTACGATTTCTGCATTTTCATTTCTATATTTATTCAACAAATATTTATTGAGTGCTTATTAAGTTCCAGGGAATGTTATACAGTTGGTTTATTTTAGTGGGAATACACCAACACTGCTTCAAAGCAGGGGTGGTAAATCTCTGATCTACAAGTCACATTCCATCTTCAGCTTAATATTCTCTGGCCCAAAGAGAAGGTATCAAGAAATGAAAACACAGCAGACCTTTAGAAGTCTTTAGAAGCAGTAAAAGAGACACAATTATATGAAGAGAGGCCAGCGTCCTTCTCCTTTACTACTGTGTATACCTCTCATTGTCTCTACTTTGCTTATTTTCTCTTCTTCATTCTGCCTCCTTTCCTTAACTGGCCATAATAGGGCACTAGAATACATGTTATTTACCGAATGTATTGAATTATGTTCTCATTTTTAATTTAAATGGCAGACCAACTGAACATTTCATGTTTTTCTCCTGAAACAAACAAACTTTTTGTTGGTTTTTGAGGGGGAGAAGTAGGGATTGAGGGAAGTAGATCTACAGTCCTTTAAATTTCTTTCAGAGACTCTCCACTCATTAACTCAGTTTCTCTACTTATTGACTCAGTTAACTGAAATTCCATCTTGGCAAGCATAAACATTGCATTTTAAAAAAATCAAACAATAAACATTGTACTTTAAGGATCTACACAAAAAATACAGTCAAGTTCATAAGACATAAGTGTAAACAAGAAATAAATATTTCATGGAGAAAGTAAATAAAAATCTACCCAAATAATTATTTCAACAACAAAAAAGGAAAAGAAATGCACTCAAAAGAAAAGTGCTACTATTTATCATTTTTTATACACTGAAAATAAAATTTTTCCACGCCTATGGCCAGTCTTCAAGTAGATTTTATCACAAAATTACTTTATAGTTTCCATTTTACAATTTATCTCTTCAGTAGTTACTATGAACTGTAAATTATTCAAACACTTAATTTCCCAGAAATTAAATATCTTCCTTAAAATGCTATATAAGCCCCATTACATAATATCACAGTATCTTTGCTTTACCACACAAAAAACTATAATTAATAATTATAACTTTTTCTTTATTTGTCATCTTTCTACAGAAACGATCAGGAGTTAGCCTTACCAGGAAATTATACACATTATGAATACAAGTTTTAATAGACTACTGATTAGACTGTCATGTTGCAGGTATTTCTAGAACATGATATCACAAATTAAGCCATTAATTCCAAAACAGTTTATTAACAAAAAAGTACAAAGAAGTACAAATGGACATCCTATTTCCCATTGTGGTCCATCTGTCTATCTACCTTTCAGTCCATGAGATGGTTTTTTAGAGCTTTAAGAATGGGTAAAATACTTCTCCTGTTTCTAATGGGCCCTAATAACCATCCTAAACCAAATAATTGTGTATTTAAGTTACACAGTCCAATTTTTTAAAAATGTTCAAATCTATTGTTATAAAAGCCTCTCCCCTTGCAATACACCAACGTACCCAAACTGAACATTGGCGTCAACATCCATAAATCATATATATATCACTAGTATGTTTGCTTTGAAATAACAGTTTATAAGTGAAAACTTAGATGTACCAAAAATGATTTTCATAGGGATACACTAAAAACACTTCAAGTCAAAGTATCTTGTTAACTGAAATAAAGTGAGGTACATGGAAACATTCAATTTATTAGTTGTGCTTTTTGCATTGATTTTAAATCAAAGCTACTCACACATCAAATCTTATTGCTATTACTTCAGTTTCTTCAAGAAATGGTTCCTTTTCAAGTTATTTCAACAAATGTAAGGTTGTTCCATACTCCTCTTTCTACAGGCCTGAAGAACTTCTCTGAATCATGGTAAACTCTAATACTTTGTGATTTCTCTCACAGTGCTCCTTAAAATACTAATGCAGATGGAGAGATTTAGTAAATCATCATGTTCAGTAAATAATGACTAATTTGCTCTTTCTGCTATGGCTCCTCAAGACAGAACATGTGGTTTTGCTCTCTGATGGTCTTGAAAGCCTTGTGTAGAATTTATTAGGTTATACATGTTTTTGAGTGGTAAGTTCCAGCTTTTTGGTTTGTGGAAGGAGCCAAGTCAGAGCTTACTTACCACTATACTCCTCATCTAGAAGTATTCTCATCAAGAACATGAGTTCAGTGTTAGACTAGGCTTTAGTAACATAAGGGTGCTATACCAGTGCATACATTTTCTGGGGAGCTGGAAAATTCAGATGACCACTCACTAAACATAAAATCATCATTCCACAAAGATTTTATTCACATTAAACTTGCACAGTAGCAAAAAAAATCAAAACATAAAACTAAGCCACATATCAAAGAACAATATACAATAGAGATTTGAATTTCTCAATAGCATTGGAAGGTATTTCCATAAATAACATTTACAATTCTAATGTTAGGACTTTCAAGGTGTCTGAAGCTTCACAGTGCTAGAATTGATTTTTATCAGAACACATGCAAAAATGTGCAACATAATAATTCATATTAATGACACAAAAAAAAAGCACGCCAGTTATTTGTCATTCCAGCACGGCCATGCCACTCTATGTTCTAAAAACAAACAAACAACCCCCCAAATCCGGGTCCCATTCATTCTTCAATTATGCCTTTAGTCACTCTGCTTTATTATATTCAAACAGTCACTGTTAGTGCTCTTCACCACGACTTTCAGGTTGACGTCACTCCCTGCCTGCTGGCTGTCAGGACTGGGGGACGCCCCTCTCCCAGACTCACCTTCTTCCGGATGTCTTCATCATTTGCTCCAAGAGAGGCATAGAGCTTGAATGCAGCCTGGCGGAGTTCGTGAGCATGTTTTAAATCATGATCAAGCTATGGGGAAAAAAAGGATATGTTCCAACTCAGTCCATAAATTCAACTTTCAATAACATTAACTGAGTTGAAGAAAAAAAAAGTTTACAACTTTTAGATTTTAGTGAATTTCCCAGTCATTAACTACATTTCCCAGTTATTTTTGGATTCTGTTCACATAGCACTGAGACTTTGCAGTGTTCGTATCAATGTGACCTAAAATGCACACAATATGCTTCCATTTAAAAGTGAACACTATATTTGACACTGATATATGAAAAACCATTGTGAATCTCTGACTCCGAAAAATTCAGTGTTCCTAAATGGTAGCTTTACTGGCACTAATGCTTGCTTGCAGCAGCTCTTTGAAATGTTCTCCTTCAAAAGAAGGCACACCTGGACTTCTCTAGCCCCAGACTACAGCTGATAACCTGAATGAAATCGCAACAATGTCTTTAGGAGGGTTCCCTTAATTTTCTGAAACATTAAGAGTAGTGCTGGCCTAATTTTGGCATTTAAAAAGCTTTTAGAGGCCGGGCGCGGTGGCTCACGCCTGTAATCCCAGCACTTTGGGAGGCCGAGGCAGATGGATCATGAGGTCAGGAGATCTAGACCATCCTGGCTAACACGATAAAACCCTGTCTCTACTAAAAATACAAAAAAATGAGCTGGGCGTGGTGGCAGGCGCCTGTAGTCCCAGCTACTTGGGAGGCTGAGGCGGGAGAATGGTGTGAACCCAGGAGGCAGAGGTTGTAGTGAGCCGAGATCGCGCCACTGCACTCTAGCCTGGGCAACAGAGCGAGACTACATCTCAAAAATAAATAAATAAATAAAAATAAATAAAATAAAAAGCTTTTAGAAACAGAGAACCCATTGTGAAAATGCTTAACAAACCGTATACTATGGTAACCATTATTATCTATTACAGTTATCTGAGATTTATGTTGGGTATGGGTTTTTTCAAGAACATTATCAAAATTATCAGCATGAAGCAATTAATGGTATCTTTAAACATGCATAACTAATTATCAACTCTTCTATAAACTTGATCACCAAACTACTGTAAAGATAAAACAGAAGCATATTTTCAGGATACTTTCAATGACTGACTATGACCAAGTAACTATACAAAGTCTACCAATAATATAAATAACCTCGTAACTAAAAGCCTTAATGTAATCATCCAAATGAATACCACTTTTCCCAAAGAAGTTACTTTGGAAAGGTTCACTCATCCAATGATGTAGGTGTTGTTCATAACATTCTGAGACCCTCTTTTGAAACTTCCTAAAGAGCTAACTGGTATTATTAGCTAGAAAACACTGACAGTGGTATAGCTTGATCAATGATGAGACTTTTAGTTGTCACTGACTGTGTGTGAAGATGGAGAAATTCAGTTGGGTAATATAACGTAGGTAACAAAAAATTCCACAGAAAGCAAAAGACAATATATATATTTTACATATATATATAATTTGGGGTGGCTCTGAAGGCAATTCTTAATAGTTCCAAAACTTCTGTTCAAAGCAGACACTGATGGATTATAGGAAGAACTTCCCAATACAGAATACTCACTTTGATAAGTTCTAAAAGTATCTACTCTTAAAGTCTTAACTACATTCTAGTCATAAATTAAGATATAATACTGACTTGAACTAACATATCATGAAAATCACAAATTTATTAACATGTGAAGATTTCTCTTTACGGGTCTAGTGTCTATACTTTTCGGGTCAGAAACCTTTGGATAATCCATCATCAAAAATAAAGATGACAAAACAAACTATTACTCAAGTTTGGTATTACGATGTCATTTTTAAGGATTATTGTTGTTACAGTTTTACTCTGATGGAAATGAAATGGAAAAACTAACAGAAGGGATAATCTACGTACTAGTTAAATGATTTGCATATGCATAGGCTACATGTTCTTAAAATTGTTTCCTTACTCTCATGGCCATCAAAACATTTTATTTGCCTTCCTGGGGTGGTCAACTCAGGGCGTTCATGAGGCAGTAGCTAAGGGTTGCTCATGTATCTTTGTATTGGTAAGATACAGTGTCAGTGTGAAAAAATGACCAGAAGGAAAACAGACAAGGCAACTGGTTAAATGTATGTAACCCATCACTTCTACTGGAAAAACACCACTACTGAAAGAAGAGCAGACACATAAGTTTAATACCCAGAGAGTAGAGTACATTACTAATACAAATACCAGTGAAGGTTATTTTAGGCCCTTCTTAAGACAGAGTAAAGATATACCCTTAATAGTTTGCTTTATTTTCAAAGTTAAAAGCCAAATGAACAACTGCCTACCAAATGAGGTTTTTTGAAACTCAAAAGCATGAGGGAGAGGTCAAAAGGAGAATAGTTACCATTGGAACCACTGGCATGAAAAATACAGTTACATTCATGAAACAGTACTGGCTACTAATTAAGAGGCAATGTTCTCTCTACCATGACCTCCTTGAATAAACTTTCTCTTACAGAATGTTCATCTCCTATGCTTAAAGAAATGGATAGGGCAAACAGGCTGAGATGCAACAAGTCAAAATAAATACCGATCTATTCTAAGGAACTTAGGTTTTCAGAAAAAGCACAATTTGGCCTTTTTGGTCCCAAATTCAAGATTAAATGATGCTTTAGCTGTCACTAGCAGGCCCAAAGCACAGTATGAAACTGGGAAAAAGAGAAGATAGGGAAAGGTAACAAAATAGACTGTGGTGGAAAGTAACATGGGACAACTTAGTCTCCTGTAACAAAAAGATTACTCCTGACCTAAAGAATGAGAATGTAACAACAGAGATGATTCCATGACCAAGAATAAGATTATACGGTTATGTCAATACCCAGCTTGGAGAATCCACTACTTTTGAGGTTTAGTTGGGGAGTTAGGATGCAATTTTCTTTATTGCTTATCTGCTCAGTAAAAACTTTCTGACAATAAACATTAAACAACTTGGATTCAAAAATTCACAAAGCAATATTATCTATGTTACCAAAGATAAAAGAACCTTTATTTAAAAGGGCTTTAAGCTGTAGTTATCAATTGGTTCAAAACTGTGAACAGTAAGAAAAACTTTAGAAAAATCTCCCTTGAGCTGCTAAAAAAGGAAAATAACATACCCTTTTAATATCAGTGATGGCACTCACTGAGCTGGGATACTTGAAATAATCAGCAAGCATGGCAATGAGGTGATCAGTTATGCTAGCGATTCTCTGTAGCTCAACATCTGGTTCAATCAGATAGGCAAGTGTCTCAGCTCCTTCAACTCTCTCCTCTAGTAATCTCTCCTTACTGCACATTCGAACCAAACAAGGTAATGTCTGAAAGGTAGTGAGATTAATTATTTGCTTTTTGGTAAAGGTAAAAGCTTAAGCATATAGTGACTGAATCAACTCAATAGCTTTTATCAGGAGTAATGTTTATGATCATATATTTCCTTTACTGACTTCTAGAGAATAAAAGATTTTTTTAAAATGCAAAAACAAGCAAAATTCAGTACACATTAATAATTTGTACTGGCACATTAAACTCTATTCGTACGTCAAAGTATATTAATACAAATTCTAATTAGGCTTTTGGGACCGATAAGACAAGTTTTATTGTACAACTTTGTAAAAGACATTTAAGAATCCCTAACAAATCATGTCTGATGGTTCTGCCCTATCTATCTATTTATTTACCTAAAAAAGACCCAGCAGTTTAATCAGGAATGATTTTGCCTTAGGAAAAGTATGCTATCTCTTCCTTAGTGAGTAATATCGTTTATTTTTTGGTTTGGGGAGTCATACCTACAGTTGCCAAAACAAAATACAGCTTTAAAACTGCAGTGATCTTACCATTACTCAGATTCCACCAGTTCTACTATAATGCAACTGAAATGTATCACAGTTGCTAGGTTTTCCCAGTAACTTGCTGGAATTAGCAGTGGTATCCATGAGTCCAATTTTACTTCTGAGGTCCCTCAAAAATCTTGGCAATGGTTTGGTAACTTATCTACATTAGGTTCTCAATAAAAATATTACAGACATTTACTATTTCTTTTTCTTTTTTTTTGAGACGGAGTCTCGCTCTGTCGCCCAGGCTGGAGTGCAATGGCACGATCTCGGCTCACTGCAACCTCTGCCTCCTGGATTCAAGCAATTCTCCTGCCTCAGCCTTCTGAGTAGCTGGAATTACAGGCACCCACCACCACTCCTGGCTAATTTTTTATTTTTAGTAGAGATGGGGATTCACCAGGTTGGCCAGGCTGGTCTCGAACGACATTTACTATTTCTAAGCCTGACGGATCCACTTGAAAGGACAATGTGGAAGTATAAATTGAAATGTTATCATTATAGAAAGTCTTCCTCAAATACTGCAGGCAACTGTGCTTTGCTCTTTTATATATAATAAGTTCCTATTATATCTTTTACCACAGAGCTTAGCACTTCATCGTTCACTACTAATTTCCTATTAGGCTAGTAGAAGCTTTATAATTCAACCCTAGGTTTCCAAGGGGAAGGCCCTATTCTTTTTTCCCTAACATTACTAGTTACTAATATTTATTGATACCATAAATTCATGAATTATGTAATCTAATGCTCATGACTACTATGTGAAGAATATACTACTAACATTTTACCAATGCAGAAAAAGAGGAAGGTTAGAGAAGTAAATAAATCAAGATAAATGCTATGGAAGTCCGTGGCACTCTATGAAGAGTTGTTTACTTAGGGAGTGTTCAGATCTCATTAAATTAATTCTCTTCCCCAAAGACTAAAGCAAATATTAGTCTTCTTTGTGCTCTTTTATCCTTGGGATCACCTTTTGAACAATGATAATGTGAGATCTCATATTTATAAAATGACACATCATCAATTTACTTATACTTAATTTTTTATAGCTAATAAGACATTTTAATGTATTTAATATATTGTTATCCTCACAATAACCCTGTGCATAGATGAGCAGGAATTATTGCTTCAATTTTCATAATCTGGAGTCCGAGGCATCAAAAGAATAAAGGATGTACAGTCAGAGGTGGGAGTGCTAAAACCAGAATCCAGGTTTTAGGACTTTTAGGGCTGGTCTTTTCTCCAGGTTTTTCTAAATTCAAGTTGTATATGACATATCACAATGACAATGCTTGTTTTCATGTGTTATCTACTTATTCTCTTTCATTATGCCTTTTGATTATCAGCTATGAGAATGATATAAAGTCTTTTTCTGCAAAAGTGGCAAATCGTCTGCCTCTAAAACTGTAGTACAAATTTAATGACAATCAAGAACGAAATATATTTTCTGTTTCACCTGAATTGTACACTTTTACAATTTCCACATCCTCCTAATTACCATAAAATGAAAGGCTGTGACAATGAAATAATTATTTCACGCTGACTTTCGAAACACATCTAAAATCAATTTTTAAAAACTATATGACATCCACTGAAAAGAAAGCATGGTCTTTCAATATTATTCTACGCCATGCACATATATCATAATGATAAATGTGTAAAATGAAATATGAGTATCAATACTGATATTTAACACATAACTGGATAATTTTCACATTTTAAAGATAATTAATTAGCTTACCTTTAATACAATACAGTTATCATCTGTCCGAATTGCTCCAGCTCTACACATGTAAGTTAAACTGGAATAAGACAGCAGAAAATAAGTTTTTGCTTGGAGTTTAAAGCTTTAAATGAAAAATTATTTGCCTTTAAGATTTTATTAAAAAATCGAAAACCAAATAATATCACTTATCTTGAGAGTGAAGATTTTGACAATTCGCTTTTCGGAGGTTCAGTCAATTTAATAGTCAAAGAAAACTAACTGACAAATACAGATGGTAAGCCAGATATTTAAAAAAACAAAATGAAACAAAAACCTACCAAATAGTTTTAAAAATAAATAACCTAATGATGGACACATTTTGAGGCTAGGTGCTGGGCACATGTTGTATTCTTTATACTTCAGAATTTTCCATAATAAAAAGGGAAAAATGTTCAAAATGAAACATAAGATGAACACATTATCTCAGTTTAAATGAAGTTGGAATATTCTAACTCCAAATGCAGTAGAAGTATCACAGAAGAGGCATTTAACTTGTAACACAGCTATCCATCAGAAATGAACTATTCAGAGGTTAACAGCAGGGGCTTTGGGAACGAGTCAATAATTTGGTTCTACTGAAAAACAATTATAAGCTGCCTTTGAATAAGAATATAATTAATTTTTATTCCCCAGGCAGGCGCTGAACATTAAGCGCTTCAGAAATTTAAATTAATGAATTTCCTTTTTGATTACATTCCTTTAGCAAGATGGGGGAAAAAAATTAAAACATCTCACGTTGGCTTCTACCGAAAGTTATAAACAGGTAAAATCATTTTACTTATATTGTAGACGGCTGAAATATTTGTAGTTGTTATTATCTTGAGGCTTGTTACCATATTGTTTTTCTGAAACCATTTACTTTAGAACATTACCTTACTGACAGAGGCAAATGCTCAGTTTTAAAGACAAAAAGCAAAAAATGATACAAACAAATAAAAACCAAACAATTCACGATACATGAGTAATTCATTGAAAATGCCAAATTCTCACCAAAATGTTAGAACCACAGCTTAAATACTAAGATTAAACTTAGCACAGAACCCTACACAAGTGCTCAACACACCCATTCATGTATTGATAATTACAGAACATGCACTGAATGCTTACATGAGCCAGAAATTGTGCTAATAAAAACTCTGCAGCTGGGCACAGTAGCTCATGCCTGTAATCCCAGCACTTTGGGAGGCCGAGGCAGGTGGATCACGAGGTCAGGAGTTTGAGACCAGCCTGACCAACATGGTGAAACCCGTCTCTACTAAAAATACAAAAATTAGCCAGGCGTGGTGGCATGTGCCTGTAATGCCAGTTACTCAGGAGGCTGAGGCAGGAGAATTGCTTGAACCTGGGAGGCGGAGGTTGCAGTGAGCCGAGATAGTTGCCACTGCACTCCAGCCTGGGTGACAGAGTGAGACTCCGTCTAGAAAAAAAAAAAAAAAACCTTTGCATAAGTATCTTCTAAACCATCACAACTTTTGAAGATTTTGTGTTTTTTTTTTTTCCTTAAAAGATGAGGAAGCCACGTTCTCTGAAATCATCCCTTGGTTATCAACTTCAACTAATTCTCATTCCATATTTCTATATCTTTGTATTTCCCTGGCTAATACTTAGCATAGTATATGTTGGTTAAATCTAATCTAATTCAGTATTATTTCAACTGAAGTAGAAGGACAGTAGTTTGAGGATGTAATAAAGTAATTTTCTGAAGACAGTCTCAGATGTTATACGAGAGTTCCTGTTCTGCATATTACTAGTAATAAGCTGAGTATAAAAAACTCACATCCATTTAAGAAAATGTGGGATGGACTCCTGACTTTCAAATTTCAAAATCTCAAAATAAAATGGGGATTGGAAGCAAGCAAATTTGGTTGTCCAAAAATACTCTAAGATATTGATAAAGCACTGTCTTTCTTCCCACATTGTCCTGACTTTTACCATTTTGCTGATGTGAGCTGCATCTCAATAGGCTTATCCCTCTGTAACATCTTCACAAAAATCTGTGGTAACAATTCTCCATCAACCAAAACTAGAAATAAAACAAACAACAATGATTAAGGAAATTCTTTAAATCTAAAAAGTTCATCAATTAAATCATGTAGGTGCCACTGAAAGCTCCAGCCTACCATTTACCAGGGTCATCGATACCTGGGGGTTTTCAAAAGCTAAAACTGAGAAACATTTCAGTGCTTGCATTCGAACCTGTAAAAATAAATGAACAAACAAAAAATGTGTTTAATTCTGCAAATGCAAATTTTAATGTCTCAGAATCTAAACTCTTCTAAAAAATTATGTAAATCTGCTTAAAATACTAACAGGCCTCAAAGAAATAACAATAACACCTGTACAGCTGCAGAGTACAGTAAGTTAAAATTAACTATAAAAGTTAGAACTAATTTTGAATAGGAAAAAAATCAGGAAGTAGCAATTTAAATTTAACTAGATAAATCCCTAATCAAAATTAAAAGAACACTATACAAAATACAGTTGGTAAGACAAAGAGAACTTAGTAACAATTAATTACCAAGTGGCTTTCAAAGCGAATAAAAAAATAGAATACTTTTATGTATGGATTGGAGACAGGGAACAGAAGGAGAGGAAACAATATTACAATAAAATTTAAGAAGCGCTAACTTTTAAAACACCCATGAATTGTGCTACTATTCCTCAAAACTAGGTTACTGGTTTGGGATAATACCAAGGGCCCAATCCTTAACCATATATAATATGCTTTACAATTTCCAGAAGCTCCTAAGAGATGTTTTTTTTTTTTTTAATTCTTTCCATTCTAATCCAATCTAATCCTCACTTCTAAGTCTGAGTCTACACATGATGTTTTAATGTGGAACCTGAGGTTGACAAGCACTCACAGGATAGGTAGCTGGGGTATGAAGAAGCCCTGCCCCTCACTTGGGCAATGCTCTGCAGCACTAGCATGTGCCCACAGGAGGAACCTAGAATACATTAATGGCACTTTGGTAATACAGCAAACCCTGGCAGAAGAGTAATGTTACCAGACTAGTCCCCTTTCCACAACCTGTAGGTTTTTCAAATCATTATAGTAAATAAGGAAGTCTAGTGCAGAAAAGATAGGAGAAATGGAGGAAGAGCTGGGGGAATTAATGAAGCTAGAGGAGATGAAGTAAAGGAACAATAAACAGCCACCCAAACAATTGTTTCTTGATGTGCAAGTGCTGACTGGTTTAGCCTTTGCATGGCACAGGAAAGAGGAGGTACCTTTCAGTATATATTTATTTCCCCTGCCTCTGGCTAGTTTGAAGTTAGTTCCACTCTCCATTCCTATCCTTATGAGCTCTTTACCAAGACTAAACTAGATAGCTGAGGTAGGGAAAACATACACATTAGTAGGCCCTACCTGAAATAAATTTAAAGACTAAAAGGACAGGCCGGACACGGTGGCTCACGCCTGTAATCCCAGCACTTTGGGAGGCCAAGGCAGGCGGATCACAAGGTCAGGAGATCAAGACCATCCTGGCTAACATGGTGAAACCCTGTCTCTACTAAAATATAGAAAAAATCAGCCAGGGGTGGTGGCAGGTGCCTGTAGTCCCAGCTACTCGGGAGGCTGAGGCACGAGAATGGCGTGAACGTGGGAGGCGGAGCTTGCAGTGAGCCAAGATCGTGCAACCGCACTCCAGCCTGGGCAACAAAGCGAGACTCTGTCTCAAAAAAAAAAAAAAAAAAAAAAAAAGACTAAAAGGACAGAATGGAGTCACTGCAAGAGGACAGAAGACAAAAATGACTGCTTCCCTGTTCTGCAAGTAACTCCTGCAATACCCAACTCTAATGTTACACAATTAAAGACTACATGCCAATATTTGCTACAACTTGTAGATGGACAACAATGAATGGCGAAGGTTTTAACTCAACACCTGGTAATATGACACTGCTTGCTTTCATATATAAAAGAAAACGTAATTAGTTAAGTCTGGAAACTCTTTACTTTTTAACTAAAAATACAAAACATAACACATTTTAAATGCTGATGTATATGCAGGAATATGCTAAGTCTGAGACACTGTGGTTAAATAAAGGTCTCAAATATGAAATTCTGTTCCTTCTTGATATAGAAAGCCACTGCTTCTATACTTCAAGGCATCATGGCACTGGTAGCTATCCAAAAAAGATTTTAAATTTAATGGGTGCAAATCAATAAGAACTCATGGTACAACTGTATCCTAAAAAAGAGATGCAAGGGCAGCTTTTTTTTTTTTTTTAAAGAGCATTCTATAGCTAAAATGATGCCCTATAACATTTTACTGATAAAATACTACTTTTGATCACAATTATCAAAGAAACAATAAAAATATGTGGGTCTGTTTCTAGAAATCACAAACAAGGTATACAAATCTGGCCACAATTTTTAACATCTTACTTTGTAGGACAGTGAGGTTAGTAGGTGAGCAATATTCTGAACTGCACCGTGGTTAAATAAAATTGTTTGATGATCTGGCCCCTGTAAGAAAAAAGAATACAACAATATATTTAGAAGAGTAATGACTCATTCCAATAAAACCACATTTACTTAAATGTAGAAAACCACATTCACTACAGTACAGAATCCTGTTACTCTTTGCTTAAATAAACTCAAACCTCAAAAAGCAGCACAAACACTGTGTTTAGTCCTGCAAAGGGCTACCATATCTTAACTCATTCCAGTTCTAGAAATGCTGCCTCTTTACCTCCTAGAAATATAGAAGTGGGCCCAGAAGCTATGTTGGCACAAGTCCTCTGCAATTATTAAATAGAACGCCCAAGTCCTCTGCAATTATTAAATAGAATGCCACCACAGCAATAGAGCCACGATGAATTCTGCATTTCATGTGCACATTATTGCCCTATGCCCACAGGAAACAGTGGCAGAGTCATTGTTACAACTTAGAACTGATGAGCTAGTCAGGGGAACTCTAAAAATGAATTGTAAAAGGAACTGGACCACAAACTAACCTACCTTAACACATCAGGGAGGTCTGAATAATGCTATAGTGGGAAACACAACACTCCATAACTGGGAAATGAACAACAACGTGTTTTGGTTTCCATATTTCTATCTCATTTTTCTTTTTAAAAGTATTGGTTCAGCCAGGCGCAGTGGCTCACACCTGTAATCCCAGCACTCTGGGAGGCTGCCGGGGGTGAATCAGGAGGTTGGGAGATCAAGACCATCCTGGTCAACATGGTGAAATCCCGTCTCTACTAAAAATACAAAAATTAGCTAGGTTTGGTGGCGCATGCCTGTAGCCCCAGCTACTCCGGAGGCTGAGGCAGGAGAATTGCTTGAACCCGGGAGGCGGAGGCGGAGGCTGCAGTGAGCCAAGATCGTACCACTGCACTGTAGCCTGGGCAACAGAGCGAGACTCCGTCTCAAAAAAAAAAACAAAAACAAAAACAAAAAAGTATTGGTTCTTAAAAGAGTAGGAAGGTAAAGAGATAGGAAAATGAAGGGTTTTTTTTCATCAATTCTGTTTTCTACTAATCAATGTACTAAAGAGCTTCAAAGTGACAGAAGCTAAAATTAATGCAAAGCTTCAAATTTGCCATAATTCTTATTCATTCATTTTATGTCCAACCTTATCCAATCAATTAATGAAAAATCAGCTAAAGCCAACACAGGGATGATATTTCATGCTTATCATCACTCAGAAGAGAAAAATATCACAAAGGTTGGCTATCGGTCTGGGCTCCCCAAAAGAAACCAGTTATTGGTCCAGCAAGTGCTCTCAAACCAATTTCTCCAACCCATTATTTAAGCAAGTAACAACTGTCATGAAGATGCTCGTTCTTTCTTGAGCCAAAACACCCATCATTTGAAGTGGGGAAATTAGCATTCGTACTTCTGAATAGCACGACCATCATATTCTACTTTATAGGTAACAATCCCCAAATATTTTATGTATTATTAAAAGAATCTGTAAAAAACTCAGCAATTTCTCTCTTTTTCCATATATTTTCTAACTTTGAGTTTCTTATTTTTAATCACAATACAGTACTCCATAGTTTGCTCATACAAACCCCCATTGTATATTTTAGGTAGTTTCTAATGTTTTACTGCTATAAGCAGTGTTTTGTTGAACATTATTTGAAGCTGCATCTCAGTACAGATCCTGAGGTTATGAGGATAAATTCCCAGAGTAAAATGGTGTGATATAGTTATTGTTACATATCCATCCAGAATGGTGCAAACCTGTTTTTGTCATAACTGAAAATACTGACATTCTCAGGGCATTGGTTTTAAGTGTGCTCCCTTTCCTCCCACCTCATCCATGCATCATCTGCAGTTATAAGCATAGGTACTACTTACTGGATACTGGATACCAGTGCCAGGCACTGCTCTAAACACTTCACATGCATTTGTCTCATTTGAAACAAAGGAGTCCTTGGCTTATAAACACAGTGGTGAAGACTGAAGTAGGGGAGCCAAAGAAAACAGGGGTCTCGTAAGGATTCGACCCTTTTTTTCTTACCTAGTTACTAAATCATGAAGATAAGCCAAAATTAGCCTCAGCTTATGTCATCACACTAAGGCTTTTTAAGTTCCTTATCAATTTTGACAACCCAGTTTAGACACTGGCAGAGCTTAGCAAAAGCGAAGTAGGCAGGGTGCTGCCTCAGCCTCTTGCACCTCATTGTTTTTCCACCTCTATCTGCAGCCAATCTGTTCTCCTGCCTTAAGGTGACCTAATAGATTATATGTTTCAAGACATTTTATACAGCAGATACGTAAATATATTCTTCCCCCATTTTAATACAAATGGTAGAATACTATATACACTGCTCTAAACCTTTTCTTCCTTCACAATTTATCTCAGAGATCATCCATATCAGCACAAAAAGAGTTTTCTCATTTATCTGTTGGCCTTACTCTATTATATGAATGTTCTAAACTTTAACTAGTACCCTATAGTTAGACACTTAGATTGTTTTCCGTCTTTTACTAACATCATTTCAGTGTATACCCATGTGCTTGTAACTTTTTTTCTAAGATCTGAATAATTTATGGCATATTCTTTCTAAGTTATATTTACAATGGATGGGGAAAAGATCAAGCACACTGCAATTCTCTCTATATATAATTGTTCCCTGGTGCTGACAAGATACCTTACTTTTTTCCGTCAAATTCTTTGCCTCAAAGATGGCAGCAAATACTTGTTACAAAAGAAGTTCTTCCTCCTCTCTGAGGTTGTACACAAAATTGTGTAAAAGCAGTTGTAAGGGGCTAGACGCAGTGGCTCATGTCTGTAATCCCAGCACTTTGGGAAGCCGGGGCAGGCAGATGGCTTGAGGTCAGGAGTTCGAGACCAGCCTGGCCAACATGGTGAAACCCCATCTCTACTTAAAAAAAAATATGAAAATTAGCCAGGTATTGTGGTGCACACCTGTAATCCCAGCTACTCGGGAGGCTGTGGCAGGAGAATCGTTTGGACCCAGGAGATGGAGGTTGCAGGGAGCCGAGATTGCGCCACTACACTCTAGCCTGGAAGACAGAGCGAGACTCCATCTCAAAAAAAAAAAAAAAAAAAAAAAAAAAGCAATTGCAAGGAAAGAATTAGTGGCTGAACCAACTAGTGAGGAGGATCTGTCATTTGAGACTTATCGGTCTCTCATTCAGCTTTCTCCAAATCAACCTGCAGGAACCTGGTGGTTAGTGAGGCAGCATCCACTGGGTGGGAAGCACCTAAGTCCTCATGGTCTTTTTTTTTTCCCCCCCCAGAGATGGGGGGTCTCACTACGTTGCCCAGGCTGGTCTTGAACTTCTGAGCTCAAGGGATCCTCTCGCTTGGGATCCTCTCGCTCAAGGGATCCTCTCAGCCTCCCAAAGTGCTGAGATTATGGGCATGAGCCACCACACCTGGCCTAGCTCTCATGGTCTTAAACTCCAAAAAATAGGCTCAGAAATCTGAGTAAATACTTAAGAAATAGCAACAGTTTAGAAGTTAGAATTTCAACAAATACTATTTCTAGTGAGTGTTTTCTGCTCAATAAATCAGAAAATTTCAAAAATATAATTATGATTATATTGCAACACAAATGCTTTAGTGAGCTCTCCCTTTTTCCCTCCCCCAAAGTATGTAAATTTATTTAATATTGATACCAGTCAAAGCAAATTAGTAATTTTAAGTTTTGTCATTTAATCTTAGCTTAATGTGAGTCCCTATGAGTCTTAAAATTCTATTATAAATCTTATTTTTTACTTATATGCAAAAAAAGAACAACATGAAAATAAAAGGGTTTTATATTTAATGACAATACATGGACCATTGGATCAGTTGTTCTCAAAGATACATGTTGTCAGTATATCGGTAAAGTTGTTAATATTGTATTTTAGGCTTTTACTAACGTCACTGGATTTATAAATGCTATACTGTTTCTTGAAGCCTAGCTATGTCTCAGAATATTTAAATGTGGTTATTTAATTGTAGTGGCAAATGCTAACTTATCCAATTAAAAGGTGAGTAAAGGTGACTTTCTCTGATAACATCTTCCATTCTGTCAGTGGTATGAGGCTGGCTGTTAAATTATTATCCTCAGTTTAAGTTTCTCTCCAGCAAAAAAATAGTGATTTAATGGTACTCTATAATTTCAGCTAAAACAGCATTGAGAAGTTTCAGATGAGCAATCCCTATGTTGAAGAGTTTCTGATGAGTAATCCTGAAAGCTATTTAGGTAACTTCAGGAATGGAATTATTCAAACTTCTCATAGCTTAAAATAATTTAACATGTAGTTATTCCTCCAGGTCCAATTTTCAGTAGCCTTTTGGGATTACTGTGCTTATGACTAGTAGATGCTGTGCTCTGTTCAACACTCAGTAATAGAATTTTATTTATTTATTTTTTTGAGACAGGGTCTCGTTCTGTGACTCAGGCTGAAGTACAGTGGTGCAATGACTGGTTCACTGCAGCCTCAACCACCTGTGCTCAATCGATCTTCCCACCTCAGTCTCTGGGGTAGCTGGGACTACAGGCACACGCCACCATGCCTGGCTAATTCTTTTGTATTTTTTGTAGAGATGGGGTTTCGCCATGTTGCCCAGACTGGTCTCAAACTCCTGGGCTCAAGAGAACCACCTGCCTCGGCCTCTCAAAGTGCTGAGATTACAGGTGTGAGCCACTGCACCCAGCCCCTGAAAAATTTTTAATGAGGCATACAGTTCTGGAGCATCTTCCTCAACTTGCCAGGCTGGCTATAAGACGTCATTTTGTTGTTGGGAAATTCTAGCCCTTGATGGATTCAGCTCATTTTAAGCAAGTGAGTTGCAACAAAACTGTCATTTTCTTAAAGCCTTTCTTTCCCCACCTCAAAAGATTATAAGGCATTGTTTGATATCTCTGCTCCTATGAGTTGGCCCACACTTTGTCAACGTAATCCAAGAAGAGAAACTTCAAAACTTTTTCACAAAAATCTTAAATAGTACTGAATAGATTGTGATAATCAGCTAGGGTTTGTTTGGAAGGGGGTTTAGATGTCTAAATTACAATGTAGAAACTCTTCCTAAAACTGGGTGATTTAGGTTTCATTTATTTGGAAGGCTGTTCTAAAACAGCATAGACCTGTGTCTTCCAGGTGTTCTCTTATCCCTTCTTTCCTATAGTTCCCAAAGCTCCTTACTTGTGACTTGTATTATAAATGATAGGATGTATTATAAATGATACAATATCATCAGAAGATAATTATTTGGTTAGAAGTTAGAAAATGTGTAGAAATTAAGAAAGATCTCAAGTAATCACCCATGGTTATCAAAAATGATACATTCAACATATAATCTACAAAGCAAACTAAATGGCACTTCATAGAAAAGAAAGAGAAACTTTACTCAACAATGAGAAGAATCTCTCTCCTTTCTCCTTATATGAGATCACTTAAACCAGTTTCCAGTAATAGGGAACAAGGGTGAGGGGAAACAGTCATGATCACACATTGCTGGTAGTATAAAGTGGTATAATCTTTATTTAAAAATGTGGTAAAATTACAAATACATATATTCTTTGACCCCAAAATTTTATTTCTTATAAAATGCCTCATATACAAGGTATTTTTTGCAGCACTGTTTTGTAATAGCATAAGACTGGAAACAAACTAAATGCTCCACAATAGAGGACTGGACAAATAAATCTACACACTAAAATACTATGCACTGTTAAAAAAAAAAAAAAAGAATGAGGGAGAGGTCCTTATGTACTGATATGGAATAGCCTTAGAGATATGTCAAGTGAAAAATGTTAAGGTGCAGAACAGTATGTATGGTATGCTGTCATTTGTGTTTTAAATATATATATATTTTATATATACATATACATATACATATACATATATATATATATATATATATATATATATATATATATATATATATATACACGCACACACACAGGTCTACTTATATATGTATGACTACCCCTGGGAGGGTACACAAAGAAGGTACATCTCTTAAAGGCATAATAAGATTTTACATTATAGATAACATTTATTCTGGTTCTTACTTTACAGCAGTGTGAGAAGATCTGACAGATGTACTCCTGGGTATAGCGGGACCTGCTAAGCAGTGCCATGAGGTGTGGTATCACTGTGGCATCCTAGGGAAGGAGAACACAGCAACAAGAAACTCAGGCACCATGAGTACATTTGATAAAATATAAAATATTTCCACAAGAAGGTAGTCAAATCTCTTATCTTAATGACAGTCAATCAAGTCTCCTTAAGGCACAGTGCAAAACAAAAGCAACGAGGCCATGAAAACTGTCTAGGCCAATGACAAAGAAAGAGGCTTCAATATTCATCCCTGGTAGCAAAATATGAGAACAGGAAATTCTCAATAACTCTCTCAAAAATTGCCTACATCCTCATGATAAAATCATTTCAATAAGAAGTGACAGAAATCAGTTCTGAAACCAAAATGTGAGGTAACTAGTACGTTATGCACTAGTAAATAGTTTATAAGGAAGAATTATTGTATAAAAATAAAATTTGAAAATTTTGATCTCCGAGATGTTAAGCACCAGTAAATACTAACAATCTCTCATAAAGACTGTAGTTAGCTATTTTCAATCTGTACAAGACGAGACAATTTATATGACTGGCAGCTTCTCAGGTACAGCCCACTCTCTGCCTATTGCTGACACTTAAGAACCTATGTAAAAGCACAGAAAAAGAGAAAATAATCAACCCACTCTGCTGCAAGTCTCTCCAAGAATTTCCTTTTATTTAGAATGCAGGCCAGGAGCGGTGGCTCATGCCTGTAATCCCAGCACTTTGGGAGGCCAAGGCGGGCAGATCTCCTCAGGTAAGGAGTTTGGGACCAGCCTGGCCAACATGGCGAAACCCCGTCTCTACCAAAAATACAAAAATTAGCCAGCCATCATGGCGCATGCCTGTAATCCCAGCTACTTGGGAGGCTGAGACACAAGAATCACTTGAATCGGAGAGGCGGAGGTTGCAGTGAGATTACGCCACTGCACTCCAGCCTGGATGACAGACAAGAGCAAGACTCTGTCTCAAAAAACAAAAACAAAAACAAACAACAAAAGAAAGCAGAAGGAGTTAAAAGTTGAAAGGTATTTGGCTGGAACCACAGATAAAAAAGGAGACTTAGCTCAAGCTTCCCAGTCAATGACATCACAAAAGTTATGCTTCTCAAGAAGGAATGTGCATGCAAATTCCCAGGAGATGTACTTAATGTACAGACTCTGATACTGTAGGTTTGGGGTAGGATCCTGAGTCAGCTTCCAAATGAGGCTGATGCCACTGGTCCACAGACCATACTTTGAGGATCCTCACCAGAGACAACAGAGGACAAAGAAAAAAACTTAAAAGAACACCCTTGTTGGGAGGAATAAGATTTGGGATTTTCCTTGGGAAAAAAAAGAATGCCCAAGATATGTAAAAGCCAAGTAGGAAAACAGAAGGCTGCTGATTCCCTACAAGTAGAATCTCTTCCCCGTTTGTTAGTATAACCCTTTGTGTTTACACAAGTAGTTTAAAAACAAAATGGAAAACTTAGAAAACTTCAAAGAAAGTCAGATACTAAGTGTACAGAAAGAAAAGGAAAATGTCAAGTCGGGGAAGGGGAAATGGGGTTTCACTGGCAAAGGATAGTGAAGCAGGTAGCAGCTAAGATAGAAAAGGCAAATAGGTAGATTAAAAAGCCTCTATTGGGCTCCTAAAGCTATTTCCACCTCCTTCCTTTTCTCTATGTTCTCACATTCCTCACTTTCCCTCAGTTACAACAGCCCCCATCCCATTTCTTCCCATCTGCACCTTTCTGTCAATTGTGTCTATATATCTGCAGATTACAGATGATTAAGGCAAATAACAATTATTAAATATGAAATTTGCCCAAAATCACCCATCTGATAAACACAATTTCAAACTAGAAATCCTGCTGTCTTTTTACTGGACTACCTACCCCATCTCTATTCTACTGCCAGAGTTGCTCAAACAGCTTTTTAAACAGCTGGCCTCTACACACTCCAACTCATGGAAGTCAGTTAATTACACTGAAACACTGTACTAGTTCTTCCCCAATTCAACTCTTCACAAGTTCTCCACTGTCTCTGAGACATAAAATATCGGAGGCATAAAATAGCTGAGGCACAAAATTGAAATCTTTCATAATTTAGATACTCTAAATTTAACCTCCAGGGGTCTCAATTTTCTCATGTAAAACAGCTGGCATAGATCAGAATTTTCCAAATGGTGCACCAGGATCCATTAGTAGGTCATCAATCAGTTTAGAGAGTGAGGTGGAAGGAGTTTAAATAGTTGGCCAGGATCAACTTCTCCCCTTATTATGGGATTGAGGGTAGGTGAGAAACTTCCAGGGTAAAAAAGACAGGTGACTGGCTTACTCTCTTTGCAAACATTACAATATGAACTACAGGAAAATAAACTGATATTAACTAAGCCCTCTATGGGATCCTTTGAGCAGGATGTTTATAGTAAACCAGCAGTTCTCAAAGAAAGTACTTTGAGACCAGCAGCATCTGAGTTACCTGCAAATTTGTTAGAAATGCAAAACCCAAGACTCACTGGATCATAAACTGGAGGTGGGGTCTAGCAAACCCTGTTTAACAAGCCCTCCACGTAATACTAGTGCAACTTCAAGTCTGAGAACGACTACAGTAAACACTCTATAGATTTATGAGGCATGACTCCCTGAAGAATGTCACACAAAACCATGAGGTATAAAATAAAGATGTTAGGCTGGGCGCAGTGGCTCACGCCTGTAATCCCAACACTTTGGGAGGCCGAGGCGGGTGGATCACGAGGTCAGGAGTTCGAGACCAGCCTGGCCAATATGGTGAAACCTTGTCTCTACTAAAAATACAAAAAAAATTAGCCGGTCATGGTGGTGCACACCTGTAATCCCAGCTACTTGGGAGGCTAAGGCAGGAGAATTGCTTAAACCTGGGAGGTGGAGGTTGCAGTGAGTCGAGATCAAGCCACTGCACTCCAGGCTGGGCAACAGAGCAAGACTCCATCTTAAAAATAAATAAAAGAAAATAAAATGTTTCATAATTTAGGTGCTCCCTACTGTGTGAGGTGACCCATAAATCTCACCTACTGACCACCTTATGTATCATTAAGTGCCAGAGGAGTATGTGTCTGATGTAGGAAGGACAGACTAGGGAGCCATGTGACATGTCTCCTCTCCATGCTTGCTTTGCCTATTCCTCGATTACTTACAGTCTTGAAATATTTATAAAGCCTGATTCTGGATAAGATCTCTGACTCCTGTGTGTACAATTTGACAATATGATTCGTTGTGTTAGCTCAGATAATTACAACCACCATTTTTTTAAAGAATGAAAAATGATAGCATAGAAACCAGAGGGCATTACATCTGTGGAACAATGTCATGAAACTTGTCTCAGGATTCTTTCACATACACATACATACATACACATATATACACACACATACACAAACTGACATGTATAGTGAGGCAATGGAAAATATGCTTCTTGCTGTGAACTGTGAATAAGAGTGTTTAAAAATATTGGCCTAACTGTCAGTAAGAAAGCCCCATGTAAAGTGACTGTAATTTACAATAATCTATTGTATATTGAAAAATAGCTAGAAGAGGCCGGGCGCAGTGGCTCACACGCCTGTAATCCCAGCACTTTGGGAGGCCGAGGCGGGCAGATCATGAGGTCAGGAGATCCAGACCATCCTGGCCAACATGGTGAAACCCCGTCTCTACTAAAACCACAAAAATCAGCTGGGCGTGGTGGCACATGCCTGTAGGCCCAGCTGAGTAGCTCGGGAGGCTGAGGCAGGAGAATTGCTTGAACTCAGGAGGCGGAGGTTGCAGGGCCGAGATTCCTCCACTGCACTCCAGCCTCGGTGAGAGAGACACCGTCTCCAAAAAAAAAAAAAAAAAAAGCCAGAAGAAATGAATTTGGGCTGAGCACGGTGCCTCATGCCTTCCTCTCCACTTCTCTAAGTCTTATCCATTATTCAAAACCCAGATTAAATTCTAGCTTCTCTGCAAAGCCTACTCTGCTGGATTTCAACCGAAAGTCAGCTGAACTCCCTATCATTCATCTAGCGTAAAATAAACTTAAGTTCTACATATAGAGAGATAAAAATGGGTCTTTTTAAAAATAGCTTGTAAATTCCTCAAAGTCTGAGACTATCTTTCACTTTCTTACAAAGCTGAGAGCATCTGATATTTGGAAATAAGAAAGAACTCAAATACTTTTTGAGACTTTATTTATGTACTTATTTAGAGACAGTCTCTAAAAGCAGACAGTCTGCCCTGTCGCCCAGGCTGGAGTAGGGTGGTGTGATCTCAGATCACTGCAACGTCTCCTCCTGGGTTCAAGTGATTTTCATGGCTCAGCCTCCCGAGTAGCTGGTGTTGCAGGTATGTGCCACCGTGCCCGGTTAATTTCTGTAGTTTTAATAGAAATGGGAGTTTCACCGTGTTGGCCAGGCTGGTCTCGAACTCCTGGCCTCAGGTGATATATCCATCTTGAACTCCCAAACTGCTAGGATTACAGGCGTGAGCCACTGTACCCAGCGGAGACTTTTATCATTTTTTATTTTTAGTGAGAGGATCTCATTCTGTCACCTAGGCTGAGGTGCAGGGGCACCATCATAGCTTAGTATAACCTCAAACTCCTAGGCTCAAGCAATCCTTCCACTGCAGTCTCATGAGCTAGGACTATAGGCATGAGCCATTGCACCAGGCTAATTTATTTTTATTTTTTTCTTGTAGAGATGGAGTCTTGTTGTCGGGCGCAGTGGCTCACACCTGTAATCCCAGCACTTTGGGAGGCCGAGGCGGGTGGATCACAAGGTCAGGAGTTCAAGACCAGCCTGGCCAAGATGGTGAAACCCTATCTCTCCTAAAAATACAAAAAATTAGCCGGGTGTGGTGGCACGCGCCTGTAATCCAAGCTACTCCAGACGCTGAGGCAGAGAAATGCTTAAACCTGGCAGGGTGAAGGTTGCAGTGAGCCGAGATCGCGCCACTGCACTCTAGCCTGGGTGACAGAGCAAGACTCCACCTCAAAAAAAAAAAAAAAAAAAGAGATGGAGTCTTGTTATGTCACTCTGGTTGATCTTGAACTCCTGGCCTCAAGCAATCCTCCCACCTCAGCCTCCCAAAGCACTGGGATTACTGGTGTGAGCCACCATGACCAACTGAGACTTTTTTACATAACACAGTTATGATGAGTCTGAAGATGCTAAGCAAATTAGGAGTAGGCTGTTGGTGAAATGTAACTAATGTCTCAAATACATCTAAAACTCACTGTATACAGTAGCTCCTCTGGAGTGACAGGACTGGTGAAGATGGTACGCAGGCATCGGAGGCAAGCTTCAATAAACTTCAGGTCTGGGGACAGTAGTCCTATTAACAGAAATGAGATTTAGGACTAATCCTTTCAACCAGTATTTAAAGCACTGCAAACTGATTCTTAACCTTAATTGAGCAAAAATGGCTTCCCTACATACCTTGCAATAAGGCAGGGATAATATGGCAGTCCAGTAGAGACTTGACATTGTTTTCAGTACCCATAGCAAGACTTCCCAACACCACTGCACATTCAGTTTTCAGCTCTGTGCTTGAGGTTTCTTGCTGAAGCAAGTACAACAATCTAAAAAGAAGGAACTTAATAAACGAAGAGACTAAAAAATTTAAACAAGACTCAATGTGACCAAAAAAGGCTGTGCAGTCCACATACTAAAAATATGGTTGGCTGAGTTTATATGAATCCAATGGTCATTTGTTTATCTCATCTGCTAATTAAAGAAACATCTGGAAAAAAAATCTAGAAGAGGTTTTGAAAAAAAGAACTATCATATTCTTAGAGTTTATAAAAAGTGTAAATCTGAAAGTTGTCCACAGATAGTCTCTGTAGAAACAGCGTCATCAGAGTCCATGTCATCTACCACTTCCTGCTGGGTCTCCAAAATATGAAGACTCTCAAATGCCATGTGCTGCCAGATCTTAAACTCAAACTAGAAATGCTACTGCTCTGAATCCAGAGCAGTGGTGCAGTTTGTAGATATCGAGCCTATAGGGAATATTCAGAGCCCTTGTGCAGCTCCTCAAGCAAAGGTAGTTTCTTCTTTCTCCAGCTCTCTCATTTG
This sequence comes from Homo sapiens, assembly GCF_000001405.40. Classification (NCBI taxonomy): domain Eukaryota; kingdom Metazoa; phylum Chordata; class Mammalia; order Primates; family Hominidae; genus Homo; species Homo sapiens. The sequence goes on along the minus strand of NC_000003.12, from coordinate 138,222,892 downwards.
GAAAAGGAAGAGATCCTCTCATTTCCACTCCAGCCCAGCTTGCCAAACAAATACTCCCCAAACCCTAACCTTCCTCCACTTATAACCATCTACCTTATGTTCTAAGACAGGACCCTCATGCTCCATAAAGCACTATTTATATATACCAAACATAAATCCCCTAAGAAAGGCTGCTGACAGCTTTATAGTTACTAAAGTATATGTTTGAGGTTGGTGAGTTAAAACACTTAAACCATTAATTCTGTATCAAAACCAGAAAATAAGGAGAAAAAAACAAAATAATAAATAATTCTGAATGAAAAGCTAATAGCAATTGCACAGAAAACTTAGCTCTGAGGAGCAAAAGTAAAGAGGAAGTTATGTAACTGTCATTGCCTGCCTAAAGGAAGCTTATTAGGTCATCAAAAGAAGAAATTAAACTTCCTAAACTTCTTACGTTAACTTAAAAAACAGCAAGTTGTAAAAATCAGAAGTTAAAAAATGAAACTGGATTAAAAATCAAGCAGGGTTTTTTTCCTTTAAATTCAAAAAGGTCTTAAGGCTCCTAATAAATTACCCACTCACACAAAAAACTGCCAAGGCTCTAAGGAAATGGAGAAGAAAGTATCAGGCTGTTGTACATTGCATATGTACTTTACGAACCCTTTTGTCATCAGGTCAAAGGTCTTCCTGAGTTTCCAAAATGTATTAACACATTCACTTCTTACTACATTCTCTGTTACTTTATAATTTTTTTCCTTAAAGATAGTTTAAATACTTACATTTATTTTTAAAAATAGGATTTATTTTAAGAATTAGACAGACAATACAGGAAAAATGGGTTCTATAATTGAGAGTAAGAAATACATTAGAAACTAGTATGAATGGCAAGAAAGGGGTGAGACAGCAAACATACCTTGGAACAGCTCCTAAAACAATGAGATTGGCTTTCTGCTTGTTGTTTCCAATTACAGCATTTTTCATGTCTCTGAATTAAGGGGAAGAAAAAATAAAGTATGTTGAGACAGCACTGAAGAAAAATCAAAGATCATTCTACTTCATTATGCAATATCTTAGATTTGACAAAGTAAAAGCACTAACCTTTTTTCACCTAAAGTACTAATGAAGGGATAGAGATAGGTGCAGAGTGAATGTGGGGGCTGTAAAACGGCGTATTGTAGAAAGTGAGAGATATCCTGAGTACTGGCGAAAGACTTCCAGTACAGAATTGAGTTCTTCTAGAAAGGGTACCTACCAATACTTTGGATACAAAGGAATACAGGCCACCCTCACGCTCAGCTCTAAGAGTAGGGAGTGAGTTAAACGAACAACAACAACAACAGAAAAAACAGCCCACAGAACATTAACTCCTTGTTTCAATGATCACACTTTGTTCACTTTTTTTTTTACTTCTTTATATATTATTTCTTACAATTCCATTTTATCTGCTTTATTGTCTTACTAACTGTACTCCTTTGTTATTTTCCAATGCATCTTTTAATTTATCACAGTCAGTCTTCAAGTGATATTAGCCCATTGCACATGTATTTTAAGAGCCTTGCATATGTATTTCCACTTTCCCATTCATTTTTTGGGCTGCTGTTATACAATATTTTTAAATTGCTTAGAAACAACATAATACATTGTTACTATTTTTGCTTAAGCAGCCAGTTATCTCTTAAGGCGATTTAAAAAATAACAAAGAATCTTTTACATTTCTCAGATATTCACAGTATTTTTTATTCTAGCTATACAGAGCTCTATACTTCACCAGGAGCAAAACTCTATTCCACAATAAGAGAACCTCTACCACTGATCACTTGGCTCACAAATTTGTGGTTGGTTCAAAAGGAAATGTAGAGAAAAAATAAATAGCTCAAAATAAACCCAGTACTACTAATAAAATGTTTAAAAAAACTTCCCTGGCCGGGCACGGTGACTCACACCTGTAATCCCAGCTCTTTGGGAGGCCTAGGCAGGCAGATTGCTTGAACTCAGGAGTTCAAGATCAGACTGAACAACATGGCGAAACTCCATCTCTACAAATAATACAAAAATTAGCCAGGTGTGGTGGCACGCACTTGTGGTCCCAGCTACCTGGGGGGCTAAGGTAGGAGGATCACTTCAGCTGGGGAGGTGGAGGTTGCAGTGAGCAGAGATCGCGCCACTGCACCCCAGTCAGGGTGACAGAACGAGACTCCATCTCAAAAAAAAAAAAAAGAAAAAAAAATCAACAAATAAATGTTATAGTCAGCATACATTTCTAACACCAATCATATTTACTGGCATTAAAGAACCTGGTAACGATTAACCCTTGTCTTCAATTGCCTTTTTTGATTATTGCAGAAAAATACTGCAACAACTAGTGATGTGCTAAAAGCAGATTTTCCCTACAAGTTTCTGAATGGCATTTTTACAAGTCAAGCCAAATACTGAGAATGCCTGGTCTTTCTTCCATTAGCTCAGTGCCTGAGGGTAGGGCTTTTTTTCCAGGCCTGACCTATCCCTCTGTAAAGTATCCCTCAGATCTTCTATATGGTTTACAAGAAATAAGTAGCAATTTTTTTGTTGTTGTTTATGGGACTGAACTGAATGAAGTTTACTGAGGTTGTTAGCAAGTTCTGATACATGAATATAAAACTATATGATATCAAAGGATCAATTAGCAAAGTTAAAGTTAGTAAGAGATTTCTAAGCTCCCGCATCCTCATGGATGCCTGTTTTCTTTAGAGGCTTTAGTTCCTAATCATCAGCATATGGACCTTAACCTACCAGCTTGTTGTTCACTTTCATTGTCTTCCTTTCTCTTAATGTGTTCTGCCTATACTAATGTAGAACATTCATTTATCCAGCCCCTACCTACTTAGAGTCTGTGTAGGCTAAGTGCCATTCTGAATGCTTTCTATTCCAGAACTCCCAACCCTAATATTTCCCCAGTTTTTCCTCTCCATTCTTCTTAAGCAGAAATGAGCGGTCCCTAACATTACCAAATGAACCCATTCCAAACATCTCAAACCATGCCATGTTTTTACAGACAAGAGCAAACAAAAACCTGTCCAACACCAATTTTCTAATTCTCTTAATAGTTTACAAAAAGGACATGAAGGAGGTAACTGATGGCAACAGAGGAAATGCCAACTAAAGAGAACACAATACAATGGAACAATGTCTAAAGAAAAAGATTCTCGCTTTGGCTTTAGTAAGTAAATATACCTGTGCTAGATAAGGAAAAAAAGATGTTAATAAATTCTATTCAATTGTTGCTATAAAGGAATGTTAATAGATCACTTCCATGAAGAATTAAAATCAAAAGGATTAACAGGATTAAGCAATCAATTTCAGATGACAACATTCAGCCATCTAGATGAAGCTTCTTTCAGTTCCCAGAGTGTAGTTATTCTTTCTCCGTCATCTCCTTATCCCCTCCCTCATACTTTCCCCTGACTAGCTTTACTCATCCTTCAGGTCTGAATGTCACTTCCTCAGGAAGCATGCCCTGAAACCCCCAGGTCATCACTTTGTTAGAGTAAAAGTCTATCTCCTCCTGAGAGGCAAGAAAGCCAATCTGACCTGGAAATATCAAAGCAGTTACTGTCAGTAGATCATTATTTATAGTGATTCTAGATATCCATTATTTTTGTAAAATGCAAACTCACAGCTATCATCCAAGATGGGAACACAACAACACTATCCAAGATTTCTACATTACTTTCAAATTTACAAAGCATTCCATATCCACTACTTAATTTCATCTTCATCATAATCTAGAGTAATATTAACTCCATTTTACAGAGAGAAAGCTACAACTCAGGATTGGCCTTTTTTCAGAACCCAATATTAAATGACAGAGCCAGTCTCAACCCATGTCTTTTATGCCAACTGTTTTTTCCATTATGGCCAGGACATCAGACATTGACAACGAACCAATGGAAAAGACAAATGAATTCAGTGAATTCATTTTCTTTTTCCTTCTGTGTTTTAATGTTACATTTTTATGCAAAATAAAAGTGTTTCTAACTTTTAGTCAGATACCCTTTTCCCAGTAGACCAAAAGAATGTCATCTCATGCCCACTAACTTTTAATGTTGGGAAAAATGCTCTACTTACTTTTACTGAAATTCAACAACTAGTTTTTGAGCTCAGCATTGTGCTAGCCTCTATGAAGTATACGAAAGTATCACACAATGGGATGCCTGGTCTGAGGAGTTCACAATATCCGTGGAGTGGCAAAAATAACACTATCAATGTAAGTCAGTACTAAATTAAAAACTGAATGTTTATAAGGTAAAGAAAAGTAGATGCTCAATAAGCTTAAAAGGTTTTGAGGCAATGGTTAAGAACTAAGATAAACCTTAGACAATAGTCAGGACTTGGATAAGCAGATGGGAGGACAAAAGGAGAAATCGTTCATACAAGACCATATTGGAAATGAAAATGGCATGTTCCTGGGGCAATACAAGGAGCCTGAACTGAAAAACAAGTTCGCTTTAGGGTGGCATGGAACATAAAGTTAGAAAAGTGATAGGGAGATGAGACAAACTAAAGGGAGATGGATTAAGGAGCAATCATATTTTTGATCACAGAAGGGGCATGAAGGAAGCAGTGACTAAGGAAAATAAGCTGAATGTGAAATGGAATGCTTATAATATTAGTTAAGAGGGACAACTAAGTGGCTGATGCCCCCCCTTGTGATCTCCAGACCCCTATGCTTATCTTTAACATAGCATTCATTAGGTAAACTATCATGGATGGTCTCTTTAGTTATTTGACTATTTCATTAGACTTTTGGACCCTTCAGAGCACTGACTACATTATTCACCCTTATATACCCCCATACTAGCACAATGCTTGGTACTAGGCAGGCACTCAATAAATATTTGTTGAAGGACTTAATCAATCCATCTAGGTATCTGGTTATACAAAACTGATTAGTGGAGCAGCCAAAGGAATCATTAATACAAAGGTCATTTTGAGGAAGCAGTTAACAAGATGATTTAATAGGTACAAAAATGTGATATGTGACATGTCGAGTGACTACTTCATGTCTGGGCACATGGGTGCAGGAAACAACAGAAAGCTTAGAGAGAAGACAAGGATTGATTTTTGACTTTGTACACACTGAATTATCTTTGAGGTGAGATAAGAATAAGTAAGCCTTGGGGATATCCCACTTTTGGGGAGTGGGAGAAAAGAAGTCAATATTAAGATGTTACAAACATGCATTTGTTGAGAAAGATTTTCAGCCAAAATCTGGCTAAAATCTTAAATTTGCATGCTAATAAATGGACTTGATAAGCTCCCACATTTACACAGAGGTTAAACTTTCTACTTTACTTTCTTTGCTCTGAAAGAGATTTTTAGTGTGGCAGAGAAAAAGGGCTTGCATATTAAAATGTACAGTGCCTACCACAGCATATGTCTAAATTAGAGCATTATAAGCGTGATGAAAACCAAGAGAAAAAGCACTATATGTTGCTATTAAAATAACAGAAAAAAGAAAAAAAAAAAAAAAGGATCTAGACCTGCTGGAGAAACCATTTCAGTCAATCAAGTATGAATATATTTATTTCTAAATGGTCAAAAATAGCATACATTTTAACTGAAAGCCTAATATCACCTAAAAACAAAATTATCTTTAAAAGTATTGAAGACTGGAGACCCAAGCTAAAAAATCAATTACAGTCATGCTTCGCTTAACGACGAGGACACATTATTTGACGACGGGGATATGTTCTGAGAAATGCATCATTAGACAACTTTGTCCTTGTGTGAACATCATAGAGTGTACTTACACCAACTAGATGGTATAGCCTACTACACACTTAGACTATATGGTATAGTTTATTGCTTGTAGGCTGCAAACATGTACAGCATGTTACTGTACTGAATAATGTAGGCAACTGTAACACAATGGTAGGTAATGTGTAGCTAAACATATTTAAATACAAAAATACAGTATTATATTCTTACAGGGTCACTGACTTTAACTGTCTTTAACTGAAACATCATTGTGTAGAGCATGACTATATATCTATTTATTTTGAACCAGTATTTCACGTACCTGAAGCAGCTCTTTTCTGCTTCATATTTGGAATACTCTATGTGTATTTCTGGTCTAATTAGTATGAAGTAGCCAAAAACTACACTGGATACTGAAAACTACAATCTGAGTATAAAGTTTGATCTACTTATGAAAACTCACTGTTTATAAAACATTCATTTGTAAAATAAGAAAAAAACACATATCTGTGGGTAACTAGAATAAGGGCAACATGGTAAACAACTTACATTATTTGGACTGTGAGAATCACAAACATACACAATGCTCTGTCCCTGTAATTGTAATTATCATTTTTTGGAGAATGTAATATCCAGACATCCAAGTATGATAACCTTTCTGTTATCATGCATGGTTAAGGAATGAGGTATATTCATATTCCAACTAAAGTTATATGACAATGAATTCCACTGTCATTATTGAATTGCCAATTTTAAGAATTAGCTAATGATGATCTACTATTCAAACTAAAGTTATTTTTAACATAAGGCTTTGATTCAAGAGGCAGTTGGAAAACTTACAGCAAAATTCAGCTCAAATCAACTTGGGCATTTACTGAATATCAACTACATGTATAAACTGAAAAAACAGAATTGACTTTAATTTAGTTCATTCTTATAAACAAATTACTCTGTGATGTGGATTTTTGGAATATATGTAGTTTCAGATACAGTTCTGATTTGTATAAAACCATGAAAAGCAGCACTTTGGAAGTCCGAGGCGGGCGGATCACAAGGTCAGGAGTTCAAGACCAGCCTGGCCAACATAATGAAACCCCATCTCTACTTAAAAAAAAAAAAAAAAAAAAAATTAGCTGGGCATGGTGGCATGCAGTAGCTGTAATTACAGTAGCTGTAATCCCAGCTACTCGGGAGGCTGAGGCAGGAGAATTGCTTGAACCTGGGAGGCGGAGGTTGCAGTGAGCCGAGATTGCATCACTGCACTCCAGCCTGGATGACAGAGCAAGACTCTGTCTCAAAAAAAAACAATAAATAAATAAATAAATAAATAAACCATGAAAAGTTTACTGTAAATATTTAATTTTCTTTCCATAGCATTTTATGGTTCCTTAATGACAAGTGAATACATAATTTTGAAAATTAAATACTGGCTCCGAAATTAGGATATTTAATGTATTTAACTCTGTTTTATCAATGTATGATTACAAATCACCTTACACTCTCTAAAAATGAAGAGTAAAATCTACCAAAATATTTTGGTAGATATTAACACTTTAAATATATTTAATCATTCCAAGGAACATAAAAAATGTGTTAGAACAGTATGGAACAATATGGCAGCATGCAGTTAAGCGCTTTATACATTTGAAAAGATAATTTAGCCGGACACGGTGGCTCATGCTTGTAATCCCAGCACTTTGGGAGGCCGAGGCGGGTGGATCACGAGATCAGGAGATCGAGACCATCCTGGTTAACACGGTGAAACCCCGTCTCTACTAAAAATACAAAAAATTAGCCGGGCATGGTGGCTTGTGCCTGTAGTCCCAGCTACTTGGGAGGCTGAGGCAGGAGAATCACTTGAACCCGGGAGGCAGAGGTTGCAGTGAGCCCAGACCACGCCATTGCACTCCAGTCTGGGCAACAGAGTGAGACTCCACCTCAAAAAAAAAAGAAAAGAAAAGATATATACACATATGCACGCAAATATATAGTCTTGATGTTCAAAGTTAGTATCACATAGACATATGTATACAAACAGCTTATCTGTCTGCAAGTAAAGACCATGTCAATTTGATTTAATCATTCCTGGATAATCCTATCGAATTCTCTGACCAAATTCTCTCAGAATATATAGTTTTAAATAAGTAAGATGCAGATCACTCTATCACATTTGGTATTAAGGTCACCTTTGTGTATGTTTACCCATAACCCTCAAAAATAACTGATTAAGACGGGGCACAGTAATCCCAACACTTTGAGAGGCCAAGGTGGGAGGATCACTTGAGGTCAGGAGTTCGAGAACAGCCCAGCCTGGCTAACAGGGCAAAACCTTGTCTCTACTAAAAATACAAAAATTAGCTGTGCATGGTGGCAGGCACCTATAATCCCAGCTACTCAGGAAGCTGAGGCAGAATTGCTTGAACCCAGGAAGCAGAGGTTGCAGTGAGTTGAGATCACGCTGCTGCACTCCAGCCTGGGTGACAGAGCGAGACTCCATCTCAAAACAAAACAAAAAAACTGATTAAATGTATTAGGAGAAGAAATTTTTTAAATGATTTTTTTGGAATACTTATTTTCAATTATTCTAAAACTTAACCCTTTAACTTAAAAGTTCTCAAAACCCAAAGGCTTCATTTTATGGGAACTCTTTATCTTTAGCTCATGCAAGAAAATGGAACCTGTCTACATTCTACTGAAACCAGAGATACAAAATTTCCTGGAGCTAAGAGAATTAATCATTACCAAAATAAACTCATATCATCAGTACATTAAAATGCTTCAGAAGACACTTTAGAAGTGGATTCTTGGTGGGGGAAAAAAAAAAAATCACATGATTCTGCAGCATCCACAAGTGCCTGACTGAATTCACCAGAGGTCTAGTCAAGCTTTCTAATTCTATTAAACTCTGAAACTACAAAGCTAGCTACGTTGGCTTATATCATCTTTTGCTTTTCAACATAGCAATATCAACAAAGGGCCATGTAGGGATATCTGCTAACCTTTTTTTTTTTTTTTAAACAAAACAAAACAAAAACAACTCTGTGACGCAGGCTGGAGTGCAGTGGCATAATCTCGGCTCACTGCAACCTCCACCTCCTGGGCTCAAGGGATCCTTCTACCTCAGCCTCCCAAGTAGTGGGGACTACAGGCACGTACCACCACGCCTGGCTAATTTTTATTTTTGTAGAGATGGGTTTCACCATGTTGTCCAAGCTGGAACTCCTGGGTTCAAGGGATCCGCCCGCCTTGGTCTCTCCACTGTACTGGGATTACAGGCATGAGTCACCATGCCTGGCCTCTGTTAATCTTTTCATTGAAATTCACTAACATGAAAACCAGATCAAGTGCTCTAATTTTGTTATGTTAAGAAAACAAAACAAAACTGTTTAAGTAGCTTTCACTCATGATTTACAAAATCATATGAAGAGTTCTTCTTCTTCTTCAAGTATGAGATTTAACTTGGTTGAACCAATACTAAAATAACTTCACAAAAAAGGTCCTGCAATGTTTTAAGTCACATGCAGATCTCCATATTACAGGAAGCTCAGAATTTGCAATGCAGGGTAGTTTAACTGACATACCTACTTCTGTTGTAGTTGCGAAGGCTACGCTTTATGACCTACACAGTGACTTCCCTCTTCTTTCAGCTCGTATCTTACTCCCTACTTAATGATCATCTATTCAGTTATGCACATGAAATTTTGCTCTTTTAGAGAAAAGGACCTGATTTTGTATTCAAACCTTTTACACAACAGGACAATTCAAGTTTATGCTAACTATTGTGCTACTAACAAATTTATCTCTAGATAACTCTGCATTCTTCAACAATTGAAAATTAAGCAGTTCTGATGCTTAATGTTAATCTTTCAACAAGGCATACTCACTGACTAGGTAAAATGGTTCACTGTGATGTGAGCTATCTACAAAGTTCCCATATTTATGGGTAGATCTATAGCTCTAACTCAGCTAGTAGATTAGTTGTAGACTATGATGAAGAATCATTATTCATCTTTAATTTGATTTTGCTTTTCCTGCTAGTATGCTACACATGTTCACAATCTTATTTGTCTTCAAGATAGAGTCTCACTGTGTTGCCCAGGCAGGATTTGAACTCCTAGGCTCCAGCAATCTTCCTGCCTCAGCCTCCCAAGCAACTGTTAACTACACATGCCTTCCACCATGCCTCGTATATGTTCACAACATTTATTGAGAAAAATCAAACTTGAAAGAGCCAGAAAAATGATAAAACTCTGGTTGGCTTGTAGTCAAAGCTACAATTTTTGTCAATTATTTTATGTCCTTTCAATTAAATATTTTGGATTTAATGCTATTTCGGCCTCTACCTTTTCCTTCCCTAAAATTAATAGGCTACCTTTGGTTGTTTATACTCTGTGGCCATCTTTCTACCTACCTATTTTGGTCTAGTAATGGTCTCTTAATGATGACTTAATGGTGACTTAATGATGACTGTGAGGTGTATAAAAATCAAAAAATTGGTCAACTCTCTTTTCCTAAATACCATTTTCATTCCCTTTTTCTATACATATTGTATTAAACAAGATTACTTAGGCCAGGCGCGGTGGCTCACGCCTGTAATCCCAGCACTTTGGGAGGCCGAGAGGTGGATCACCTGAGGTCAGGAGTTCGAGACCAGCCTGACCAACATGGAGAAACCTCGTCTCTACTAAATATACAAAATTAGCCGAGCATGGTGGTGGGCGCCTGTAATCCCTGCTACTCGGGAGGCTGAGGCAGGAGAATTATTTGAACCCGGGAGGTGGAGGTTGCGGTGAGCCGAGATCGCGCCATTGCACTGCAGCCTGGGCAAAAAGAGTGAAACTCCGTCTCAAAAAAAAAAAAAAAAAAGATTACTTAAAGACAGATAATGTTGAAAGTAATCCACTTTTCATTCTCTTGACCATGTACAATTAATTTTCAGACAGTAACAAAGTTTAAGAAAGAAGTCAGAAAGAATAAATATTTCTATCTGGAGAAAAGGAAGCTTTATCAAATCACACTACACTATCTCCATAAGATCAGTATTACTCTGAGATAAAGAAAAAAAAATGTTGGGTGATCTGTCCCCTTTAAACTATAAACAGATTTTAGTATTTTAAGTAGCAATCACGTTTACTAGAATGTTATCACTCACATTCTCTTGTCTGAGTTAGGAATTTTAGTCCCTCTCTCTCTTCTACTTTAGTTTGAACTGTCTCCTCTGTTTTTTTCCCCCTTTCTCTTCTTTGAGGAGAATTATCTTTTTTTTTAAGTTGTTTTAAATTGGAGCTAATAACAACTAACCACTTAAGTGCCAACTGATCCACAACGTATCAGACATTGAATTTTATAATTCTGATTTAATTCTCACATCAACCTGGCAATATGGGCAGTGTTATCTTTACAGATGATGAAATTGAGGCTCAATGAAATTACAAAACTTGTCCAAGCACACCACTAGAAAGGGACCATAACAGAAAATGTCAGAATTAGGAATTCAAACCACTATGGTCCAACTCCAAACCCCACGCTCCTTCTACTCTACCATTCCTTCACACAAACATTTCTTTATGTCTAGCTGACAGCTAATTAGGTCTCAAACTGGTAGTTTTTCAAAAGACACTAAGGCTATCAAACTACATTTTAGCTGCTTTGTCATAATTCTATCTTTCCCACTTTTATCATTTGGTATTTTATCAATTTTTGAGAAACTAGTGTTCTTTGGTAAGTAAAAAATTTCTCAAAGTGACAACATTCGAATCAGCTACTCATATCAGATAGAACTCTACCAGTCTATCACACAGAATTCTTGATTACTAAACAGCTTTCTCCTAAACATAGTAGCAGTGATATCATCTTTTAATACCATTTATTGAACACTTAATAAGTCTAACATTCTCAACCATTTATTGAGTAATTTTAAGTAATACTTAGAATTATCTATATACGGAGCTATCTGGTTATATGTGGAGAGTATCTGTCTAAGGAAGAGTGTTAAGTAAAACCTGCCCCCTTGACGAACTTGTGTGTGTAGGTACAACCCAAACTGATTTATTTAATAGATGGATTTAATAAACCATTTTTCCTGGTAATAATTAAACTAGTCTAAAAAGGAGTGATTAAATAATTATAAAGTCTCCTACTTAAGGGAACAAAGGCAAAGTTAACATAATGAGAACACCAGAAATACCACCGTTTTTTGTAAACTGAGAAGCCGTGAAAATAAGCGTCAAGTATCTCGGTGGATCCTAACCAGCTTCCCACCTTCCCTTCCAGCTCAATTTGAATAGCCAAGCAGTTTTACAGCACTTTTATTTTACCTCCCTTTATAAATTCACAACTCCAAAGCCTACAATGCCTTTGGGGAGAGAGGCTTTAAGAACTGCAGTCCGAAGAAACTTGTATAAACAAAGCATCCCAGCCTTGCCATGGCTAAGCACAAGTTAAAGTACTATTTGGCTGACAATGCTTATGGGATTAGAGAAAAAGAAAGAGGCCTCCCTCATGGGCGCCCTCATCATTACCCAAATGTATCTTGACCCTTTTTTGTGTCTTTCTTCCCATAGACACAGTTCAGGCCTGTGGATCCTTCACATTTCCCAACCCCATGATAAGCCTTAGTCTAGACCTTCCTCCTTAGAACTAATGCGCTAAGAGTATGATAATCTGAAACTCAAAGGAAAGGGAATAAATCTGAAATCTTATCCTACTTGCTTCTCTTAATTTTTTAAGAGCATAATTACCTCTGGTATGTTGCTTAAAAATGTTTCCTCTCATTAAACATGAAATTTTGGAGAAAAAAAGGCATTATGGTTATTAAGAGTTTAAATTTTCTGACAGCTTTCTAAATTCGAAATTTAAAACATCAACAGGAGACTCAATCTTGGTGACAGTTAATGAGTTAACCAAAAACAAAACAAAGCAAAACAAAAAACCCTACTGGTCTATTCTTTCACTGCATTCCAATTATGAAAGACCATCAATCTTATTCTCCTGCTTTTGTGGATATTAAAGAAGCAAAAGCATTCTCCAAAGAAAACATTTTTTTAATGTGAAACAAGTATTCTACAAAAAATGAAGCTAACCATGTCAGTTAACAACTATTCAAAAGACAATTCTTTATGGTAAAATATTAAACGTCATGAATGTCAAGCAGTCTTTCTAGAAAGAAGCCAAATGAAAGAAAAAAGGTATAACCCTGTATTTTCAAAATTAAAATATGTGGCAGATTAAAACATGAAAACAAACAACTTTTTGATAGACTCTTAAATACATACTACTTACATGACACCTTGTAGAACTTTCTGGGGATCAGGGTCAAATAGCCTGTCAACATAGTGGCGACTGCTAGCTGTTACTTCCTAGAAAGTGGGGGGAAAAATTATGACATCTGAAGCCATGCAAATCACAAATTCACAGCATCACCCACAATATCAAGTGACTAGATAATTTAACTTAAGGTAGATGCATTAAAATTTATATGAAATACTTAGTTTTGCCTCCTCATGATATGGGATACTTAAGCAGGTGACTTTTCTCTCTCAGGTATCAAAATAATGGGAAACTGTAGTGTTCAGTTCAAGATGTCAAAGATCAATATTTTTCTTCTAAGAATGCCCAATTTCAAAAGTAAGAATGTCCATGGTATACATTTTACTATGTCTTAAAACTAGCAGGAGAGTTTGGAAAATCAACGTAATTACAAAGCACATCACTTTGTTCATTCAGAAGAATCATCAGGAAGATATTAAGTATATTTTTGTAAATACTTTATTACATTAGTCTGAAAAAAAGCTCATGACAAAGATAAACAGTAAGACAGAAAAGAAAGAAGACTCCTAGTTCTCACTAAACACATAGCTAGACAGTGGGACCTTTGTGGCGAGCCCTAGAAGTTTTGCCAACAGAAGACCTAGGCAAATATGTTAGCATATACACTTAGCAGCAAGCTAAGTTTCTTCACTAACTGCTGGGTGTCATGTACGTATAATTAATAGATAGGAATATTACTTCTATAAATTAGTATACACAAAAGGACAAAATCTGGCTCTCAGCCAGGGAAGAGTGAGGACTCCATGAAACAGTCTGTAAGGGGTAGTCTAGGTACAAGAGGAAATCCTTAGACTAATGTAGAGAAGCTTCATTGCTGGAGGCAGAAGTAAAAATAAATAAAGGAGTTGTCACACTTTCTGTGAAGGAAAACAATTAAGAATTAGAGTGATCTGTAGGCCACCCAAGCTGTCTCAACTGAACTGGATAAGGGTGGGTAGAATTAGAAAGAGTACAAAGGGAAGACACTTACCTCCTTTTCATTTGTATTGTGAAGTTTTTCTATTGTGTTATTTCTTGTAATACTTATTTTGGAGGGTAACTCTTTTTTAATATTTAATTTTTGATGCTTCATATTATTTAAAATAAAGAATCCATATTTAAGAACCAGAGAAAAAGTTTTGTCCCCTGCTTGTTTTTTCTGATGCCTGCTGAAATATCTTTATATACTCCCCCGCCGTTAGCAATAAGTTCTTATAGGGAGGAAGAAATAACTTTTCCAATTTACTCAGAACTCCAAATCAGTAAAAGTTAATTACCAAGACACAGTACCAGCTTAAAACTTTTGAGCCACCAAAAATAACTCTGGAGAACTACACAAACTCTAGTTTTCTGATAATATAGTTAACTAAGTCAACATATATTTTCTTCCCCCCTCCCCTGAGACGAAGTCTCGCTCTGTTGCCCAGGCTAGAGTCCAGCAGCATGATCTTGGCTCACTTGCAACCTCCGCCTCTCGGGTTCAAGCAATTCTCCTGCCTCAGCCTCCTGAGTAGCTGGGATTACAGGCGCGCACCACCACATCCAGCTAATTTTTGTATTTTTAGTAGAGATGGGGTTTCACCATGTTGGCCAGGCTGGTCTTGAACCCCTGACCTCGTGATCCGCCCGCCTTGGCCTCCCAAAGTGCTGGGATTACAGGCATGAGCCACTGTGCCCAGCCAACACATATTTTCGTATTCTGAATTTGCTACCAAAATATCCTCAAAGGCAACTCAAATACCTCCTTTAAAACAACAACAACAACAAAAAAAAAAAAACAGAGATGCCGTCTTGCCCAGGCCGATCTCAAACTCCTGGGCTCAAGGAATACTCTCATCTCAGCCTCCCAAGTAACTTGACTACAGGTATGTGCCACTACATCCAGCTCAAATGCTTGCTTTTAGCATGTACTTCATTTTTAAAGAACAAACAGTGGAAGCAAAGAGGCAAAAGTGGTGAAAATTCTTGTGCCCACCAGGGTACCATTAAAGCACCTGCTAACACATGTTTTCCTCAAAATAACAGAATCACAGAGTTAGAAGGACTCTCAACAATAATCTGCTCAATCCCTCGGTTTACAAATGGGGCTTCTCATGATCTTTACC
The DNA here is from genome assembly GCF_000001405.40 of Homo sapiens. Classification (NCBI taxonomy): domain Eukaryota; kingdom Metazoa; phylum Chordata; class Mammalia; order Primates; family Hominidae; genus Homo; species Homo sapiens. The sequence continues at coordinate 138,207,761 of NC_000003.12, read as the reverse complement.
CATTTGTCAGATCTTCAAATGTACAGTTAGGACACAAATAACTGTACGAACATATCAAGAAACAATATATGACAACCAAAAGCTACAGAAGAACTGAAAAAAAGCACTACTATAATACAAACAGGTAAGTTTTGCCACTCCATTTGAGTACATGTTTTCCTGGTTTTCTGACATAGTAAGTTCTAAGTACCTCAGACCCTCCTATCCAGAGATTGATTTTGATGTTACTGTTCTATCTTTACTGTCTATAGCTCCACATCTCTTACCTCTCAATGATGTGTATCTTAACATAAGTTTCCCCCATTAATAGCAATTCTTTTGCTGCTCTGTGCCTGGTTCATTCAATATAACATGCACTGAGGAAAGCATTAAAAATAAATTTATCTTTAATAAAGAAGATAAGCAAGGCACAGTCCCTGTTCTCAAGAATTCATATTCTCTTGTTACTATGTTTACATGATTATTTCCCTATTAGAATATAAGAATTATAGTATACACAACATAAAGGCGGCACTGAGGAGGACATTTGTAAACCAGGGGAATCAGGGAAGGCTTCTTTCAGGAATTGGCTTTGGAAAATGAGTAAGAGTGTACCAGGATGGACAAGGAAAGAAAGAATCAATGTCACAATCATTGCCACAGGGCATGCAAAGCCAATACAAGTAAACAATCAGCAAGTATACTAGTTGCTGGCACTGAAAAGAACAGAGGATAGAGAGGCACCGCAGGATGTAAAACACAAAAGGCTAACCAATAGGTGGACCACAATTGGAGATTTCACACTGCCTTTTGGTCAAAGTTACATGCTAGATGCCAAAGAAGGTATAAGAGGACATTAAGGCAGAGCCTTGCATTTAAGAAGCTTAGTATCTGAAATTGTTATGTATACGCAAAAATAATCATATAAGTTGCTCAGACAGCAAGCAAGCTGAAGGGGTATGATCACTTATTCAACCTTATCTTACTCTACGCTTTTGTCTAATGTATTCATTTATCTGTATAGGACAATTCTGATATTTCACTGCTCCTTGTAGATCAGGTCACCTCTCCCCTCCCAGTCCTCTTCTCTCTTCTTTCAGAAGGCAGCCTAGAAATATAAGAGGTAGGGAGAGAAGGCAATTTGTACAGATATTAAATGGGTTGATAAGAGAAAGAACGTCTAAAAAGGTGACATTTGAGCGAAGTCCTAAAGAAGGTGAAGGAGCAGACTGTGCACCTACCTAGGGGTAGAGCTTTTTTTAGGCAAAAAGAACAGCAAATTCAAATGCCCTAAAATGAGAAGTATCTGCCATAATCAAAGAATAGGAGGCCATTATAGCTGGAGCAGAATGAGCAAAGGAGAAAGCAGCAGGAGATGAGGCAGAGAACAGGCGCCAGATGGTAAAGAGCTGCACTGTCCAGTAAGCCAGCCTCTAGCCTCATATGGCAATTGAAATTTGAAATGTGGCTAGGAAGTGAATTTTGTTTATATTTTAAACTTTAATTAAAATTAAAAAACCAATACTGGATTCAGTTATTTTAAAACTTTTAAGAATGATTTGGAACTACTTGGGTATATGAGTTTACATTTTCAACTATAAACTTTATGACACCTAAATATGAATCAAGTATTTCCAATAAAAATTTAGCATCCAAATTGTATAAACTATACATCAGATACTGAAGACTTGCTATTTTTGCAACAAATTTCAGTAATAACTTATTACACAGATATATTGAAATAATATTTTGCTTTACTTGTTTAAATAACATTAAAATCAACTTCACTTGTTTCCTTTTTACTTTAGACAGCATGGCTGCTAGAAAATTTTAAATCACGTATGTGGCTTGCCTTTTTCCATTGGATAGCACTAGTATAGAACTTTGTTGGTCATTGTTAGGATTTTTATTTTTATGGTCCAAGTTGGGAAGCCATTAGAGGGTTTAGGGAAATAGACACATGATCTGACTTATGTGTGTACTTATCTTATGTTTTGTTTATTTTTAGTAGAGACAAGGTCTCAACCTCGTTGCCCAGGCTGATATCAAATTCCTGACCTCAAGCGATCCTCCCACCTCAGCCTCCCAGAGTGCTGGGATTACAGGCGTGAGCCACAATGCCTGGCCCTGACTTATGTTTTTAAAGCATCACTCTGGTTGCAATTTAGGAACAGACACGTGTGGAGAAAGGGAAGGAATACAAGACAAAAGTAGGGAGACTAGGAAGGAGGTTATTTCCATCACCGGTAATGCTATTATTTCATAGATGATGGTAGCATGGACTAGACCAAACACTGTGGAAGATGTATTCAGATTCCAGGTAAGTGCTGAAGTTATAAAATGGATAAGCCATTAGACTCGATGTAGGGTGTGAGAGAAGAAAGGAGGCAAGGGTAACACTTACTTCCCTGAGCACATTAAAAGACTGAATTGCCGCCGGGCGTGGTGGCTCACGCCTGTAATCCCAGCACTTTAGGAGGCTGAGGCGGGCAGATCACGAGGTCAGGAGATCGAGACCAGCCTGGCCAAGATGGTGAAACCCTGTCTCTAGCCGGGCATGGTGGCGCGCACCTTTAGTCCTGGCTACTCGGAAGGCTGAGGCAGGAGAATCACTTGAACCAGGGAGGTGGAGGTTGCAGTGGGCTAAGATCACGTCACTGCACTCCAGCCTGGGTGACAGAGTGAGACTTCACCTCAAAAAAAAAAAAAAAAAAAAAAAAAAGAAAAGAAAAGAAAAGAGACTGAGTTGCTAGTTAATGAGATGAGGAAGACTGTAGGAGGTCTGAATTTGACTGGGAAGATCAAAAATTCAGTTGTGGACATGTTAGGATTGAGAATCATATTAGACATCCAAGTGAGGATGTCAAGTTGGCAGTGGATATGTAAGCCTAGAGTTTAGGAAAAAGTTGTGGGCTAGACGTGTAAATCAGATGTTGTCAGCATATAATGAAATTAATTAACTAAGGGAGTGATCCTGGATACCGCAAGACTGGAAGACTCTGCTCTGGAGTAGTCAAACAAGCAGCCAGTGTAGAGTGAAGAAATCCAGGATGTCAAATCAAGGGGCTATTTCAAAAGGGGACTAATCAACTATGTCAAATCCTAGTGATGTGTAGCTAAGATGATAATTAAGATCTAACCTTTGGATTTAGGAACATGGAGGTGTTCACTGATCTTGACAACAGCAGTACAGTGGGGCCAAAGCCTGCTTGGAGAGAGTTTAAGAGAGAATGGGAAAAGAAGAACCAGAAGAACAAGAACCTTGAAAGAAGGCTTTTCACTGTAAAGGGGAGTAAAGAAATATAGTAGCTAGAGGGAGAAGTAGACTCAGGAGAGAGTCTATTTTTTAAGACAGAATAAATTGGAGCATGCTTATTCATTGACGGAAATGTTTTAATAGAGAAGACAATTTGATGCTGCATGAGAAGGGAGAGAACTGTAACAACGTTCATGAATAACTGAGGGAGAATGGGATTTACTAGTCAAGTAGAGCATGTGTAAGTACAATAACAAGAGGGAATTATAGCCAGGTGTAGTGGCGGGTGACTGTAATCCCAGCTATTCAGGAGGCTGAGGCACAAGAATCGCTTGATCCACAGAGGCGGAGGTTGCAATGAGCCAAGATCACTCCACAAGATCCAAGCCACTGCACTCCAGCCTGGGTGGATATGGTGGTGAGAGCTTGTGAAAGTTCTCTTCAGATTACTTCTATTTTTGGAAAGTAAAAATAGAGGAAGAAATGTGAGTGGTTTGAAGAAAGAGGAGAAGGAATAAGACACTGAATGGGCCAGGAAAATGGACCAGGACTGCCAGAGAGCAATAAGGGGCTTACTGAGGCTTGTGATTATAAATTTGACAGGAAACCCATCAGCATGGCTGTTTTTCTCCAGCTACAATTAAATGCACAGAAGCAGCCATGAATAAGAGAGCTGGGGAGAAGTCTGAAGTAAATTTATTCAGGAAAACAAAAACAGCAACAGGTAATGAGTTGTATTCCATTGTGGAAAAGTATTATGTGGAAGCAGTTTTCCTTTTATTAAGGTGACTATCTGTGATAGGCCCCAATGATCCCCACCTCCTGATATTCACGCCCTCGTGCAATCCCTCACCTTGAGTGAGGACTGGATCAAGTAAGTAGGTTCTAGCAAATGGAATGCAGCAGAGGTAATAAGATGCCATTTCAGAAACTTCCAAGTTCTCCCTGCCCCCTCCCTTTTTCTCTAACAGAAACTAGTTGTCAGGCTGTGGAGCTGCCCCGTGGAGAGGCCCACATGGCATGGAACTAAAACCTGCCAACAACCACATGAGTGAGCTTAGAACTGAATTCTCCCTGAACTGAGCCTTCAGATGACACTGTGACTCCTGCTGACACCCTCACTGCAACCACATAAGAGATCTTGGGCCAGAGGCACCAACTAGGCCACATTTGTATTACTAACCTACAGAAACTGAGATAATAAATGATTTAAGCAGCTAAGTTTTGGGGAAATTTGTTACACAGCAATAGGTAACTTATAGGCCTTTGAATTTATCATCCAAATCAGGATAATTTTAAGAGTGAAAGAGGGCATCATTAATAACTGTCACAGAATAATATGCATAAAATAAGATTGTTGGAGACAAATTAAGCTGAGTAATCAATCCCACCTTTTGTTTGTCTTTAATAGTGCAAAAGAAAAGCAGAAAAACTTACAGATAGCTCAGGAAACTAGTGAGATGTCCTAAAAAGGCAAACTACAACAGGCTCTGATTGTCCCTTTGATTGAATAAACTACCCATGACTATGGTGAATTTAAACCATTGCCTTTTGAAAAAAATTTATTCAGGTAGGGTTTAAACTCCAGGCTTGTCATGAATAGGATTTAACTCAAAAAATGGGAAAAATAAGTGTTCAACTCAAGTTTTAGGGTAAAACCATTAGTTTATTAGACAATGAAGAATAAAAATTTGAAGGCTAATAGGAAAATACCAAACTTATTTCAATAAAGTCTTGCTCTGTGTATATTTTATCAAAATATAGTGTTCTTTATTTCTAACATACTCAGATATCATGTAGCAGAAAGAACAAATAATTTGGCATTTGAAGACTTAGGTATGAATTTTAGTTTTACCACTTACTAGCTATGCAACTTTGGAAAAAGGTAAAATTTGAGACTGTTTCTTTAATAATAAAATGGTGATGTTATCACGTCTCAGGCTGTGCCTCAAATCACACAGAAAATCCCTTGTAAACTGTAAAAGTATCCTGAAATACCGATTTTCAGAGTAATTCTATTTCTGTGCAAAGAGGGTAATTTGCTTTGACAAGGGTACTAATAGTCCTCAGTTATTCACATTCATGGTTAAAGTTAAATTATTCAAAAATACCCATCCTCAACTAATAGCAGCTTACTCTCAAACTAAGCTAAATACTCAGCAAAAACCAAATATACTTGTTTAGTATGTTCTAGTTCATTTTCATATCTACTTATTCATTTAATTCATTTGCTCTTTAGAAATTAAAATAGCATTACAATTCCCAATGAGGTATTCTGACCCCAGACGAAATGAATGTTTAAACCAGTGGTTGCTAATCAAAATTTAACATGTCAATTAGTCCACAAACTAGTAGGAACTTCAAGATAAAACTGTTCATAATTCAGCATTGTGAGAGAAAATCCTGGTTTGGGGAGAGATGAAAGAAACAAACACAAAAATAGGAAGTTTGAACTCTACAAAAGTTCGATTTTAAATGAAATTCAAATTGTATCATTAATTTACCAGGAATTATGCCAGGTTCTGGATGTAAACAGAGTTCCTTACCCTCAGGGTTTCATAGCACAGAAAGGAAACACCATGTAAACAAGCAAGTTACAAGTGTAACCATATTAAAGTGATTTAGTGTAATCATAAAAGTGAACACAACGTAAAAAGAAAATTGAAGATATCATTGAAGTTAGGGACAAGATGGAAAATAATCTCTAAGTAAGGATGAGTAATCTGAAAGATTAATATTAATCTGCCAGGTGAAAAAGGGAAGGGTAAGGTCGGGCGCAGTGGCCCACGCCTGTAATCCCAGCACTTTGGGAGACCGAGGCGGGCAGAGAGTGAGGTCAGGAGTTCAAGACCAACCTGACCAACATGGTGAAACACCGTCTCTACTAAAATACAAAAATTAGCCGGGTGTGGTGGCGTGTGCCTGTAATGCTACCTACTTGGGCGGCTGAGGCACGAGAATCGCTTGAACCCGGGAGGTGGAGGTTGCTGTGAGCCAAGAGTGCACCACTGCACTCCAGCCTGGAGACAGAGCAAGACTCTGTCTCAGGAAAAAAAAAAAAAAAAAAAAAAAAAAAAAAAAAAAAAAAAAGGGAGGGGAAGAAGACAAGGACTCTAGGTAGAGAGCACAACATATGCAAGAGCTCTAAAGCAAAAAAGTGTTTGAGAAAGAAAATGTAATTTAGTATTACGATGATATAGTATACAGTTGAGAACACAAAACAATGCTGAAGTGTATTTTTTAACTGAGTTGGTCAAGAAAATATTTAAACAGCTATGCAGACACTATTCTAGGCAACTAACATTAAAAAAAAAAATAGGCCAGGCATAGCTCACGCCTGTAATCCCAGCACTTTGGGAGGCCAAGGTGGGTGGATCACCTGAGGTCAGGAGTTCAAGACCAGCCTGGCCAAGACGGTGAAACCCAGTCTCTACTAAAAATACAAAATTAGTCGGGCATGGTGGCATGCATCTATAATCCCAGCTACTGGGGAAGCTGAGGCAGGAGAATCGTTTGAACCCAGGAAGCAGAGGCTACAATGAGCCAAGATCACGCCACTGCACTTCAGCCTGGGTAACAGAGGGAGACTCCATTTCAAAAAAAAAAAAAAAAAAAAAAAAAAGCCCACTGAAGGGTGTGTACATTTCAACAAAGGGAGAAAGAGAAAAAGCAATAAACATAATAAATAAGTGATATCATTATATTAAGGGCTAGACCCAGCATGGAAAAAATGTTTAATAGCATATTTTGTTTCCAAGTGCTTATACTATACACTGTCACACACTGGAGGGGAGATGGAAGTGGAGGTGAGAAAAGGGAAGGGTGTATGCTAAGACACACACATCACTCAGAAAGCCCCATGCTCTCAGCAGTTCTAATCAGGATCCATTTTTTAAGTCTGAAACATGATTTTGGCTGTCACAATGACAGCAAATGCTACTGATATCTAGTGGGCAAGGACTAAAGATGCTAGATGTCCTGGGATAATAGGCACACATCCCCCAACTTTCCACTCTCCAGTCATGTAGGCAAAAAACCTAGAGTATAATTCCATTTTACATAGAAACACAAAATATGTTTTGTACCATTTTAATGTACAATCGATTTTCCAAGAATGTAACTCATGTGAATAAAGAAAAGGTGGTATTTTGTCCTGGTAGGAACTTTACCAAAAGTCATTCATTTCAGAAAGTCACATAAAAACATTACAACATATATCAGTCTGCAGTGTAACTGTCACATTCACAACAAAACTATGTATATTTACAAACATACCGTTACTTAATTACTTCTGGTATAGCAGGACCTGAGTATTTACGGGTTTAAATGATGTTATAAATTAGCTTCATGCCTTTCTCCTTTATTACAGCTGGAGCATTATATCAACTTTTTAAAAGTTACATGTGAGGACAGTTAACTTATCTATGAATGCCACTTCAAGATAGCCAAAAAAGTGCCACAAAATATCTATTATAAGCAGAGTGTGTGAGTCTGATAGGGTTGGGAAACCACAAACTGAAACAACTCAACCTTCCGGTCAACTGGGAGCCCCAGAACCTCCTTCTATCCCTAAAACAATGTGAAACCAAAATTTGATTTTCTGATACCTCCAAAACCCTCAGTTCAAAAAATACTTCCTTTTGTCACTGTGACAATTTACTAAAATGCCACCAAGTACACTGCTCAGATCAATCACAAATTCTCAATTATTCATTTTAAAGCCCAGTGACAATGTATTTGTACTTGTCCCTACAGAGATTAGGACTACCACAATACAGAATATCAGACACCAATACTTTAAAAGCAGCATTTTACTAAATTGTGCTTTAATTTCAAATCACGTCTTCCCCTTCGTTCTGGTTGTGTTCTCATGAAATCATGAAAGACAAACAATATTAAATACAACTGCCTAACTGCTGCCTGAAGAGTTCTGGTGATGTGTACTATTTCACTGCCAGAGTTAATTTCACTATTAGACAAAACTAATTGTTAGGCAATTCTTTCCTAATTTTGAGGGAAAAAAATCTGCCTCTACTTGGAACAAAAAAGGATAACACTATCCACAAAGACAGACCTTTTACTTGGAGACAGCTATCATGTCCTTCTTAGGTATTCCAAAATTCCTACATTCCAATTTTCTCCAAAAGGAGAAAAAAATCAGAAGAAAATTCCCAAATACTATCCAAAACCCAAGATTTTGATGTAGGCTTTTTTGGTTTTATTTTGTTTTGCTCTTTGTATTCTGGTAAACTTCTAGCCCCATTAGGACTTGATGAGATTTAAAACATTCAATTCCTTTTATACCCCTTGTGTACTATTTTTGCAACCAATTTTATCCTTATTCACTTTTTGGTACGTCAAGTTTCACTGCATCCTCCCTCCCAAGATTAATCAAAGCTCTGTACTGTAGCCTCTAGTAACTTCGGAAAGTTTCTAAAATGTTACTTCACAATGCATCTGGGCCTCAACAGTGTAGAATGTAACATACTAAGGAAACTGAGATTCCTAGCATGGAATCTACTTTAATTTCACAAACACAATCATAAAAACACTAAAATATATAATTTTTAAATTTAATATACTTGTATAGCATAAGAGGTAAGCCTGACTTCTCAGCAAAGACCAAAAACCAGACTTCACGTTATCAAAAATAAATAGTAAATTAATCAGTGCTTATCAAATTTGAAAAAAAAACTCTAAAATATAAGGCTATATGGCCGGGCGCAGTGGCTCATGCCTGTAATCCCAGCACTTTGGGAGGCCGAAGCAGGGGAATCACAAGGTCAGGAGATACAGACCATCCTGGCTAACACAGTGAAACCTCGGCTCTACTAAAAATACAAAAAATTAGCTGGGTGTGGTGGCACGCACCTGCAGTCCCAGCTACTTAGGAGGCTGAGGCAGGAGAATCACTTGAACCCGGGAGGCGGAGGTTGCAGTGAGCCGAGACGGTGCCACTGCACTCTAGCCTGGGTGAGAAGAGTGAGAATCTGTCTCAAAAAATAATAATAATAATAATAATAATAATAATAAAGAATATACAATATAAGGCTATACACACAATTTTGTTTTTAAAAAGTGGGAGTCTGGAGATCTGACTCTGATATTTTATATTACAGTGGGCAAGCCAGCCTCTCCGGTTTTCAGTTTTCCTCAATAAAAAATGACAAGAATGAACTAAAGATTATCTGCAGGTTTCTTCCAAGAAAAGATTCCATGATTTTATACTCAAACAAAGAGGGAGTTTCTTTTTTCATAAAAGAAAAGCCAGGGCACAGTTAGATTAAAAGGGATATGAAGAGCAGCCTTTACTTTTTCTGGAGTTTTTTTTTTGTTTGTTTGGCTTTTGCCCCCAAGAGACAGGGTTTTGCTATGCTGTGTAGGCTGGTCTCAAATCTCAAACTCACAGACTCAAGTGATCCACCAGCCTCAGCCTCCTGAGGAGCTGGGACTACAGGTGTACGGCACCACATCTGGCTCTGTAGTGAGTTTTTAATGTGATAATGCATTCTTATTGCCCTTGTAAACTATTAAATATTGCCATAAAATGCTTGGTGGTCACAAGACTGAAAGTAATTTAGCATTCATGCTTCTAATCAAGTACTATGATGTTTTCCCTTTTAAAATATGGTATAAATCATAAAGAGCTATCTGGCTCTAGAAGATCTTTAAGGTTTCTTCTCACTATTAAATTCAATTCATTTACTCTTCACTGTAGATGAGAATGCTTAAACGGAGGGTCAATAAAAGATACCTCTGGATAGAGCAAATGAGATAAGAACCCACTGTGTGAGACAGCATAATCTGAAAGTCCAAGGGAGCAAGAACTATCTCTGGAAAGCACATGCAAGGTTACAAAAATGATCAGGAGTTTCACAAAGACTGAGATATCCTCTGGATTGGTTGAGGTTCATTTATATGCCTCCCAAGGTGATAAGATGACCCAAGAAGTCCACTAGGATGTATTTAAATGCCAACTTCTCAATCCTCACATAACAAAGTGAGGCTATTCAGATATGGGTGAGGTGTTGTCCTGGCCCATAAGAATAGTTGAAATTATTATTCAAAATTGCTGTCATGTAATTACTTAGAGATCCTGGGTACCATCTTTCATGGCACACCTTCGAAGTAGTATTGTTCAGACAGGCCAGGCGCCTTCCTGATAAAAAAGGGCTTTATTTGCTTCAGATTCTTACAGGCAGTAATAGCCCTGCCTTGGAGCTATCCATGGTGCTTGCCTCAGACTCAGCCCATCATTTGCAGCAGCTGGTGCATTCACTTTCCTATTACAGTACCACTCAAGATCTGTCAGACCTGACCTGTCACCCACATTGTGGCCTGTGACAATCACGGCAATATCGCAGGCCACTTCGAATCTGTCTATTCCACTTTGCCTGTGTCCAGACCCACAATCACCTTACTTTGTAGTTTGTTTGGATCTCCAGATAACCTAGCTTTGCATCCCAGGCCTGCTACACAATGCCCTTTCTGTGAACAAAGTACACCTTCTAGGAGATTACTGGCATACTCTGGGTAAAAAATTGTAGCTCTTCAGAAACAATTCCCACACATAATAGCTCACATGAGTTTTAATACCTTATTGCTACAATCTTTACCATTCCAAAATGATTTTAAATGACTTAAAAAAAAATTTTTTTTGAGACGGAGTTTCACTCTTGTTGCCCAAGCTGGAGTGCAAGGGTGCGATCTCAGCTCACTGCAACCTCTGCCTCCCGGGTTCAAGCAATTCTCCTGCCTCAGCCTCCCAAGTAGCTGGGATTACAGGTGTGCGCCACCACACCTGGCTAATTTTTTTTTATTTTTAGTAGAAACGGGGTTTCACCATGTTAGGCTGGTCTCAGACTCCTGACCTCAGATGATCCACCTGCCTCAGTCTCCCAAAGTGCTGGGATTACAGGCGTGAATCACCGTGCCTGGCTTTTGCTACATTTTCTTGACTCACACTGGGACAGGTGAAGAAGTTAATTCTGGAGTGACTTCTGGGTTTCAGGGAATCCAGCAATCTCTAGAAATTATGCAACTATTTAGGCATATGCATGTTCTCCTGGGAAAGCAGGTATTGAGATTCTCATCCTTAAACAGCTAAGAACCAGAGATCAATACACTGATGATGCCAAAATAATGATCATGACCCCAGATTTAGGTACTCAACCTTTTTTTCCAACTGACTACAAATTTGGCATGTCCAAAATGAAACTCATTTTCCTACTTACTCCCCTAACAAATTCCTCTCCTAATTCTCACCGTCTCAGAAGATGATACCACCTGGCCAAAAAGGCATAAATCCTGTGAATCATGCTTTATCATAATGATCATCATGACTCTTTCCTTTTCCTTAGTCTCCCTTATCCCATCAATCACCATTAGCTTTCTGAAAGCCTAAGAAATTCTTAAAAACACCCCTAAGGCAAAAGAAGCATGTGTTCGATAATTACTTTCCAGGTGGTAAAGACCTCCCAATATTAATAGATCTTATAGGTTGAAAACTCCCCATTGGACCACAACTTTTTATTTTTAATATAAAGCCTTACACTGTTTCATCATTCCTCCTTCCTCTAATACCTACATTATGAATATGCTAGAAAATGTAACTCTTCATTCCTCTGAAATTAGGGAATGTGGTCAAAACAGTTTTTTTTTTTTTTTTCAACAAAATGACAAGTGGTGGGGCAGGGGGCTATTTCTGTAAAACTGCTCTTATTTGCAATACCTTTAATTTCTATCTCAACAGTCCCAGGGATCATAGCACTACTGTTCAGTGAAGGCAGCTGCTCTCCAATTTCTAGAGGATAATAGGAGCTTTGTTTTTTTTCATGTAATACCGTCTCTTTACCCAGAAGCCAACAGGACAGATGGTACTGCAAAACAAATGCCAAATCAGAATTGAAAAACATACAAGTCAGAATCACTGACATTCCTGTCTGCTGACAGTAAGTATTTTAAAATTTAGCGAAAATAGGAGGTGATAAGAAGGCTAGGTCTCAAAAGTAAAATCTGAAGACCCTACATAAATGTGTTTCTGATTCTTTGCAGAGTTTAAAAGACTTCCTGAACATGCACTATCTTAGTCTTTCCTTAAATACACAGCAAGATGTCCAGAAACATACAATGAGCACCTCTCATTTTTCACACACTGCCATTAAAGATTAGAAAGTTCACATTGATTCATTGATGAATTTATTTTTATTTTTTTGAGATAGTTTCTTTTTTTTTTTTTTTTTGAGACGGAGTCTCGCTCTGTCGCCCAGGCCGGACTGCGGACTGCAGTGGCGCAATCTCGGCTCACTGCAAGCTCCACTTCCCGGGTTCACGCCATTCTCCTGCCTCAGCCTCCCGAGTAGCTGGGACTACAGGCGCCTGCAACCATGCCTGGCTAATTTTTTTGTATTTTTTAGTAGAGACGGGGTTTCACCATGTTGGTCAGGCTGATCTCGAACTCCTGATCTCAGGTGATCCACCTGCCCAAGCCTCCCAAAATGCTAGGATTACAGGTGTGAGCCACTGCACCTGGCGATTTACTGATGAATTTATTTTAGGACCACCTACTGACATACCCTGTACTTATTAGTGCTTTGTAAACTAATGGCAAACTTTAAAATGTGCTGTACAGATTTTATTTTGCATTTATTACTAAAAACCTAGGGAGGCCAAATTTATGTTTACAGGATAGTGGGTTCGACTTCACAGCAATTTTTTTTCCTAATTATTGCCAGTTATGGATGTAAGAGAATAAATCATTAAGTAGCTATAGGCAAGGCCAACAATATGCTTATAACTGTAGAGAACAGAACAAAATGAAGGAATATCCAGATTTGGAATACCCTATACAGTTCTAACAGCTATTTTTCAAAAAAAAAAAAATAATGACAGCTGGGCACGGTGGCTCACGCCTGTAATCCCAGCACTTTGGGAGGCCAAGGTGGGCAGATCACGAGGTCAGGAGATCGAGACCATCCTGGCTAACACAGTGAAACCCCTTCTCTACTAAAAATACAAAAAAATTAGCTGGGTGTGGTGGCAGGTGCCTGTAGTCCCAGCTACTCGGGAGGCTGAGGCAGGAGAATGGTGTGAACCTGGGAGGCGGAGGTTGCAGTGACCCGAGATCGCGCCACTGCACTCCAGCCTGGGCGACAGAGACTCCGTCTCAAAAAAAAAAAAAAAAAAGCTGGGCGCAGTGGCTTACGCCTGTAATCCCAGCATTTTGGGAGGCCGCGGCGGGCGGATCACGAGGTCAGGAGATCGAGACCATACTGGCTAACACAGTGAAACCCTGTCTCTACTAAAAAATACAAAAAATTAGCCGGGCGTGGCAGTGGGTGCCTGTAGTCCCAGCTACTCGGGAGGCTGAGGCAGGAGAATGGCATGAACCCAGGAGGCGGAGGTTGCAGTGAGCTGAGGTCGCGCCACTGCACTCCAGCCTGGGAGACAGAGCGAGACGCCGTCTCAAAAAAAAAAAAAAGACGTAATGCCACTGGGAAAGGACTGTAAAGAAGACAATTAAAAATCAACAAGTGCCCAGCTGTTTATAATAGCCTACAAAGTGATTCAAAGACAATTTGTTACCTTACCTCTCTACCATTACAAAGTGACCAAAATTAAATGCAACCATCCTTTTAACAGGGTCTTTCACAGAGCGTAAGTTTTCATTTTGGTAAAGTCCAATTTATCAATTTTTTAATAAGTAATGCATTTGGTGTTATGTCTAAAAGTTATTCACCAAACCTAAGGTTCTGCAGATTTTCTCCTGTTTTATTCTAAAAGTTTTATTTTATGATAAAATCTATGATCCATTTTGAGTTACTTTTTGTATAAGGTATGAGATCAAGGTTCATCTTAAATTGTGGTTAAGAGGATGAAAAGGCAAGTTACAGATTAGGAGAAAATATTTGCAAATACCTATCTTACAAAGGGTTCAGATTTAAAACATATAAAGAGCTTTTGGCTGGGCACGGTGGCTCACGCCTATGATCTCAACACTTGGGGAGGCCAAGGTGGGCAGATCACCTGAGGCCAGGAGATTGAGACCAGCCTGGCCAACATGGCGAAACCCCATCTTTACTAAAAATACACACAAAAAATTAGCTGGGCGCGGTGGCACACGCCTGTAATCTGAGCTACTTGGGAGGCAGAGGCCCGAGAATCTCTTGAGCCTGGGAGGCAGAGGTTGCAGTGAGCTGAGATCACACCACTGCACTCCAGCCCGGATGACAGAGCAAAACTCTCTCAAAAAATAAGATAAGCCGGCGCGGTGGCTCACACCTGTAATCCCAGCACTTTGGGAGGCCAAGATGGGCAGACTGCCTGAGGTCAGGAGTTTGAGACCAGTCTGACTAACATGGTGAAACCCCATCTCTACTAAAAATACAAAAATTAGCCAGGCATGGTGGTGGGCATCTGTAATCCCAGCTACCTGGGAGGCTGAGAGAGGAGAATCGCTTGAACCTGGGAGGCAGAGGCTGCAGTAAGTTGAGACCAGGCCATTGCACTCCAGCCTTGCCAACAAGAGCGAAACACATATCAAAAATAAAATAAAATAAAAATAAAACCTATAAAGAGCTTTTAAAACACCACAGTAAAGAAGCAAACACTCCAATTAGAAAGTGGGCAAAAGGACATGAAGAAATATTTCACCAAAGAGAAAACATGGATGGCAAATAAGCGAAGATTTTCAGGCCAGGTGCAGTGGCTCACACCTGTAATCCCAACACTTTGAAAGGCTGAGCTGGGAGTATGGCTTACACTTAGGAGTTCCAGACCAGCCTGAGAAACATGGTGAAACCCCGTCTACATGGCCAGGCATGGTGGCACACACCTGTAGTCCCAGCTACTTGGAAGGCTGAGGCAGAAGGATTGCTTGAGCCCAGGAGACAGAGGTTGCAGTGAACTGAGATCACGCCATAGCACTCCAGCCTAGGTGACAGTGCAAGACTGTCTCAAAAGGATAAATAAGCCTGTAATCCCAGCACTCTGGGAGGCCGAGAAGGGTGAATCATGAGGTCAGGAGATTGAGACTATCCTGGCTAACACAGTGAAACTCCGTCTCTACTAAAAATATAAAAAATTAGCCAGGTGTGGTGGCGGGCACCTGTAGTCCCAGCTACTGAGGAGGCTGAAGCAGGAGAATGGTGTGAACCCAGGAGGCGGAGCTTGCAGTGAGCTGAGATCACACCACTGCACTCCTGCCTGGGCAACAGAGGGAGACTCCGTCTCAAAAAAAAAAAAAAAAAAAAGGATAAATAAATAATAAAAATATTCTCAACATTATTAATCATTAGGGAAATGCAAATTAAGACCATGATGAGATATTACTACACATCTACTAAAACAGCTAAAATAAAAATAATAACAGTATCAAATGGCAGTGAGGATACAGAGAAACAATGTCTCATATATTACTGGTAGAAATGTAAAATAGTACAGCCACTCTGGAAAAGTTTGTCAGTTTATTTTAAAATTAAACATGCATTTACCATCTGATCCTGCAATTGCACTCCTGGGCATTTAGCTCAGAGATATGAAAAGTTATGTCCTTACAAACCTGTACATGATTGTTCATACTACGTTATAATAGCCAAAAACTAGAAGCAACCAAAACGCCCAACAGGTAAATGGTTAAACGAGCTGTGGTACATCCACACCATGAAATACTACTTAACAATAAAAAGGAACTACTGCTACATACAACAATATGGATAGATCTCAAAAGCATTATACTGAGTGACAAAAAACAACCTCAAAAAGTCACATACTGTATGATTCCATTCATATGACATTATAGAAAATGACAACATTATAGAGATGGAGAACAGATTATGGTTGCCAGGGGTTAGGGATACCTGTTGCGGGGAGAGGCTGGGTAGGTGGGACTATAAAGAGGGAATATGAGGGAGATCTTTGCGGTGACGGAATAGTTCTGTATCTTGACAGTGGTGGTAATGGTAACACAAATAAACATGTGATAAAATGATACAGAAACAGATACATACTTATACCAAGATCAATTTCCTTGTTTTGATACTATAATGTAACTATATAAGATGTAACCTATGAGGGAAACTGGGTGAAGTGTACACAGGGACCTGTCTGTACTATCTTTGCAACTTCCTGTGAATCTATAATTATTTCAAAATAAATGTTTTTAAAAATGCAATCAACATAATTCAAAAGTATAGAAAACATTGCAGAAATTTATGAATTTGTTGAAAAGGGTGATGTTGTAATGTTAAATGCAAACCAAAGAGGGATGGGGTGGTCATAGTGCAGTCTAGAAACAGGGCTGGAGAGTTTGTCCAACCCTCCAAAATAGATAGTTCAATCAAACATTTACTGAGTACCTAGGATTTGCAAGACAAAGTGTTACTTCTGAATTAATTTACTCTCTAATACGACAAGATAGAGTATTATTAAAGACCTCTGCAAAAGCAGTTCCCTTTGCCTTGTATGCTCTTCTTCTGTCACTTTTTCTAGTTAGTTCTTACTTATCCTTGAACTTTCAGCTCAGCATCACTTCTTCAGGGAAACCTTCCCTAGTTCTTCCTATTGCCCTCCATATTAGATCAGTTTCCTCTATGACATGTTTTGAACAGCACCCTATATACTTCATTCATAATACTAATCACCATTCACAAACTGTGTGATTATTTGATATCTATTTTTCCCACTAGGCTAACATTTCCAAAAGGACAGAGGTCTGTGTAGCTTACGGCTGTATTCCCAAACTCAACACCATGCTTGCCTAGCAAATGGCAGAAGCTCAAAGTAGATGTACAGAATATATATATACAAAGTTAAAATTCATATGTACAAATGAGTAAGAAGAATAAGATTTACTGGAGTTTGGAAGAATTCTGTATCACTCTAACCTGAGAAAGCCGGTTTATACAGGATAGCAGGTTCATGTAGAAGATAAAGAATCTCGGCCGGGTGCAGTGGCTCACACCTGTAATCCCAGCACTTTGGGAGGCCAAGGTGGGTGGATCACTTGAGGTCAGGAGTTTGAGACCAGCCTGGCCAACATGGTGAGACTCTGTCTCTACTAAAAATACAAAAAAATTAGCCAGGCATGGTAGTGGATGCCTGTAATCCCAGCTACTCAGGAGACTGAGGCAGGAGAATCGCTTGAACCCCGGAGGCGGTGGTTGCAGTGAGTCGAGATTGCGCCACTGCACTCCAGTCTGGGCAACAAGAGCAAAACTCCATCTCAAAAAAAAAAAAAAAAAAAAAAGATAAGAAAATAAAGAATCTCAACTCTGAAGCTGAATATAAACTTGGGCCTTTGGGCAAAACAAATTCAATCAAGAAAAGAAACCGAGGAGCGGCTGTAGGAAGAGTTCTTTAGGAAAATTTAAGTAGACATGGACTTGCACTGAGAGTGTAAGACATTAAAGACAGTAAAAATAATTAAAAGGACGCTGTGGTAGTGCAGGCACAAAACAACAAAGTCCTGAATGAGGGTGGTCATGGGAAGAGAAAGATATAAGAAACACTAAGAATAAAGAAGCAACAGAGCTTAACAACTGGTAGATACAGGGGGATGAAAGGAGGAAGAATCAGAGATTATTCAGGAGGTTTAACAGTTACTTATCAGTGAAAGATAACACCATTAACAGAAATTGGGAACTCATAACTAATTCCCCTTAGGAGAAGGAATGTGCTTTATTGGAAGCGATGGGTGTCATCCACACAATTTAAGATGTAAGACTAGATGTAGAAGAAAGTCAAGGTTGGCAATGCAGATGTGTGAACTGATCAGTTAAGGGTACAGGAAAATCAATGAGATTTCCCAAGGAGAAGGTATAAAGAGACTCAAATGGAAATCCTTTAAAACAACTTGAATGCCTCCTTGCTGAAATTATGTTTATCAAATTATAGCGTCACCCAGACTATGAGCTCCTGAAACGCATTTCTGATCTCATCCTTGCATTCTCTAACGTATACAATACAGAGCTTGTACGTAACTGGTACATTGTAGCTTATTAAAGGAATCAACCATTCAAGATAATTTCTGATGAATGTTTCCTGTTCTAGTTTGCATTTCAAAACATGGTGCTCTGGGTAGTACTTTGAAAGGTACAGGTTTCACTTTAAATTAGTAAAATCAGTGAATTGAAACATTTTAAATCATTTATCCAAAAGCTCCTACTTCCCCAAGGCTCTAGGAGTGAAGATCTGATAGACCAGACTTTGGGACTACGGAAATCCTTTTTTTTTAATTAAAGAAAAAAAAAAGCCCCTAATGAGACTAGGGCTAAAGGCAAATCCTAAATAGAAGTATTAATAGAAAATACTCTTCAAGAAGTTTTTGAATAAAATAAGCAGAAAATATTATTTACCAAGGAAGTGAAACAAATGAAAACTTTCAATCATATGCATTATACAAGTTGACAACATCCAAAAAGTAAACTTCAGGTGAACTGAAGGATAAATGAAATCTAAATGAATAATTAAAGGAGAACTGAGAACAGCCAAGACACATACTATTTTTTTTTAACATAATGAGGTAAAAGTCATTGGCCTGCACTCCCACAGAATATTCCTGGGTATTACAGTCAGTGATGGAGTAACAGGCTAATCTGATCTAATACTTAGGTAAACAGTATTTCCTTAGTTGCAGTTTAAAAATAAGAAAAAATGACTGCTAAAATGGATCAGGGGAAAAATCTGTTGACAGCCTCACAAAATTATTATTGTATTGACAACTTAAGCCTTTTCAAGGTTGAGGTCTGCCACACTGCTCTAACCCTGAATCATAAGCAAATGTCCTAGGTGTTTTCAGATAGGTGAGTTTGTTTGTGGGACAAGTCAGAGAAGAGAAAAGAAACCGGTTGTAGTTACAAGACTCTAGGAACCCGACAAGTCATTTATAATCCAACTACCCTCTCAGTATCAGACTGGCTTCCACAAGTCTAAAAGATGGTCAATCAGTATTTGCCTGCTTGTTTCCAACAATAGCAAATGAACCATTGGTAAACTGACCATTCTCAGAGTCGGACAGCTCGAATTTGTTGCAAAATCCTTCGAAGTTATCTCCCAGTAACTTTCATTCCTGGTCCTGGTTCAAGAGCAACATAGTGAAAGGTGAAAGTCGTCTTTTTCTTTAAAAAAACTTTTTTTAAAAAAAAAAAAAACAGGTTTTACTTCCTGGCATGTCAATACGTTCCCTTCTTTCAACAATGGGGAAATAAATCTCACCCCCTTTTCCCCCCTTCAATGTTTGACTCCCCTTAAAGAAAAACGGAATACCAGGCACAGGGAACATAGAGTTCCTCTGACTCAGAGCCGCGACCTCTGAGCAGAGCGGAGGAAAGGGGCTTAAAAAACCACACACACTAGGAAGAGTTGCAGCTGATACGAATCACCATTGCCAAAAAGCAAACTGCTTCAGCCGGTGCCCAGGTGCTGGGACGCGATAGAAGCCGCACAGACTTGGCCTGGCAGCTCTGAGGAAATGGGGGCCAAGGAGCCTGCACCTCTTCTTGCCAAAGCCCGGGAGAGCTGAGTGGGCGCTCGTTCTCAGGCCGGCTGCAAGCCCGGCGCTTCACAAGGCAGAGCGTTCGGCCCCCGGGAAGCGGCATCGCTAAAAGGAAGGCTCAGTGAAACGCTTGGCAAAGTCCAAGCCGCGCCGCCCAGCCAGTTGTCTATAAGCCCAGCCACCCCGCCTGCCAGACGCCATCCTGGGAACCCGCACCGGCGGGAGCTCCCGGAGTTGGAAACGTCTTTGGCTCGGCCGCGGTCCCCTCTGCCCGTCTATCCCGCCTCTCCACCCTCGCTCACTCCCTGGCCCGAGACTGAGCCGGGGTCCACCCCAGGGGGTGGTGCCCAGGAGGCACACCACGCTTGGGGGAATGGTGGAGACCGGGATGAGGCTTCCTGGAGGGCGGGCGGGCGGCCGCGGCGGGTCACTCACCGAAAGGACGCTCATGCGGATTGGGGTCTCCAACAAGCACGCCATCTTGAGCCTTCCCACCCGGCTGCTGCAGGCGCCGGCGCGGGGGCCGGCACTTTCGACAGCCAACTATTGGCCAACGCTAGGCACCGCTCCCTAAAGGCAGCCAGATAGACGAGAACTGGCCACGCTCTGGACACCGCTCAAGTACCGGAAAGGCCCGCAGAAAGAAGGGCAAAAGGGAATGGCGTCAGGGGCTGTCCTACGAATCGTTCTCTCAGAAACAGCAGCTACTCTGAGCCTGGGTTAGAGGTGGAAGCGGGCAGCGGTTTCCGCATGCGCAAAGAAGATCTGCCGGCCCCACCTGCCGCTCGCGGTGGGCGGGGCCCCAGAGGCGGAGTCTCGCCCTGACGCTACGAGTTTTACGGACTGATAAATTGCAGTTTATGGATTCCAGTATTCATATTTGGAAAAAGTAGTACGTGGAGCCACATACATAGTTTGAAGTTCACTTTCATATTCATTCTCTCTCTCTGCACCAAACTCCCGGCGTCGTTATCTCCATTTTATAGGTGGGGAAATTGCGATCCCAGAACCTTTGCCAACCGTAAGAGTGATTGTTTCACGATCCGATACAGATACGTGACTTGCCTTAGCGTTGTGTGCCGGCCCCGTTTATTCTGGTGTAGTGTTAAGAATAGCCAGAATGCTTGGGTTTCTTCCTAGCTACTTGATTTATCAGCTGCTTTACCCTGGGCAAGTTATCTAACCTTCTGTTTGAGTTTCCTCATCTATAAAATAAAGGTTAATGAGGATAGAGGAGTCAACAAACGTGAAGCTCTCAGAAAAAACCTAGAACATAGAAAGCGTTATACAATATGTGTTAACATTTCTCCAGCTTCTGAGTTAAGTGGGGAAAATGGGGGCAAATATCTAAATATTTCGCACTAAAACACTCTCATAACCGAAGCTAAATAAAAGTATGCTTTCAATTATACTTGATTAATTCAGCTGTCCTACTACTTTGTGTGTGTGTGTGTGTGTGTGTGCAACACTGCCCTTGACTTGGTTGGATAAGTTTCACCTTCGTACTGCTTGCAACCAGTAAGGTTTTCACAGTATGGTTGCAATTGGCCTGTTAACATTACTTGTATTCCTTCCATTTCTATAGCCACACCCTAATTCAGGCTCTTGTAACCTCTCCCCTGGACTACAGCAATAGCCTTCCAACTGGTCTTGTAGCTGGTAGCCTCTCCCGCACTCTGCTCCTCACTGTTTTCCTGTCTTCCTCCTGTACTTGGTTTCCAAATTTAGTGTAGCATTTACCACCCCTGCTTATGGGTCTGTGTTCCTTAACAAACTGTTGAATTCCTGGAAGGCAGGAATTTTATTTTAGGTAGTCCTTCTGCTATAATACTATTTCTGAAACTTGGGTAATCTGTACACCACCTACACAATCTTTGCCAATCTGCACCTAGGTATTATTATTCATTCAATATTTTTATTTAAAGCCAATTTCAACTCATTAAAAATTTTTGGCTTTATCCTAAACCATAATACTCTGTGAAATCAAGTTTGTTGTGCTCCTTATTTTTATTCTAGTACACATTAACTACAAAAAGTTTAAATGTCCATCCATGGACCACCTAAAATCACATCATGTACTGCATACTGCAATGGGGCAGAACATAACCCTAATACATAGTATATAGAGTCATTATAACTGTATTTGATCCACACTCCATCCATTAGCTCAAGCAATACATCCTCCAGGAATTGTCTCCCCCAGGCATGGGTTAGATACCCTTTCCCCCATGCCTTCATACTTCACTTTAATTGTAGGGTGGTTTTGTTGTTGTTAATTGTTTCCGTGTTTGTCTCACTATACACTTCAAGACAGGCACTGGGAGTTTTATCTTCTAGGTTGTCTATCTCAGTGCCTAGCACAGTCACTTAGTAAATGTTTGTTGTACGAATTTTTGGCTTAGTTTGAGCCTGGGACGAAGATTTGGGTGCATTTTGTTTATTTAGTAAGTGCTTTCAGGGAACAAAATTGATAGGTCAGGGAGAGTGAAAAAAGAAAGAATAAATATTCAAGATAATTGTCCATTATTGATGCCACTGTTTATTCCTCAATCACCTCTGAAAACATACAGAATACCTCTCTGGATTGTCCATCTTGAAGCTACAGCATTCATCCACCAATACCATATGTATTGGTTGAGGATTTCCCTAGGGCTATTAACTCCCTGCCCTCCTGGATTATATTTGTGCCCAGAACAGAACGGGCTTCTTTAACCTGATACAAAAAAGCAGAGTCTGCAGGTTTCATCTTAGGGTGGGATATAGGCAGCATAAATCTGAGCTTGCACAGAACTGTCACTGCTGCTGTGGCTGAAATCCGAGCGGGGAGGAGCTAGAAATGTGACTCAAGACATCTCACACCTCTGTCTGTTACCCAGGCTTTCCTGTTTTATATCCAGAAGACTGACATAGACATTTTACAGGAAGAAAGCATTGAATAGCCAACTCCTAAGCTTGGAGATCAGGAATCTTGCTCCCAGTTCAAATTTTGCTGATAAATAACTTTAGGTACACTCTTAAGTAATGAGTAGAAATTGGAAGATAAAAGGAATTTTTGATTCAGCCTGCATGTGACGATAACAAAACAGTTAAGCATGGGCGCGGTGGCTCACACCTGTAATCACAACACTTTGGGAGGCTGAGGCTGATGGATCACCTGAGTTCAGGAGTTCAAGACCAGCCTGCCCAATATGGCGAAACCCCATCTCTACTAAAAATACAAAAATTAGCCTTGCATAGTGGCATGCACTTGTAGTTCCAGCTACTCGGGAGGCCGAGACAGGAGAATTGCTTGAACCCGGGAAGTGGAGGTTGCAGAAAAAAACAAAAACAGTTAAATTTGGCACTGTGGTGAGGAGAGGAAAATATCCATGCTGACTACTCTGCAAACAGAAATGAAACTTCTCCCTGTCGTTCCATGGCTCTTAGAGCAGTATTAATTTCTGTAAAAAAAAAAAAAAAGACAACAAAGTGTGAGTTTAATGAAGAAAAAAAATGAAATGCAAAACAAGAAGTAGCCAGAAAAAAATCTGAAAAATCTTTATAAATATCTTTGTGGAACTGCCTAAGATGAGAAACAAAGCCAGAGAGAAATGTATCTATACAAAAATAGGAAAGTTTAAAGTGTGGGGAGATAGGTATAATCCAAAACCTGAATGGTCCCAAAAGAAATTTAGAAGAATCTTTAAAAAGACTTGAAAACGGGCTGGGCACGGTGGCTCACACCTGTAATCCCAGCACTTTGGGAGGCCGAGGTGGGTGGATCACCTGAGGCCGGGAGTTCGAGACCAGCCTGACCAACATGGAGAAATCCCGTCTCTACTAAAAATACAAAAAAATTAGCTGGGCATGGTGGCGGATGCCTGTAATCCCAGCTACTCGGGAGGCTGAGGCAGGAGAATCGCCTGAACCCGGGAGGCGGAGGTTGTGGTGAGCCAAGATCGCGCCATTGCACTCCAGCCTGGGCAACAAGTGCGAAACTCGGTCTCAAAAAAAAAAAAAAAAAAAAAAAGGAAAACAGATGAAATACTTTAAATAAAAAAGAAAATGGACTAACAACAGTATAGAGGAGATACAATGCAGTTCAACAGACACTAACTACAGGTTTTCTTGTGAATGCACTGAACTAGAGTTTTGAAGTGGAACAAAGACATGGTTCTTTCCCTCAGCAGACAGGAATAAAAGTGAGACTGTGAGGCTGGGCGCAGTGGCTCACGCCGGTAATCCCAGCACTTTGGGAGGCCGAGGTGGGTGGATTACCTGAGGTCAGGCATTTGAGACAAGCCTGACCAATATGGTGAAACCCCGTCGATACTAAAAATAGAAAAATTAACTAGGCGTGGTGGCACCTGCCTGCAATCCCAGCTACTCGGGAGGCTGAAACAGGAGAACTGCTTGAACCTGGGAGTGGAAGTTGCAGTAAGCTGAGATCGCACCACTGCACTCCAGCCTGGGTGACAGAGCAAGACACTGTCTCAAACAAAAAACAAAAAAAAAACAATGAGACTGTGAGAGGTTCAATAATTTGCTTAAGGTTGCTTGGGGAGTAAGAGGCTGAATCAATTTTGGTACAGGTTTCTCTGGTTCCAAAGTTCTTTCCAGAGCTCCTACAGTCCTCTGGGACTTAATAGGACTTTCCCAGATGAGACTACCGAATGTTCATCTAAGCAACCAACCTATAAAGGAAAGTCCACAAGGGCTTTTGCGGTGGGAAATAATGCATCAATAATTCATCAGGTCCACAGAGGGTGTGAAATGTATATGCCTGGCCAGGCGCAGTGGCTCATGTCTGTAGTCCCAGCACTTTGGGAGGCGGAGATGGGCTGACTTGAGCTGAGCTCAGGAGTTCAAGACCAGCCTGGGCAACATGGCAAAATCCCTTTGCTACCAAAAAAAAAAAACCAAAGCAAGAATTAGCCAGGCATGGTGCCTTGAGCTTGTGGTCCCAGCTGCTTGGGAGGCCAAGGTGGGAGGATGGCTTGAGCCCAGAAGGCAGGGGTTGCAGTGAGCTGAAATGGTGGCACTGCACTCCAGCCTGGGTGACAGAGTGAAACCATGTCTCAGAATAAAAACTAAAAAGAAAATAAAAGAAATATGTGTATGGCTAAAATAGAAGTAGTGAGATGTTTACAAAGTTTTAAAATTAGAAACCACAGTAAAAAAGAAAATACTCATTTAAAAATTGAATTACTGCTATGGTAGAATTCCAACTTACAAATGTAGAAGAAATGATAGAATTAGAAAATCAGGCTGGGTGCAGTAGCTCACACCTGTAATCTCAGCACTTTGGGAGACCAAGGCGGGTGCACTTGAGACCAGGAGTTTGAGACCAGCCTGGTCAACATGGCAAAAACCTGCCTCTACTAAAAATACAAAAATTAGCTGGGCATGGTGGCGCACAGCTGTAATCCCAGCTATGTGGGGGCTGAGGCACCAGAATCACCTGAACCCAGGAGGCAGAGTTTGCAGTGAGCTGAGATCGTGCCATTGCACTTCAGCCTGGGTGACAGAGCAAGACTCTCTCTCAAAAAAAAAAAAAAAAAAAAAAGAAAAGAAAATCAACACTTGACAACTGTGTGAGTTATAATTGTTTCAAGCAAGAATCATCAATGGATGCCACAACTAAGTGGTGAAAATATTAAGAGAAACAGGATATTTACACAGTCTTAAAGTATCACTCTACAAGATACTAAGGATAGTAGAGTACCTGCCATTAGATACCTACTAATGGTAGGTAACATTTTATTTAAGTCATTGTAATTGGTATCACCAGTAATGCAATAAACACCATGATATCATGCACTGAGAAGAACACAAAATTACTTCTGTGGTATTCTTGCCAAAACTACATGAATATAATCATGAGGAAACATCAGATAAACCCTAGTTAAGAAATATTCTACAAAATAACATACCTATACCCTTCAAAAATATCATGAAAGAAAAACTGAGGAATTGTTTCAGATTAAAGGACACCAAAATGATATGACAGCTAAATGCAACCTGTGATCTGTAATTGGATCTCAGAAAAGGGAAAACTTTTTTTTCTTTTGCTATAAAGGACATCAATGGGAAAATTGGAAAAATTTGAATAAAGTCTGTAGATAAGGTATCATTGCTAATGTATTGATTTTGATAATTGTACTGCTGTCATGGAAAGAATGCCCTTGTTTTTAGGAAATACACAATGAAAAATGTAAGTGTAAAAAATTGAGTCACTGTGGATTGAGCAACTGTTTTTCTTTAATAATGAAAAAGAAACTCTTTTAATTTATTTTAATAATGAAAAGAATTTCACAAAAGAGAACCTAGCTAAGGATCCTGGAAATTTATTCATTTGACAAAACATAGATAGATAGATGATAGATAGATAGATAGATAGATAGAGATATACTAGGTACCTACTATGTGCCAGGCACAATGCCCAGGAGTGGAATACAATTATGAACAAGATGGATATATTCCCTGTTTTCACAGAGCTTTCAGGCAAGAAGTAGAGAGTCAAGCTAACAAGTCACTACACTGTAGGGTGGTAAGTGAGAGGGTGTGGGGCCAAGGGAGTACATAGGAGAGAAACCTCACCAGAACTGAGATCATAGGAGGGCCTTATGGTAGAGCTGGCACCCAAGCTCTGACCTGAAGTGTAAATAGGAATGAAGCAGGCAAAGCCCTGCATGCTATTCCACACAGATCATGGCTCATCCGTGAACATTTGTCTAATCGAACAATTAAGATACTACTTCCCTGGATATAGATGTGGAAACACTGGCAGATTGTCCAAAATCATATTAGGACAAGAGCCCCAATTATTTATAGGTGAAGAAGAAACACTCTATATACTATCAGCCCATCTTTGATGGTTATATGACCTTCTGGATTGCCCAGGTAATAGAAAGGCTCCCCTACTTCCCTCAAGCAAGGGTGACCACATTAGGCAGATGCATTTCAAATGGGGAAGCAATAATAACAAATTACACAAAACAGATCTGATCTTTTTACCACTTAACAATACAGGAACATAATTTGGAAGCCATAAAACCTATACACAGGAGATATTCCTTGTTTTTTTCCTGCTAAAATCAGAAAGTCTACCAAATTTCTGATAAGTTCAGAGATTAGAGACACCACAGGACTCTTTTATCTGTCTGTGATGTTTGCTTTTCTGTACAATTACTGACTACAGTTTTACTGCATCAGGCATAGGTCTCTGTCTCTCAGCTTTCTTGTAGCGTGCTGCCATCAGGTGGTAATAGGTGCCATAATCACTTAGTTCAATTATAAGATATGGATAGCAATGATGAATGTTTTTCCTGATGTTTGTTAACACTTTACTTATAAGCGAATTTGAAAACCCATTGCCCAAATACACCATAGTGCACTCCCTTATTTCATGCAGGTTTCTGCTCAATATGTCACCCTAACAGCAAGGCCTTCCTGAACTACCTTGTATTAACTACTCTGCAACATTTCCTGTCCCTTTACACTGCTCCATTTTTAATCATCCATCTTTTAAACACAATTCTTCCTTCCTGAATTCTTATTTTTATTCACCTCTTATTTGGCTGGATTTCATTATAGTCTTTTTTTTTAGGAAGGGTCCATGAGTGTTGTCTCCCTGGAGTTCTTTTCAGTGGTCAAAAACATCTGCTTGCTGCCTTTTACATGAATAACATCTTGACTGGCATATCATACAGGAAAACAGAATCCCTTCTAAGTTTTTTAAACAAAAAGATGACAAGTTATTGGAAGACCTAAAGTTGCAAACAGGCAGGGTTTATTTTACTTGAGATCAGGAGCTGCAGAACGTTCATCACCACTGAAGGAGCTTAGGGTGCTGGCTGCCACTGAGAAGGTCAGGCTTGTCTGCTGCTACCACAGTTGCCAGAGACAGAAAAGAAACAGCTTTTACCTTTCCTCTACCTCCTAATCTCACACAAGTGCCTCCCACTTGTAAAACCTAATCCAGAACTAAGGTGGCAAGGGAATCCAAAAAATGTGGTTCCTTAGCTTCTAGCCCCTGCAATACAGGTATGAGCAGAGAAGTAAAGATATATATATATCTTTACTTATATATATATATGTAATTTGAGAATAAGTTTCAGAAATGATGTCCATTTACACCTAAATATTTCAGTGTGTGTTTCCTGAAAACAAGGAATTCCTTTATATAACACCAGTGAAATGATCAAAATTGGGAAATTAATGCTAATATCCTTCTATCTAATTTGCAGATCTTATTCAGATTTTGTCAATTGCCCTAATAATGTTTTTTTTTTTTTCTGGTAAATCTCTCTTTTTTTTTTTTTAAGACAGGGTCTCGTTCTGTCACCCAGGTTGGAGTGCAGTGGCATGATCATGGCTCACTACAGTCTTGACCTCCCCGGCTCAAGTGATTCTCCTACCTCAGCCTCCTGAATAGCTAGGGACACAGGCACCCACCATCACACCTAGCTAATGTTTTCTTTCTAATTTTTTTGTAAAGGGTTCTCATTATGTTGCCAGGGTGTTCTCAAACTCCTGGCCTCAAGCAATTCTCCTGCCTTGACCTCCTAAAATGCTGAGTTTATAGGCATGAGCCACCATGGCTGGCCTGGAAATATTTTATATCTTGATATGGGTGGTTGTCATATGTGCATCATCACACTGTGCACTTAAAATGTTATTTATGTTACTTTAAGTAAGCTATACCTTAATTAAAATTTTTTACATGGAGAAAAAAGATCTAGAGGAAAACAATTCCCATAGATTAAAAATAAAATGCAAAAGTTAAATTTAACAATGTAAAAAGCATCCATTGTTCTATTATATTTCAACAAAATCTATACAGAAGGAAAATAAAATATTTAAAACTAATCAGAAATATTAGATTTCCATATTTTTCTACCTTCCTGATCAATTTAAATATCATGAAAATCATATCTTCCTTGTAAATTTGAAATAAATTGCTCCAACATCACTCTGGACACAATGTCTTCGTATCTTTGATAATCTTTACAGTGTCTCCTATTATCATTGTTCTGTTTACATGTACTGCTTCATTTTTAATTAATTTTGGTGTTTTTTCCTATAATATTCATTTTAATTAGTTTTTTTAAATGGGAAGAGATGGATTTATTGTTCTGTGTACTGCCTTGATTAGATTATCTTTTCTTGATTAAGTTTTCCAGAGGTGTTTTCTTTGCTTGTTTTTGTCTTGGTCACTTTTTCTTTCTTTCTTTCTTTCTTTTTTTCTTTTTTTTTGAGACAGAGTCTAGCTCTGTTGCCCAGGCTGGAGTATAGTGTCTGCAACCTCTGCCTCCCAAGTTCAAGCGATTCTTCTGCCTCAGCCTCCCGAGTAGCTGGGATTACAGGCACTCACCACCACGCGCAGCTAATTTTTTGTATTTTTAGTAGAGACAGGGTTTCACCATGTTGGCCAGGCTGGTCTGGAACTCCTGACCTCAAGTGATCCGCCTGCCTCGGCCTCCCAAAGTGCTGAGCTTACAGGTGTGAGCCACTCCGCCTAGCCCACTCATTCTTTATTTACCAGTTTGGTCATCTTCCTTTCTGAAAGTTTTAGAAATATTCACCTACTTTCATTTAGCTTGCATTCTAGTTAGGAAAACTATTTGTCAGGAAAATAAAAAGTCCTTGGCCACTTAAAGAAAAAAAAAACTGATAATTTTAGAAACTCTTAGAGGGAGGTCGTTTTTTTGTTTGTTTGTTTGTTTTGTTTTGTTTTTGTTTGTTTGTTTTGAGACGGAGTCTCGCTCTGTCTTTCCCAGGCTGGAGTGCAGTGGCGTGATCTCGGCTCACTGCAACCTCTCCCTCCTGGGTTCAAGCAATTCTCCTGCCTCAGCCTCCCCAATAGCTGGGAGGAGGAGTAGTAGTAGGCGTGCGCCACCACGCCCGGCTAATTTTTGTATTTTTAGTAGAGACGGGGTTTCACCCTATTGGCCAGGCTGGTCTTAAACTCTTGACCTCATGATCCGCCCACCTTGGCCTCCCAAAGTGCTGGGATTACAGGCGTGAGCCACCGCACCCGGCGGAGGGAGATAGTTTTTAAATCCTTGGTGGGTTTTAAAGTTTTATTTAAAAATAATTATTTTGGGGTGTCAAAATTTTTTTAAATTCTGATTCACTTTCAGGCAATTGTCTTTGCCTTGAGAAGTTCGTCCTAAGGAATTCGCCATTTGCGCCTGCTTGCTCGTTTATCTTAGTTTAATTTTATCAAACTAAATTCCTACTATTGGGGATTCTATTTACTATCCTAATTTAGAATTTTATCATCCGTGAGACTGCTAGGACTCAAGGACCTGTAAAGATAGGTGAAGACAGACCAAGCCCAAGAATCCTCTTTTCTTCTCTCTTTTTTTTTTTTTTTTTTGAGACAGGGTCTTGCTCTGTCCCCCAGGCTGGAGTGCAGTGGTGCAATCTCCGCTCACTGCAGCCTCTGTCTTCCAGGTTCAAGCAATTCTCCTGCCTCAGCCTCCCCAGTAGCTGGTACTACAGGCATGTGCCACAACGCCCTGCTAATTTTTGTATTTTTGGAGAGATACATGTTGGCCAGGCTGGTCTCGAACTCCTGGCCTCAAGTGATCTGCAAGGTACGGAGAGCATCAGGAAAAATAGCTAATGTATGCTGGGTTTAATACCTAGGTGATAGGTTGATAGGCGCAGTAAATCATCATGGCACACGTTTACCTGTGTAACAAATCTGCATAACCTGCACATGTATCCTGGAATATATATATATATATATATATACACACACACACACAAACGAGATATTTATTTATTTATTTATTCTTTTTGAGACAGGGTCTCACTCTGTAGCCCAGGCTGGAGTGCAGCAGCGCAATCTCGGCTCACTGCAACCTCCGCCTCCCGAGTTCAAACGATTCTCCCGCCTCAGCCTCCCAAGTAGCTGGGATTACAGGCATGCGCCACCACCCCCAGCTAAGTTCTTTATTTTTAGTAGAGACAGGGTTTCACCATGTTGGCCAGGCTGCTCTCGAACTCCTGGCTTCAAGAGATCCATCCACCTTGGCCTCCCAAAGTGCTGGGACAACAGGTGGGAGTCACCGCGGCCAAAAAACGAGATTTTTAAACTAAGAATCCAATGAAACAGAAACAGACAATAGAATCAGCTCTGCAGATAAGTAAGATATTGGGCTTAGAAGACAGGCAACCTAAAATAACAATGATTAATATATGAGAGAAAGAGAGGAAAAGATGAAGGAAATAAATTAAAAGATAAAGAATCTCTTTAAACTATTGGCTTCACTGGAAAAGAATCCAATATAAATCCTAAAATTGAAAAGGACTATAATGTTAAAACATTAATAAATGAGTTTGTACATTGGACATAGAACAAAATAGGATTAGTAAACTAGAAGAGAGGTTATTAGAAACTATCCAAAATAAAACACTGATAAAAATGAGAACTATGGAATAGAAATAAAAGATAGGTAAAATACCATGGAAAAATTCCAAAGGAGTAGGAAAAGACAGAAAAAAAAGCAACATTTAAGTAGATACTGACCAAGAATATTCCAAAACTGAAAAAAGATACCAAGCTATAGATTCAGAAAGCATAAATGAGTAAAGTTCAAAAAAAAAACCACCTAGATATATTTTATTAAAATAGCTTTAAGGAGTAGGGAGAGAAAGTAGAGAAAGAGAAAACAGTAAATAGCAAAGAAAAAGACACATTACTGGCTGGGCGCGGTGGCTAACGCCTGTAATCCTAGCACTTCGGGAAGCCGAGGTGGGCGTATCACTTGAGGTCAGGAGTTCGAAACCAGCTTGGCCACCATGGTGAAACCCTGTCTCTACTAAAAATGCAAAAAATTAGCTGGGCATGGTGGTGTGCACCTGTAATCCCAGCTACTTGGGAGGCTGAGGCAGGAGAATCGCTTGAACTGGGGAGGCGGAGGTTGCAGTGAGCCGAGATCGTGCCACTGCCTCCAGCCTGGGCAACAGAGTGAGAGACCGTCTCAAAAAAACAAAAAACAAACAAACAAACAAAAAACCCACATTACTTTCAGTGAAAAAAAACCTTAAGTTTATAGGTGACTTCTCAGTAGAAGATAATGCAAGCCAGAAGATAATAGAATGCTATTTTTGAAATGCTTTGTAAAAAAAAAACCACACACACACACACACACACACACACACACACACACTGCTTAACTGGTATTCGGTACTCAGTAAACACACCCTTTATGAATTAAGGTGAAACAAAGACATCTCTTTCTTTCTTTTTCTTTTTTTTTTTTTTAGACGGAGTCTCACCCTGTCACCCAGGCTGGAGTGCAATGGCACGATCTCAGATCACTGCAACCTCTGCCTCCTGGGTTCAAGCGATTCTCCTGCCCCAGCCTCCCAAGTAGCTGGGATTACAGGTGTGCGCCACCACGCCCAGCTAATTTTTTGTATCTTTAGTAGAGACAGGGTTTCACCATGTTGGCCATGCTGGTCTCAAACTCCTGACCTCGTGAGCCGCCCGCCTCTGCCTCCCAAAGTGCTGGGATTACAGGTGTGAGCCAGCACACTGGCTTCTTTTCTTTTCTTCTCTCTCTCTTTCTCTTTTGTCTCTTTTTTTTTTTTTTAGACGGAGTCTCGCTCTGTCGCCCAAGCTGGAGTGCAGGGGCGCGATCTCAGGTCACTGCAACCTCCGTCTCCTGGGTTTGAGGGATTCTCCTGCCTCAGCCTCTGAAGTAGCTGTGATTACAGACGTGCGCTACTGCGCCCAGCTAATTTTTGTATTTTTAGTAGAGACAGGGTTTCACCATTTTCCCCAGAGTGGAAAGAAATTTTTAAACAAACAAATATCTAGAAAAAAATTAATCTGTCGTCGGCCTACACTAAACAAACAGGAAAACTTAAACTGAGCTCTTCAGACAGAAGAAAAATGATTCCAAAGAGAAAAATGGAAATCCAGGAAGAAAAGAGTAAGGATGGAAAGAGTACATTTGTGGATGTATATACAAAAAAATATTGACTGCATAAAACAATAATTAAAAAAAAAGAAAAAAGGAAAAAAAGAAAATAAGTTCCCTGGGATCCCAGAATTAGGTTTGACCTTCCCGGTCCCTCTCTCGCGAGATCTGGAAACCGGAAGTGAATTATTTTGCAGGAGTCTACACCCAGGCGGTGGCTATACTTATTAAAGTTGGCGGGAGCTGAGCGATCAGTCGGTCCTGGGCTGGCTGTGGTGTAGGGCGTTGCAGGCAGCGCTCACCTCCTCAGGCCGGCAGAATGCGGGTGGCTGTGGCTGGCTGCTGCCACGGCGAGCTGGATAAGATCTATGAGACGCTGGCGCTGGCAGAGCGGCGCGGCCCGGGGCCTGTCGACCTCTTGCTGTGCTGCGGCGACTTCCAGGCGGTGCGCAACGAGGCGGATCTACGCTGCATGGCCGTGCCGCCCAAGTATCGTCACATGCAAACCTTCTACAGGTGA
Organism: Homo sapiens; assembly: GCF_000001405.40. Classification (NCBI taxonomy): domain Eukaryota; kingdom Metazoa; phylum Chordata; class Mammalia; order Primates; family Hominidae; genus Homo; species Homo sapiens. Next base: position 138,174,594 of record NC_000003.12, on the reverse strand, counting down.
GGACGCGGCCGGGCCCGGACTTGGCGGTGGGGGGGTGGGACTGGGTTCCCTCTGCCACTGGCTGCCTGTTTCCCTTAGATCCTGTCTTTGTTCTCTCTGTATCTCTAATTGGTGCCTAACTGAATACAGGGGTGAGGTAGTGGGAGGCGGGAAATGTATTCAGTTCGGTACTGTATTCAGTTAGGTACCAAATTATGTCAGTTTCACTAGCACCCTATCTCATTAGGTGCTTAGGAAATGTCACTTTCCTTCTTTCCATACACATCTTATCCATTTCAAAGGGTGTCGAAGCCTGGGAGGGGATAACCTGGAGGAAGAAGCTGACAGGTTTAGATAGCTACCTTGTACTTGATAGGACTCTGGAATTAGTTCATTCAATGATCCTGAAGTTTTTACTGGGCCCCTGCTATGTGCTTGTTGTGGTTCTAGAAGATGAGGTTATGGCAATGAACTCGAAACAGTTCTTGACTTAATTGAACGGGCACTGACTTGAGGCTCAAGGTGGAAGCTCTTCATTCCTAAGGGCAAGGATGGATACTGGGCAATTCCTTTTTTTTTTTTTTTTTTTTTTCTTGAGACAGAGTTTCGCTTTGTTGCCCAGGCTGGAGTGCAGTACCGCGATATTGACCCACTGCAACCTCCGTCTCCTGGGTTCAAGCGATTCTCCCACCTCAGCCTCCCGAGTAGCTGGGATTACACCCAGCTAATTTTTGCATTTTTAGTAGAGACGGGGTTTCACCACATTGGCCAGGTTGGTCTCGAACTCCTGACCTCAGGGGATCCGCCTGTGTCGGCCATCAAAAGTGCTGGGATTACAGGAGGGAGCCACCGCGCCCAGCCCCAGGCAATTCCTTTTGAAAGAGCTTTTTAACTTTTTATGATGAACTCAGTTTCTTTTTTTTTTTCGGAACTTATTTGCTTTTCTGCTATGCCTAATTGTGGTAACTGACTTTGCTCTTATGTTCTAGGTATTACTCTGGAGAGAAAAAGGCTCCAGTTCTCACGCTCTTCATTGGGGGAAACCATGAAGCCTCAAATCATTTGCAAGAGTTACCCTATGGTGGCTGGGTGGCACCAAACATTTATTATTTAGGTATGTGATTGTGTTTGTGGATACTTTTTTTTCCTGGGATGGAAGAGCTTATCAGGATTTGCGTTAGTTGGACTGTGTCTTGACATGTATGGTGTTTGGAGAATGTCATTAATTTAAATACTTAATCGTGAAAATTTAATTAAGATAGTTAATTATTAAATGGTTGATCATGAAAATATGCCCTTCATCTAGTGTTTTAAGCACTAGCTAATATAATTGCAAAGACCTCACACACTATTTGTAGTCCCTTCATTTTTTCTTACAATTTTTATTGAATTAAAGACCTTAAACTTTTATTAATAGAAATTCTTAAGCATACACAAAAGTAGAGAATAGTATGATGAATCTCAGTACCTGTTAACCAGCTTCAACGACTATTATATTGCAATCTCCTGGATTTTTTTTTTTTTTTTTGTGGGAAGAGATGACTAGAGTATTTAAAGCAAGTCCAACCGTTAGATTATTTCACTTATACATATTTCAGTACATGTTTTTAAGTGATAAGGATCTTTAAAAATACTACTACAGTACTGTTATTATACTTAACTGAAGTAATCATTATCTATTGCCATGTTCGTGGTCAGATTTCCCTGCTTAATGTAAAGATGTCTGCTTTACAATTGGTTTAAATAGGACCCAGACAAGGCCAGCCCATTTCATTTGGTTGTCATGACTCTGAAGTCTATTAGACTAAAATAGTCTCCCTGTCTCGCTTTTTCATGCCATTTACTTGCTGAAGAAAACAGGAAATTTGTCTTGCAGCATTTCCTGCATTCAGGATTTAGCTGATTGGATTCCTTTTATCCTTTGCATTTCCTATAATCTGCTTTTAGATTTTCAGATTTGATTAGATTGTCTCAATATTGGCCCCTATAAACTATATAGCCTTTTCATCCCTTTATTTTTCGAGACAAGGTCTGGTTCTGTTGCCCAGGCTGGAGTGCAGTGGCCTGATCTCAGCTCATTGCAACCTTCGCCTTCCAGGCTCAAGCCATCCTCCCACCACAGCCTCCCAAGTAGCTGTGACTGCAAGCGTGTACCACCACGCCCGGCTAATTTTTTTGTTTTTTTGTATTTTTTTGTGGAGACTGAGTTTGGCCATGTTGTCCAGGCTGGTCTCGAACTCATGAGCTCAAAGTGATCCGCCCACCTGGGCCTCCAAAGTGGTGGGATTACAGGGATGAGCCACCGCACCCAGCTTCATCCCTTTATTTAAATGTATATTCTTTCTAGAACAGTTTATAGATTTTACCAATGATGAGATCATATTTCAGAAATTTAGTTTCCCTACTTTGCTACTTACTGATCATCTTTTGATGTATTCATCCTATATTACAATATTGTGAAGAAGTGAAATTGTCAGAAGATGATCAATCAGAAATGAAACTAGAAGCTGTAGGTTCTTTATACCTTATACCTGTTGATTTTCAGGTTTATACATGTAAATCCATCATAGGACATTTTCCACCTCCCACTACCTCACCCGTGTATTCAGTTAGGTACCAAATTATGTCTGTTTCACTTTCAGTACCCTATCTCATTTGTCCCTTCCAGAATCTACTTAGTGTTTTGGCTCATCTAATTCCAGACCTTACCTTTATATACTGTTATAATATATCCCTAATACACTGTTGGCATATTATTATGTAAAAAGCATAACCTCATCATGGTGCTTAATTTTCAAATAATTTTAGAACTGTGTGGAATTCCATCTAAATGGAATGGTTTATTCAGTCGGTGTAGAGATTCCTTTTGCCTACAGTAATTTTATTTAACTGTATTGTTTAGGTTTGGCTGGTGTGGTAAAATACCGAGGTGTAAGGATCGGTGGAATCTCTGGTATCTTTAAATCTCATGACTATCGAAAAGGTATTGTTTTGAGAATTATTTTTAAACTTTAGAACTTGCATGCCCCAGAGTAAGTTAAGCATGATATGTACTTTGACTCTTTCATATATCTTTGTATCCTCGATATAGTTTTATCAAGTCTTAGTATTTTGCTTTTTTTTTTTTTTTTTTTTTTTTTGAGACAGAGTTTCGTTCTTGGTGTCCATGATGGAGTGCAGTGGTGCGATCTCGGCTCACTACAACCTCCACCTCCCAGGTTCAAGCCATTCTCCTGCCTCAGCCTCCTGAGTAGCTGGGATTACAGGCGCCCACCACCACGCCCGGCTAATTTTTTTGTATTTTTAGTAGAGACGGGGTTTCACCATGTTGGTCAGGCTAGTCTCGAATACCTGACCTCAAGTGATCCCACCCACCTCTGCCTCCCAAAGTGCTGGGATTACAGGCGTAAGCTACCACGCCCGGCCTGTATTTTGCTATTTTTTTATTTTTATTTTTAAGAAATAAAACAGTATAGATACAATTAAAGTTCATTGTTTATCTGTCCTCAATCCCGTTCCCTTCTTTTCTTCCCTCCCTGTCTTTGCCAGGCAGTCACTGTGTTGAATTTGGTGATTATAATTTACTTGATTATTTTACATCATTACCACATATGTAAGAACTTTAAACAATGTACTTGTTTTAAGCTTCATATAAATGTATCGTATTGCTTGTATCTTTCTCAAACTTGCTTCTTTGTTTAACATGCTTTGAAGTCTGTGTTGATACATGTAATCTAATCTGTTCATTTGTGAATAGTATTCCATTATATAAGTATATCACAACTGCATATTAATTTCATTGTGTCTGAATGAATTATACTTTGATTTCAAAGTTAAAGGAATAGCTTGGATTCACATCGATTTCACAAATTTCATGAATTACATTGACAGCTAAAACTTACATCCTGAATGTAACTGTTACAAGTCTGTTCCCTGCCACTTGGCTCTTTCTTATTCTAAACTGTTGGAATGGAGGTACAAAATAGGCTGTCTTCTCTGTGGCAGGTGTGGGTACAAATTGGAACCACTTTTGGGAAGCTGTTTATCAGGTTTTTCTATTTTATCTCAGGGATATCATTTATGCATATAATACACATATTTCTTTTTCGGCTTAAAACAACAATAATTTGTTATTTTATTAATATTGGGAGCATAAGGAACTAGTCTCTAGTCAACAGTTAGAAAGTAACTGAAGTGTGCCAGCAACCATGTGTGGGACCTTAGAAAGCAGATACACCCTTATTTGAGCCTGCAAAGGAAGGAGACTGCAGTCCACCATCTTTTTAAAAAATTTCCCTAGATAACTTTTTAAAATCGTATATATTGAAGGTGTACATGATATTTTGGAGACCTGTGTATATGTCTTTGTATTTGCAGTATTTAAGGAAATTAAATATAGCTTATTTTTCTGCTTCAATCTAAGGTCATTTTGAGTGCCCCCCTTATAATTCATCTACAATCAGGAGTATATATCATGTGAGAAATATTGAAGTCTATAAATTAAAACAGGTACGTAAAAAGCGCATTACAGCAGACTTGAAAACATTTTAAAGTAATTCTGTGCCAAAATGTATTTTGGTCATATTGGTATACTACTTTCAAGAAGAGCAATTCTGTATTTTTAAAATGTGGATCTTGAGTTTTTAGGAGGTTCACAGATGAACCTTTTTTTTTTCTTTTTTTGAGACAGAGTCTCACTATGTCACCCAGGCTGAAGTGCAGTGGCGCGATCTCGGCTCACTGCAACCTCCGCCTCCTGGGTTCAAGCAAGTCTTGTGCCTCAACCTTCTGAGTAGCTGGAACTATGGGCGCACACCACCACACCTGCCTAATTTTTTGTATTTGTAGTAGGGATGGGGTTTCACCATGTTTGCCAGGCTGGTCTCAAATTCCTGACCTCAGGTGATCCGCCTGCCTTGGCCTCCCAAAGTGCTGGGATTATAGGTGTGAGCCACTGTGCCCGGCAAAATTTTTTTTACTTCAATAATTACGAGTTTATTTTAGTAAGAATGAAAGATTTAATTCATGATTTCAAATATTACTTAGGTTAAGGCTAAAGAATACCTATTAAAGTGATATTTAAAATAAAATGTTAAAGTGATATTTTAAAGAAAATATTGAAATAAACATTTTATTTTATGTAATAGTAATTAAGTAATGGTATTAAATAGAAAATAAGTAATAGTAAAGATGATAGAGGAAATGGGAAAATTGTGAAGGTGGTATGGAAACACTGCTTAATTGCAGAGTAGGTGAAACTAGGTTGTTTGAGAACCCATTACATGGCTGACACTGGGCTAAACAGACTTCACACTTGGTATTTCATATAATCTCCACTCAAACCCTATGAAATAGATGTAACTCTTAACTTCATCCCTTTAAGGATGAGAAGCCAAGGCTCAGACAGGTAAGTAACCTGCCCAGGACTTCCCAAAGTTTAGTGGTAGAGCCTGCCTGACTGCACTCATGCCCATCACACTGTCTCTAGAGCCTCTGCAGGAGTCTAACAATTCTTGCAAGTGTTTCTTTTATGCCCTGTGCATACAGTTCCCTTAAATAGATTTTCTCTTTCACCTATCTAAATCCTACCAGTCCTTTAAGACCCAACTTAGATGCCATTTCCCAACCATGAGTTTTCTTCTTTTTTTTTTTTGAGACAAGGTCTCACTCTGTCACCCAGGCTGGAGTGCAGTAGTATGATCATGGCTTGACTCACTGCAGCCTCAATCTGCCAGGCTTGGGTGATCCTCCCACTTCAGCCTCCCGAATAGCTTGGACTATAGGCATGCATCACCTCGCCCAGCTAATTTTTTTCATATTTTTTAGAGACAGAGTTTCGCCATGTTGCCCAGGCTGGTCTCAAACTCTTGAACTCAAGCGATCCTTCTGCCTTGGCCTCCGAAAGTGCTGGGATTACAGGCATGAGCCACCATGCCCAGCCAGCCATGACTTCTCTAGTTTAGAGTCATTACCCTAGTTTGAATTTTTGTTGCATCTGTTGGCCATACCAGTTATTCAGTGGTTAGTCATATCTATCTAATATCTAATATTTTGTATTGTCTTGAGCAGTTATTTAAGTTTTTTTTTTTTTTTTTGAGACAAAGTTTCACTTCTGTTGCCCAAGCTGGAGTGCAACAGTGCGATCTTGGCTCACTGCAACCTCTGCCTCCTGGGTTCAAGCGATTCTCCTGCCTCAGCCTCCTGAGTAGCTGGGATTACAGGCGCCCACCACCACGCCCGGCTAATTTTTTGTATTTTAAATAAAGATGGGGTTTCACCATGTTGGCCAGGCTGGTCTCGAACTCCTGACCTTCAGGCGATCCACCCACCTCGGCCTCCTAAAGTGCTGGGATTACAGGCGTGAGCCACTGTGCCCAGCCGGTATTTAAGTTGTTTTAATTTCATTTTTCAAGTATTCGTTTCAGATTACTTGAAGGTTCTGGGGATAAGTAAAGTCTGGAGTATATTTTGTTTCCTTAAGTTGTTTAATGAAATACTAATTTATGTAGTAAACACAGTTTTTTAGTGTATACTATGTGAGCCTATTAGAATTTTTTTTTTCCTGGTAAATCTTTGGGTTTACTGAATCAGTCATGTTAGAGGTCTCGTGAAATCTAGTGTCTCTGGATCTTCAAAACAGTAATTTCTTTTTTCTTTTTTTTCTTTTTGAGATGGAGTTTCACTCTTGTGGCCCAGGCTGGAGTGCAATTGCATGATCTCGGCTTATTGCAACCTCCACCTCCTGGGTTCAAGCGATTCTCCTGCCTCAGTCTCCCTAGTAGCTGGGATTACAGACAGATGCCACAACGTCCAGCTAAATTTTTGTATTTTTAGTAGAGATGGGGTTTCACCATGTTGGTGAGGCTCGTTTCGAACTCCTAACCTCAGGTGATCCACCTGCCTCAGCCTCCCAAAGTGCTGGGATTATAGGCGTGAGCCACCGCGCCCGGCCCAAAATAATAATTTCTTTACCAAAGAGGAAAAGAACTATGGTTATCGTGTATTTTAGAAGCTAAGTGCTAAAGATCTTAGATGACTGGCAGTCTAATCAGAGTCTGTCTCCATTGCCTTGCCTTGCCACTGAAAATAAGAATGATTTATGAGCAGAGAAAATGCAGCTTCTCTTTGCCTAGATGAATGAGTTGCCTAGTATTTTTATCACTCTCTTAAAGTGTCCTTAGAATGAATTATACAGAATTCTAGAGATCTCAGTGGGTGAATGGTTGTATGGTGGTAGAGAGAAGGGAGGGGATTGTTTTGGTTAATCTGTTTTAAGAGTTTTCTTTCTTTCTCTTTTTCTCTTTTGAAAGCTGAAGCAGCCTATAGATATATTCTTGTCTCATGATTGGCCAAGAAGTATATATCATTATGGAAATAAGAAGCAACTTCTTAAGACTAAATCTTTTTTCCGACAAGAAGTGGAAAATAACACATTAGGAAGTCCAGCTGCCTCAGAGCTTTTAGAGCATCTCAAACCTACTTATTGGTTTTCTGCCCACCTTCATGTGAAGTTTGCCGCCTTGATGCAGCATCAGGTAGAAAACAAAATGTTTATTCTTTCATTTAACACACACTATTGAACATCTATGGACCAGACACAGTTGTAAAGTTAGAGAAAGAAGTAAAAGATAACTTACCTCTTGTGAGTAGCTCAATATATGATTCTGGGAAAGACAAGCAATTACAAAACAGTATAATAAGTTTGAGAGAAAACGTAGGCAGTGGGAGCACCTAAGCCAGACTGTGGTGGGATGGGAACATGGGAGATGAAGATAGAGAAGGTTTTCAAAAGGTGATAGCTGAACTGAGTCTTGAAGTGCCAGGAAGAAACACATTGTAAGGGTATTTTATTTAGAGGGACTGGCATGTGCAGAGGCTCGAGGTCTGAGAGCATGGGGTGTTTGGGGACTTGTAGGTAGTTCCTGTGGGACTAAGGCATAGGGACTGATGAAGCTTGAACAAGATCATAACTGCCTTCTAGGGGCCATGCTCTGGAGTTATGATTTTAACCAAAGATGATGGGGAAATTTGGGGAGTGATGAAATCAGATTTTCATTTCAGAACGATTAGTTTGACAGCATTGTTGTGTATGGATTGGAGTAATGTAAAATGGGAGGCAGAGCAGGCTATTTATGTAAAAGAAAAGGTTTTAACCTAAGGCAAAGAGAGAATACAGAGAATGAAGCAGATTCTAGAGAGATTTTAGAAGGAGAATCATTGCGATTTGGTGACTGAGGGAGGAAAGAAGTCCAGGATGACCCCCAGTTTTCTTTGCTTAACTGCATGGATGATGTACTTGATGGAAGGTAGAAAATAAATATATACTTATAATGAAACTTCTATGGAAGTATGCATTTCTTCCTTTCACCTCTGATTCTGGCTGAACTCTGACTTTCCCATAAAGTAGTCCATAGGAAAACTGTGTAGAAAATGCTGGGTTAACAGAGTTACAGATTTCTTCTTGGAGACATGTAGAGAATTTCTGAGAGTCTTTATTGCACTAATGGGCATTGCCTTTCTCAAGAGTAGAATGTGACGCTTCCCAGACTTACTTAACCAAACACTTCTGTGTTAGAGGTATACTTTAAAAATGTTCCTCAAACACGGTTTGGAAGGTTTTGTCTGAAAATATACCTATACGCCCTTTCTGTTGTGGATTTATTCTTCTCACTTCCCAGTTTCACTGGGAGAAGGAGAGGTTACTCTTTTCATTGTATCTCTGCATTAATAATATGTTTGACCTCTTTGTAATTGTCTCCTCAACTTCCTCTGACTGCCACTTTCTATTTTATCCCCTTTACCAACACCAGAGATCACTTTTCCTTGGACTGCTTTGCTGCCAATATCTGCCTATAATCTCCATGCCTTCCATTTTTCTTTTTTTTTTGAGACAGAGTCTTGCTCTGTTGCCCAGGCTGGAGTGCAGTGGCGCGATCTCCACTCACTGCAAGCTCCACCTTCCGGGTTCACACCATTCTCCTGCCTCAGTGTCCAGAGTAGCTGGGACTACAGGCGCCCGCCACCACGCCTGGCTAATTTTTTCTATTTTTAGTAGAGACGGCGTTTCACTGTGTTAGCCAGGATGGTCTCGATCTCCTGATCTCGTGATCCACCCGCCTCGGCCTCCCAAAGTGCTGGGATTACAGGCATGAGCCACCGCGCCTGGCCATGCCTTCCATTTTTCTTAATACAGATTGAGCATCTCTAATCTGAAATCTGAAATGCTCTAGAATCTGAAATTTTTGACATGACACACAATTTTCAGATTTTTGGATTAAGGATATTAAACCAGTATGTATTCTGTAAATATTCCAAAATCTGAAAAAATCTGAAATTTAAAACACTTCTAGTCCCAAGCATTTTAGATAAGGCATACTCAACTTGTACCTCACCAGAACTGAACTGTTGCTTGGTCCTCAGCAGGAGATACCATAGTTTGCTTCCTTGTGTTTTTTCCTCCATGATGAAGCTGGAACAAGATCACAACTGCCTTTTAGAGGCCATGCTCTGGAGTTCAGGTTTTAACTAGAGATGCTGGGGAAAGTTTTTTTAACCTTTTCCAAAATGACCTACATGTTTGTGATTCTTTCCACGTTTCTTTCTGTCAATTCACTTTTGAAAAAAAAAAACCTTTATTGGAGTATAATTTACATAGCATAAAATTAATATGTTTTGGCATGGTGGCTCATGCCTGTAATCCCAGCACTTTGGGAGGCCAAGGCGGGTGGATCACTTGAGGCCAGGAGTTCGAGGCCAGTCTGGCCAACATGGCGAAACTCCATCTCTACTAAAAATACAAAAATTAGCTGGGCATGTTAGCACATGCTTGTAATCCCAGCTATTCGGGAGGCTGAGACATGAGAATCACTTGAGCCCGGGAGGCAGAGGTTGCCGTGAGTCAAGATCGTGCCACTGCACTCCAACCTGGACGACAGAGTAAGACTCTGTCTCAAAACAAAGAAAAGAAAAGAAAAAAACCACATTTTAAGTGAACAATTCAGTGATTTTTAGTAAATTTCCAGAGTTGTGCTAATATCACATCATCTAGTTTTAGAACTTGTCCATCACCCCCAAAGATCCTTTGTGCCTGCTTGAAGGCAATCCTTGTTCCTGCCCTCAGCCCCAGGGGAGCACTAACTTGCTTTGTGTTTCTATAGATTTGCCTTTCCTGAACATTCATTTAAATGGAATCGTAAAATATATAGTCTTTGGCAACTGATTTCTTTCGTTTGCTTGATTTTGAGATTCACTCATGTTGTAGCATGTATAAATATTGCATTCCTTTTTACTGCTGAGTAATAGTTCATTCTATGGATATATCACATCTATTTTTGGTGTTGTAGCTAAGAAATCTTTGCCTAACCCAGAGTTACAAAGATTTTCTCCTGTGGGTTCTTCTAAAAATTGTATAGTTTAAGTTCTGCCAGTTTACTTTTAAGCTCTTTTGTTTATCTTTAATCCTTGGGTTATATGCTTTGATTTATGTGTGTTCAATGCTTTGAGTTAACATCATCATCATCATTAGTTTTTGCCTTGAATTTTGTATGGAAATTGAAGGTCTGAGAAGTTAAATGCCTTCTCTTTTATCACACAAGTGGGTATAGAATTAACTTAATTTTGGAAAAGTAACAGTCATTCCTTTGACACACAACTTAGGGGTATGTGTGATAAAGATTATTTTCATCCTATTCCGTGTATGAAGAATTACCTGTGGTTGTTTTAACATTCTTTCTTAAATCATGATTCATATTGTCCAGGCAAAGGATAAAGGACAGACAGCCAGAGCAACCAAATTTTTAGCCTTGGACAAATGCTTACCACATAGAGATTTTCTTCAGGTAAGAAGAGTGAAGTGGCTTTATAATATAGTTGTACTCTTCCAGAGACTTAAAAAAATATAATTTTCCTTTCGGAATTTTTTTGTTCTGTTTGTAATTTATGTATTCTGAGAATTCTTTGGGGGTATCTTACTTATTAATTTAAAATTAAATGGATTGATTTAAAATTAAATAATTGAAATTAAATTTAAATTAAATTCCTTTTTATTTTATTAAATTATATTAAAGTGATTAGACTGTTACAAATATATATGTATTTCTTAACATTGATTTCATCCTGTAGATATTAGAGATAGAACATGACCCCAGTGCTCCTGATTACTTGGAATATGATATTGAATGGCTCACTATTCTCAGGGCTACGGATGATCTTATTAATGTGACTGGGCGCCTGTGGAATATGCCAGAAAATAATGGCCTGCATGCAAGGTAAGTCAGACTTTATTTAGGACCTGCTTTTTCCATTGCATGCATAATTTTTATATCTCCCACCTTTGTTTTGTTTTGTTTTGAAACAGGGTCTAGCTCTGTTATCCAAACTGGACTGCAGTGGTGTGATCTTGGATCTTGGCTCACTGCATCCTCTGCCTCCTGGGCTAAAGGGATCCTCCCACCTCTGCCCCCAGAGTAGCTGGGACCACAGGCATGCACCACCATGCCCAGCTAATTTTTTGGTATTTTTGGTAGAGATGGGGCTTTCCCATGTTGCCTAGGTTGGTCTTGAACTCCTGAGCTCAAGCTATCCACCTCCCTCGGCCTCCCAAAGTACTGGGATTACAGGCGTGAGCTGCTGTATCTGGCCTCCACCTTTGTTTTTAATCAAGGGAATTATTGTTGAATGAATGTCAGAACAATTCAAAGTTTGCAGGTTTTCCATCTAAAAGAGACAGGAAAATGGACTGTTGAGCATTACCTCAAATAAATTTATAAGTGAATAAGTGTACATAAAACCATGATATGGTGAAGATATAGTCCACACATTAAAATTGTTTTGGAGTATGAGTTAAAGATGGCTTTTTCTAAGAATTATTTTTTTTTCTAAATGGTCCTTTGCTAAATTAACTCTAACTTTAAAAATGGAATTTTGATAGATGGCTTATTTTTTATCCTTGCACCTGAAGTCTGTAATTAGATTTCATCATTTATTGTTTAGAGCTGATAAAATGTAAAAAGCTATTGTTTTGTACTTTTATAGGTGGGATTATAGTGCAACAGAAGAAGGTATGAAAGAAGTATTGGAAAAATTGAATCATGATCTCAAGGTTCCATGTAACTTTAGTGTAACAGCTGCTTGTTATGATCCTAGCAAGCCACAGACACAAATGCAGCTGATTCATAGGATCAATCCTCAGACAACTGAATTTTGTGCCCAACTTGGCATCATAGACATCAATGTTAGGCTTCAGAAGTCCAAGGAAGAACATCATGTGTGTGGTGAATATGAAGAACAGGATGATGTGGAGAGTAATGACTCTGGAGAAGACCAGAGTGAATATAATACAGACACATCTGCTCTGTCTTCTATTAATCCAGATGAAATAATGTTAGATGAAGAAGAAGATGAAGATAGTATTGTAAGTGCACATAGTGGCATGAATACACCATCGGTAGAACCTTCTGATCAAGCTTCTGAGTTTTCTGCAAGTTTCTCTGATGTCAGGATCTTGCCAGGCTCTATGATTGTATCTTCTGATGATACGGTGGATTCCACAATTGATAGAGAGGGGAAACCTGGTGGGACTGTGGAGTCAGGGAATGGAGAGGACTTAACCAAGGTGCCATTGAAGAGGCTGAGTGATGAACATGAACCTGAACAAAGAAAGAAAATTAAGAGGAGGAATCAAGCCATTTACGCTGCAGTGGATGATGATGATGACGATGCAGCTTAAGATGATTTACTTGTTTTGTTTTTGTGTTTGTTTTGTTTTTTTGAGATGGAGTTTCACTCTTGTCACCTAGACTGGAGTGCAATGGCGTGATCTCGGCTCACCGCAACCTCCGCCTCCCAGGTTCAAGCAATTCTCCTGCCTCAGCCTCCCAAGTAGGTGGGACTACAGGTGCCCGCCACCACACCCGGCTAATTTTTGCATTTTTAGTAATGACAGGGTTTCACCGTGTTGGCCAGGCTGGTCTCCAACTCCTGACCTCAGGCGATCCACCTGTCTTGGCCTTCTAAAGTGCTGGGATTACAGGCGTGAGCCACTGTGCCTGGCCGACAATTTACTTGTCTTAGTATTATATGTAGATATGTGATTTTTTGAGACTGTATTTTTAGAGCTGAATTTTTGACTAAAGACTTAACTTTATAATAATGAAGATACATTAGAGAATTTTAGTTAGATATTGACTTTATCTTTAGGCTTTTGTATGTTTCAGATGCAAACATATTAAAGTTTCATATATTTACTTGACTGGGTATCTTTTTTTTTGAAGACATACATTATTCACTTCCATTTTTACAATAAACACTTACTTAACATCTACTCTGTGCCAAGCACTCTGCTATAATATGGGACCATAAAGATGAGTAAGACAAGGATTTTTGCCTCCAAGGACTTGTTATCACTGTAAACATTTTGATGTATACAATATGGCTATATTATATTTTGTTTTATAAAATCAAGTCATTGTATATATTATGATGTATGCTTTCTTTTCATTTATTATAAATATTTTTCCTGATCAGCTTTTAATATCTGTCAAATAAAAATTGAAATTGAAGATGGTATATAAGATTTCAGGAAATAAACTACTCTGAATACTAAACATTGGTAAACGTACAATCTTAATTTGCTGAGATTAGTATAACCCTGCTGACTTTTGCATATTGAGTTTTTTTTGTTTTTTTTTTTTGAGATGCAATCTCACTCTGTCGTTCAGGAGTGCAGTGGGGAGATATCGGCTCACTACAAGCTCCGCCTCCTGGGTTCACGCCATTCTCCTGCCTCAGCCTCCTGAGTAGCTGGGACTACAGGCTCCCGCAACCATGCCTGGCTAATTGTTTGTATTTTGTTTAGTAGAGACGGGGTTTCACCGTGTTAGCCAGGATGGTCTCTATCTCCTGACCTCGTGATCTGCCCGCCTCGGCCTCCCAAAGTGCTGGGATTACAGGCGTGAGCCACTGTGCCCGGCCAGCATATTGTGTTTTAACTTTAGCTTTAATTTTCATGTAACTATAGTAACTATGTAGGTCATTTTTGGCATAGTTCACCCCATAGTTTTAATTACTAGCAAGGATCAAGCTGCACAAATAACTGCCCCTCATGCTGCGTGATGGATTGCTAAATTAAAGTATTTTTGAAGATCCATATAGAAAAACTACACCTCTGTGCTATCTCTGGTTAAAATACCTGGGCCACCTGAAGAGATTGTCACTCCGTACTTCATATCAGAAGTCGTGGAATCCAAGATTGTTCCAGGATCTCATCATCCCATGGCAGTCTAAATCCAGGAGTTAATCTAGGAGAATAATAATGTAGCACTTGGCTTCTACCTTGTCAACATTTGACTTAATAACGGTCTAGGATTTGGGGGATTTTATTTTTATTTCCTTCCATTTTTTGGTTTACTTTCTTTTTTGAGTTGAATAATTCACTCATTTTACTTTTTTTTTTTTTTTTTTTTTTTTTTGAGACAAAGTCTCACTCTGTCACCCAGGTGGGAGTGCAGTGGCACAATCTTGGCTCATTACTGCAACCTCCACCTCCCAGGTTCAAGGCAATTCTGGTATTTCAAGGTGAATCTCATGCCTCAGCCTCCCAAGTAGCTGGGACTACAGGCGCCTGCCACCATGTCCAGCTAATTTTTTTTTTTTTCAGGCAGAGTTTTGCTCTTGTTGCCCAGGCTGGAGTGCAATGGCATCATCTCAGCTCACCACAACTTCCGCCTCCCGGGTTCAAGCAATTCTCCTGCCTTAGCCTCCCGAGTAGGTGGGATTACAGGCATGTGCCACCACGTCTGGCTAATTTTTTGTATTTTTAGTAGAGATGTGGTTTCTCCATGTTGGTCAGGCTGGTCTCGAACTCCTGACCTGAGGTGATCCGCCCACCTCGGCCTCCCAAAGTGCTGGGATTAAAGGCTTGAGCCACCACACCCGGCCTAATTTTTGTATTTTTAGTTGAAATAGGGTTTTGCCATGTTGGCCAGGCTGGTCTCGAACTCCTGGCTTCAGGTGATCCACCTGCCTTGGCCTCCCAAAGTGCTGGGACCACAGCCATGAACCACCTCGCCTGGCCCACTTATTTAATTTAATTAATTTATTTATTTGAGATAGTCTCATTCTGTCACTCAGGCTGGAGTGCAGTGGCATGATCTCGGCTCACTGCAACCTCCGCCTCCTGAGTTCAAGCGATTCTCCTGCCTCAGCCTCCCAAGTAGCTGGGACTACAGGCCCATGCCACCACACCCGGCTAATTTGTGTATTTTTAGTAGAGACAGGGTTTCACCATGTTGGCCAGGATGGTCTCAATCTCTTGACCTCGTGATCCGCCCACCTCGGCCTCTCAAAGTGCTGGGATTACAAGCGTGAGCCACGGTCCCGGCTTGCTTTATTTATTTATTTATTTATTTTATTTTTATTTTTTTTGAGATGGAGTTTTGCTCTGTTGCCCAGGCTGGAGTGCAGTGGCGTGATCTCAGCTCACTGCAAGCTCCGCCTCCCGGGTTCACGCCATTCTCCTGCCTCAGCCTCCCGAGT
The DNA here is from genome assembly GCF_000001405.40 of Homo sapiens. Taxonomy (NCBI): domain Eukaryota; kingdom Metazoa; phylum Chordata; class Mammalia; order Primates; family Hominidae; genus Homo; species Homo sapiens. Next base: position 138,159,081 of record NC_000003.12, on the reverse strand, counting down.
AGCTGGAACTACAGGCACCCACCACCATGCCCGGCTAATTTTTTTGTACTTTTAGTAGAGACGGGGTTTCACCGTGTTAGCCAGGATGGTCTCGATCTCCTGACCTCGTGATCCGCCTGCCTCGGCCTTCCAAAGTGCTGGGATTACAGGCATGAGCCACTGCGCCCCGCCCTTATTTATTTATTTTTGAGACAGAGTCTCGCTCTGTCCCCCAGGCTGGAGTGCAGTGGTGCGATCTCAGTTCACTTCAACCTCTGCCCCCTGGCTTCAAGCGATTCTCCTGCCTCAGCCTCCTGAATAGCTGGAACTACAGGTGTCCGCCACCATGACCAGCTAATTTTTGAATTTTTAGTAGAAATAGGGTTTCATCATGTTGGCCAGGCTGGTCTCAAAACTCCTGGCTTCAAACGATCCACCCGCTTTGGCCTCTCAAAGTGCTGGGATTACAGGCCTGAGCCACCACGCCCAGCCCGGCCCACTTATTTTTATTCTCATTATTTACATAAAGTATTTAAAGCTATGACCAGGCACAATGGCTCATGCCTGTAATCCCAACATTTTGAGAGGCTGAGACAAGAGGATTGCTTGAGCTCAGGAGTTCGAGACCAGCCTGGGCTGAAGTGAGACCTCGTCTCTACAAATTAATAAAAAAAAATTAGCTGGGTGTGGTTTCACATGCCTGTGGTCCCAGATACTTGAGCAGCTGAGAAGGGAGGATTGCTTGAGACTAGGAGGTTGAGGCTGTAGGGAGCTGTGATCTTGCAACTGCACTCAGCCTGGGCGACAGAGTGAGACTGTCTCAAAAGAAAGAAAGAAAAAGCTATGAATTGCCCCCGATTGCTGATTTAATTGAATTGTAAAAATTCTGCCATTTATTGTTTTTTTCCCAGAAATTTTTATTAAAGAAAAAAGCAGAAACAAATATTAGAGTTAATAAATGATGTTTCTCAAAAAAACCTAGATAATCCTCTAGCTTACCTAATCAAGAAATAAAGCACAGATATAGAAAGGAAGAAAGAAAGAAAAGAAAAGAAAGAGAGAGAGGGCACAAATATAGAAAGGAAGGAAGGAAGAAAAAAAGAAAGAAAAGAAGGAAGGAAGGAAAAGGAAAGAAGAAGGAAAGGAAGGGAAGGGAGGGGAGGGGAGGGAGAGAGAGAGAGAGAAAGAAAGGAAAGAAAGGAAGGAAAGAAAGAAAGAAAGAGAAAGAAAGAAAGAAAAAAAAAGAAAAGCAAGAAAGATTGCCATACTAAAGAACCTCCTGACCCAGATGGTTTCAGGAGGAAACTACCCAAAGCCCAGATAATTTCTGGCCGGGCGCGGTGGCTCACGCCTGTAACCCCAACACCCGAGGTGGGTGTATCACCTGAGGCCAGGATTTCGAGACCAGCCTGACCAACGTGGAGAAACCCCCATCTCTACTAAAAATACAGTATTAGCCAGGCATGGTGGCGCATGCCTATAATTCCAGCTACTCGGGAGGCTGAGGCAGGAGAATCGCTTGAACCTGGGAGACGGAGCTTGTGGCGAGCTGAGATCATGCCATTGCACTCCAGCCTGGGCAACAAGAGCAAAACTCCGTCTCAAAAAAAAAAAAAAAAAAGAAGGCCAGATAATTTATAATGTTAGATAAATTGTTTTAAAATATATAAAATTAAATAAAATTTACAGTTTCTTTTTATGAAAGTATCACATTGAAGTCTAAATCTGAAAAAAATTACACAAAAAACCCTGTAAATCTCACATATACATATTGATGCAAAAATCCTAAATAAAATATTAGAAAGCAACCTATAGCACACTTTAAAATGATATGGCATGACTGATAAAAAAAGATGGTTCAATATTAGGAAGTCTGTTTATATAATCCACACATTAATATACCTAAGGCCAAACATCATGATTATCATCATGGGTGATGAAAAGGTCTTTGACAAAATTCAACACCCATTTCTGATTTTGTAAAAAAAATAAGTAGCATCTTACTTAATGGGGAAGCACTAAGTATTCCCATCAAAGCAAAGGAACAAAACAGGATACCCACTACCTCCATTACGTTTTAACATTGTATTGGAAAGAACAAAACAATCACAAAAGAGAACACAATGAGGGGAATCAGAATTGCAAAAGAAGAGGCATCCATATACAGGTGATCTCATAGTTTAGGTGGAAAACAAGAAAATTACAATTAGGCCAGGCACGGTGGCTCACGCCTGTAATCCCAGCACTTTGCGAGGCCGAGGTGAGCGGATCACGAGGTCATGAGATGGAGACCATCCTGGCTAACATGGTGAAACCCCGTCTCTACTAAAAATACAATAAATTAGCTGGGTGTGGTGGGGCGGTGCCTGTAATCCCAGCTACTTGGGAGGCTGACGAAGGAGAATGGTGTGAACCCAGGAGGCAGAGGTTGCATTGAGCCGAGATTGCGCCACTGCACTCCAGCCTGGGCGACAGAGCAAGACTCTGTCTCAAAAAAAAAAAAAAAAAAAAAAATTACGATTAAAAGTAATTCAAACAATCCTATACCTCAGTAAAGTGATAAGATAAAATTAACATAGAAATCAGTTTACACACAATTACCAGTGACATAACACCAACAAGAATACTTAAGAAGTAGGCAAAACATATAATGAGGAAAACCATAAAATATACCTGAAAAATACAAAAGTAGACTTTATGGTAAAATATCTCTTATTCTTGGATAGATAGACAATTTTAAACATATCAATTCTTCTCAAGTTATACAAATTTAAAATGATCCTAGTCATGATACCAGTAGTTTTTTTTGTTTTGTTTGTTTTTCTAAAGCTAGACAAGTTGATTTTAAAGTTTACTTGGAGAAATAAGGACAGGAAAATTTCCAAAAAAGGGCAATGGAGGGATACTGGGCATATTATATATTAAAACATACTATAAAACCTGTATGGGCCGGGTGCGGTGACTCACGCCTGTAATCCCAGCAGTTTGGGAGGCTGAAGTGGGAGGATCACTTGAGGCCAGGAGTTCGAGACCAGCATGGCCAATATGGCAAAACCCCATCTCTACAAAAAGTACAAAAATTAGCGTGTGGTGGAGCACACCTGTAGTCCCAGCTACTTGGGAGGCTGAGGTGGCAGGATCGCTTGAGCCCAGGAGGTGGAGGTTGCAGTAAGCTGAGATCACACTACTGAACTCCAGCCTGGGCGACAGAGCAAAACTGACTAAAGAAAAAAAAAATCCTGTGTAATTAAAACAATGTAGTACTGTGTAGTATTGGTGCATTGGAGAGATCAATGGACCAGAAAGACTGGAAATAGGCCCAAACATATATAAAGTTTTAGTATTAAGTGGCATCTCAAATTACTGAGGAAAAAGAATGTTTTTGTTTGTTTTTTCAGAGACAGAATATTGCTCTGTTACCCAGGAGTGCAGGTGATCATAGCTCACTGCAGCCTCAAATCCCTAAGCTCAAGCAGTCCTCCCACCTCAGCCTCCTGAGTAGCTAAGACTACAGGCATGTACCACCACTCTTGTCTAATTTTTAAAACTTTTTCTGTAGAGGTGGGTTTCATTATGTTGCCCACGTTGATCTTGATTCCTGGCCTCAAGCAATCTTCCCATCTTGGCCTCCCAAAGTACTGGGATTACAGGCATGAGCCACTGCACCTGCTAAGATGATGTTTTTAATAAATAGAGTTGGATATATGGATATTTATTTGGAAAGAAACTTGGGTTTATACTTTATATACCATAATAAACTCCAAAAAGATCAGAGATCTACATGTGAAAAATGAAATCCTATAATACCAGATGAAAACACAGGTAAATTTCCTTATAACATGGAACGGAGGAAAGCCTTTGTAACTGTATCTTAAAATGCAAACACAGGAAAAGACTGATACATTTTGACTATATATAAAAGTAGATAACTTTTGCATGGCAAAGAAAACATACCATAAACAAAGTTAAAAGGTAAATGACAAACTGGTGATACATACTTGCAACTCATCACCAACAAAGTTCTTATCTTCCCAAAATATAAACTATATAGACCCAGTAATCCCAGTTCTAGGAATATGACCTAATGATATATGTCCCCAAATTAAAAAAAGCATAAGCACAAGGTTATTCATCATAGCATTATTTGTAGTAGCATAAGATTGGAAATAACCTAAAAGTTCACCAGGAGAGGACTAGTTGAACAAACACCCAAAGGAGTAAGATGAAGCCTTAAAAAAAAGAAGAATGTGGAACATGAAATTTTATACATGAATATTTATAGCTGCATTATTCATGTTAGCCAAAAAGTAGAAATAACCCAAATGTCTATCAACCAATGATTGGATAAAATGTGGTATATCTATACAATGAAATATTACACAGCAGTAAAAAGGAATGAAGTACTGATACATGCTATGTGGATGAACCTTGAAAACACTATGCTAAGTGAAAAAAGCCAGACACAAAAATCCACATGTAAGACTCCATTTATATGAAATGTTCAAATTAGAGACAGAAAGTAGATTATTGGTTGCCTAAGGCTGAAGGAAGGGAGTAGGAGATAATGAGGAATAACTGCTAATGAATACAGGGTTTCTTTTTGGGGTGATGAATATGATCTCAAATTAGATTATGGTGATGGTTACACAACTCTGAAAATATTGAAAACATTGAATTGTGGCCAGGCACGGTGGCTCACACCTGTTACCCCAGTACTTTGGGAGGCCGAGGTGGGCGGATCACTAGGTCAAGAGATTGAGACCATCCTGGCCAACATGGTGAAACCCCATCTCTACTCAAAAAAAAAAAATACAAAAATTAACTGGGTGTGGTGGCACGTGCCTGTAGTCCCAGCTACTCAGGAGGCTGAAGCAGAAGAATTGCTTGAACCCAGGAGGTGGAGGTTGCAGTGAGCTGAGATCAAGCCACTGCACTCCAGCCCGGTGACAGAGCAAGACTCCATCTCAAAAAAAAAAAAAAAAAAAAAGAAAGAAAATATTGAATTGTACACTTAAAGAAAGAAGAATGTGAGAGACTCTCATAAACTGTTATGGAGTAAGTTCTAGGTTATAAGTGAAAAAAGCCAGATGCAGAACAGTATATATAATATGGTTTGGCTCTGCATCCCTACCCAAATCTCATCTTAAATTGTAATCCCCATAATCCCCACGCATAGAGGGAGGGACCTGGTGGGAGGCGATTGAATCATGGGGATGGCTTCCCCCAAGCTGTTCTTGTGATAGTGAGTTCTCACGAGATCTGATGTTTTTATAAGTGTTTGACAGTTCCTCCTTCTCTTTCTTTCTCTCTCTCTCTCTCTCTCTCTTTCTCTCTCTCTTGCCTGCCACCATGTAAGATGTGCCTGCTTCTCCTTCTGCCATGATTGTAAGTTTCCTGAGGCCTCCCCAGTCTTGGGGAACTGTGAGTCAATTAAAACTCTTTCCTACATAAATTACCCGGTCTCGGGTATTCTTTATAGCAGTGTGAAAATTGACTAATACAATATATTTTCTGCCTAAGAAAGTTCACCTTCTTATTCTGTCTTTTTTCTTTTAATTTTGAATTTTAAAGCATTTGCATGTTTCAAAAGTCAAAACTATATGGAAAGGTATACTCAGAGATGTCTTGCTTTCGTTCTGAACCCCTTTATCCTCTTATCCCTCCCCAACTCTTTTTTTTTTTTTTTTTTTTTTAGTTTCTAGTTTATCCAAGTATTGGAATTGGCAATATCTCAGGTGAACCTTTAAAGTGGCAGAAGTTGTGGAAGTCATTTATTTTTGGCCTGCATTCCTCTTTCTGGTACTAGTACCACATCTTATTTTTTTGAGAGTCACCTTTACTGCACTGGTGTCCAGCTCTTGACCGTTCATGGGAAGTCACGTGATTCAAGTTGTACCAGTTGGATGCTCCTTCCTTGGAATACAAATCTCGATCAGAGAGATAAAGAGATGAAAATTGTTGGTGCTCATTAGTTCCAGTGGCAGTAGCTTGACAAAACTATTGAGTAATTTCTACTATCTATTCTACATTCTCAGAATTTCTCTTTTCTTAGCCTAGTTTTCCAGTCTTCCTTTCATCTTCTAATTACCAATCCCCTATTCCCTTACCTCCTTCCAGTAAATTTCCCAGTTGTTTAATTTAGTCAGTAAGTTTTGGTATTTGCAACCAAAATGTCCTGACTTATACATATACTTCTGAGTGTTAATGAGCTTGTATTGGAGTGGGGGGAAAGTGCAAGGGAAGAAATAGAAGGCCTTCACCTGTTATTTTCTTCAATTTTTCGTTATCACCCTAGACCACTCATTTATTCATTCGAGAAATATTTACTGAGATAAATAGGTCTCAGGCACTATACCAGGGACATAATGGATGAGAAAAACCAGGTATAACTCCTGTCTTCATGGAGCTTATAGTACAACGAGATAAATTAATGTTAATAAAATAATCACACCAATAATAGTGAAATTCTAATTATAGTAGTGTGACAAATGAGAGGAATATAGGTGGACATTTGGTTTACAGGTATTGTTTAATATTCTTATTGGAGGTCTTGGTCAAAAGTATAAAATAATAAAAGAAAATAAGAAATATAAGCGTTGGCTGGGAGGCGGAGGTTGCAGTGAGCCGAGATCGCGCCACAGCACTCTAGCCTGGCAACAGAGGAAGACTCTGTCTCAAAAAAAAAGAAAAAAAAAAAACTGTGGCATTTTTCTACATCAGCAATAACCAGTAAGAAAAAATGATAGCAAATGAAATAGCAAGAACAAATATGATAACATTTCTGGAAATTAATGGTTCAAAAAATGAGTAGACATCAATAAAGAAAAATTTTAAGTTATATTAAAAATAATACATTAATATTTAAATAAATGAAGAAATTGTCCATGGTTCTGGATGTGATAGAATAACATTATAAAGTTGTCAATTAACAACTGCCAGTGATCCCAAACCACCTGAAAGTGTTGATGCCATTCTGGTAATTTAACAAATTGGAAAAGTAAAATTTTAACATGAATTATAGAAGTGAAATTACATAGGACATTCAACATCATTTCTTTTTTTTTTTCTCTTGAGACTGAGTCTCGCCCTGTCGCCCAGGCTGGAGTGCAATGGTGCGATCTCAGCTCACTGCAACCTCCGCCTCTGGGGTTCACGATTCTCCTGCCTCAGCCTTCCAAGTAGCCGGGATTACAGGCACCCACCATCATGCCCAGCTAATTTTTGTATTTTTAGTAGAGACAGGGGTTTCACCATGTTGGCCAGGCAGGTCTCAAACTCCTGACCTCGTGATCTGCCCGCCTTGGCCTCCCAAAGTGCTGGGATTACAGGCATGAGCCACCACACCCGGCCTCAACATCAAGTATATAAAAGTACTGATACAAGAAAGAACGCTGTGAAATGTTGATATGACCACTATATTTATTATTAACAAATAAAATGTGGAGAAGGAAGGCTAGGTGAGATTATCAAAGGATTCCAAAGCATTTCAGTTGCTTTTCTTTTCTTTTCTTTTCTTTTTTTTCAAGACGGAGCCTTGCTCTGTTGCCCAGGCTGAAGTGCAGTGGCGCAATCTTGGCTCATGGCAACCTCAGCCTTCTGGGTTCAAGTGATTCTCCTGTCTCAGCCTCTGGAGATTACAGGTGCCCGCCACCAAGCTGAGCTAATTTTTGTGTTTTTAGTAGGGATGGAGTTTCACCATGTTGGCCAGGCTGGTCTGGAGCTCCTGACCTCGAGATCCGTCCACTTCAGCCTCCCAAAGTGCTGGGATTACAGACCTAAGGCACCATGCCCAGCCCTTCAGTTGCTTTTCTTTGTCCATTTTGAGCTTCTCCACCTACTGACTTACTGAGTCCAAAGTGGGAAACTGCTGGTGATTTCCTGAATTTTTCAGTAATACCTGTATCAAAATTATGAACTCTCATCATAAGCTTGTGTTCATCATTGTTGGGATACTCATTTGGTTTTCTTTAAATTTTCTTTTTTTGAATTACTCATATATTCACACAATAAAACATATCTGTTTTATCTCTGTCTTCCAGTCACCCAGTTCCTCTCTCTAGAGTCAATCAACATTATAAGTTGAATTTATCTTTTTCTCCTCTCTTTTGAGGAATATGGTGGTAATCTATATTCTATTTGTTACTTTACTCTTTTCCACTTTAACAATCAATATATCTTGGAGATGATTCCATGTCCATACACAAGTCTTTTTTGTTTTTTTATGGGTGCATTATATAAATGTATCTTATTAAACCAGTTCCTACTGATATACATTAGGTTGTTTCTAACCCTTTGATAATAAAAACAATGAAAATGAATATGTATGTCATTTTACCCATGTGTAACTGGATCTCTAGGATAAATTCCTAGTAATGGAATTGCTAGTCAGGCCTGGCTTACACCTGTAATCCTAGTACTTTGGGAGGGTGAGATGGGCAGATAACTTGAGCCCAGGAGTTCAAGACCAGCATGGCCGACATGGCAAAACCCCACCTCTATTAAAAGTACAAAAATTAGCTGGGTGTGGTGGCGTGCACTTGTAATCCCAGCTACTGGGGAGGCTGAGGCACGAGAATTACTTGAATTCAGGAGGTGGAGGTTGCAGTGAGCTGAGATCATGCCACTGCACTTTAGCCTGGGTGACAGAGTGAGATCCTGTCTCAAAAAAAAAAAAAAAGGATATGTTGGTTTATAATTTTGATATGTATAGCTCAACTCCCCTCTACAGAAGTTGATACAGATTTACGCCTCCAGGAATGTATGTTTCTCCACATCTTCCCCAACACCTTATATTATTAAATTTTATAAGCCTTTGCTTATCTTTTACTGTTAACTGTCTAGTCATAATTTTTTTTTCTTTTTAGAGATGGGGTCTCGCTTTGCCACCTAGACTGCTGGAGTACAGTGGTGTCATCATAAATCACTGTAGCCTTGAACTCCTGGGCTCAAGTGATGCTCCTGCTTCAGCCTCCCAAGTAGCTGAGACTACACGTGCACACCACCACACCTGGCTAATTTTTAAAAAATTTTTGTAGAGATGGAATCTCGATATGTAACCCCTGCTGGTCTCAAATTCCTGGACTCAAGGGATCCTCCCTCCTCAACCTTCCAAAGTGCTGGGATTACAGGTGTGAACCACTGTACCTGGCCAATTTTTACCTGTTTTTTTATTGAATTAAATCTTAATTTCTTATTGATTTGTAGAAGTTTTTATATAATAGGGAATTTATAACTTTGCTTTTCATTGTCTCTGACTTACCCTTAAAGATTCTGTAATCATTAGGCCTTTTTTCTTTCTTTTTTGAGATGGAGTCTGGCTCTGTCGCCCAGGCTGTAGTGCAGTGGCACGATCTCAGCTCACTGCAACCTCCGCCTCCCGGGTTCAAGCAGTTCTCCTGCCTCAGCCTCCTGAGTAGCTGGGATTACAGGCATGTGCCACTGTGCCTGGCTAATTTTTGTATTTTTAGTAGGGATAGGGTTTCACCATGTTGGCCAGGCTGGTTTTGAACTCCTGACCTCAAGTGATCCACCTGCCTTGGCCTCCCAAAGTGTTGGGATTGCAGATGTGAGCCGTCGTGCCTGGCAGGCCTTTTTATATAATAAAATAATAAAATAAAATAAAACACAGAATCAGATTCTACAACACAAGTATATGGCTTATTGAATTATTATAAGGTGAATACTCCTGTAATTACCACCCAGGTTACCTGGGTGGCTAGAACTTTGCCAATCATCTCAGAAGACCCTCCATATGCCCCATTCTGATCTCAACTCCCTCCCTTCCTTCATTATCCATTATCCTGTCTTCTACAGTAATCACTTCTTTGTGTTTCTTCAGTTTTCCATCCATGTACAATCCTAATCACTACAGTTTAGTATTGTATATTCAAAAATTGCTATGTCTTTAAAGCATTTTTTTTTTTTGAGATGGAGTTTCACTCCGTGGCCTAGGCTGGAGTGCAGTGGCGCGATCTTCGCTCGCTGCAACCTCTGCCTCCTGGATTCTCCTGCCTCAGCTTCTTGAATAGCTGATACTACAGGCATACACCACTACGACTGGCTAATTTTTTGTATTTTTAGTAGAAATGGGGTTTCACCATGTTGGCCATGCTGATCTTGAACTCTTGATCTCAGGTGATCTGCCTACCTCGGCCTCCCAAAGTGCTGGTATTATAGGCATGAGCCACTGCGCCCAGCCTTAAAGTATCTTTTAATCTTCAGGAATCCCCTCCATTCTTTGTTTGCTTTACAATTTTTTCAGATTAAGACATCGGAACCTCTGATGTGTGGTTTCTCACAGTCTGGATTTTGCTCTTGATACAGTTTAACACATTTCTCTATTGGCTGTATTACCGCAAATTGGCAGCTGGAGCCAGAGGCTTTATTGGATTTAGGTATAATCCCTTTGAAAAGTCCATAGGTGGTGCTGTATTCATTCATCAGGAGGCAAATAATGCCTGGTTTTCACTCGTTTTTTGATATTAGCAGCTGTTGATGCCCAATGCCTAGATCCATTAATTTACGGGGAGTTGCAAAATTGTAATATTCTAACTCAATAATTTATTTGCCATGTATTAGTTGGAATGCTTTTACATACATCTATAAGTTGAAATATTTTTATAACTACTCTTTTTACTGTCAGTAACCACAAGGACAATTTTATATAGAAAATATAAAATGAATCTTTGGTTCTCTCTCTTACGAATTTTCAAGATAGTGATTTGGGTATCTATCATGATCCAAAACTGGTCAATTAGGTTTTTAAAAAATATCATGAGTCTAGGATTTTAAATATATTTGAAGAGTTTTGATCAATTGCAATGATTATGCCTTATAAAGCTAAGAGTATCCTGTTTTTGTTCAGTAGAAGCCTCCTCAAGTTGGTTCCTGAATCATTTGACATGACCCTAGTAGCTTTCTTGCTATCTGGTGTGAAAATATATTCTAGATTAAACATGTACTTTTCCTGCCTCAGGCCTTGAATGAAGTATTTCCCTCTCAAAGCCTTAATTTTTCTTTTTTCTTTCTTTCTTTTTTTTTTTTTGAGACGATTCTCACTCTGTCGCTCAGGCTGGAGTGCAGTGGCGTGAACTCGGCTCACTGCAAGCTCTGCCTCCTGGTTCACGCCAGTCTCCTGCCTCAGCCTCCCCAGCAGCTGGGACTACAGGAGCCACCACCACGCCCGGCTAATTTTTTGTATTTTCAGTAAAGACGGGGTTTCACCGTGTTAGCCAGGATGGTCTCGGTCTCCTGACATCGTGATCTGCCCACCTCGGTCTCCCAAAGTGCTGGGATTACAGGTGTGAGCCACCGCGCCCTGCCCTAAAAGCCTTAATTTTTCTTAGGCATATTTCAAAACCACAATCTGTTTGGGTTAAAGGATGGCTAATTGCTACTGTATTGACCATTGTTTACAATGGTCTTCAATGATAGCTAGGAAATGTACACACACACACACACACACACACACACACACACACACGGCAAAATATCCCAAGTTCATACTGATACTTATAATTCAAATTCTGGACTATAGGGTGTTTTGCTTAACCTTTTCTATATTGGATATATTTCTATCCACCACATTGGAAATCCTGATTTTCAAGGAGCTAGGTTATGATAGAATTAGAGTACTCTATAATCACTCATTTATTTTGACTACATTATTCACACAAAAGTCTCAGGATAATACAATTACTGAGAGCTTTTTTGTTTTTTGGGGGGGGTGTTTTTTTTTTTTTGTCTGTTTGTTTGTTTTGCCTATCTGCTCTCCATTTTCTCCCCATTTTGGTTTTTGCTTGTTGATATGGTCAATTTTAAGTCACTGATATTGCTTTCTTTTTTCTATTTTTCTCATCAGTTTTTTGTTCCCCATTTCTTCCTTTTCTGACTTCTTGTAGAATAATCTGCTATTTTTATGATTCAATTTTTACCTCCTTTGTTGTCTTATTAGATATAAGCTCAGTTGTGTCATTTTGGTGGATACTTTAGTGTTATAATACATATCTTTAAGTTATGACTTTTTGCCTTCAAGTGATATCCTACTTTGCATATAGTGTAAGGACCTTATAATCATATACTACCATTGCTTCCCTCACAGCGTTTATGCTATTTAGTCATATATTTTACTTTTATGTGTGTTATAACCTCCACACTACATTGTTTTGATTTTTATTTAAACAATGACTTATATTTGAAAAATTTTAAAGTTATTTTTAAACCTTTGCATATTTACTCATATATACTCATTTCTGGTGTTCTTCATTCCCTTGTGTAAATCCATATTTCCTCATATAATTTTTCTACTGCCTGAAGGACTTATTTTAATATTTCTTGTACTGCAAATCTATTTGTGATAAATTCTTTCACCCTTTGTATAACTTAAAGAAGTCTTTATTTTGCCTTCAAATTTGAAAGATATTTTCTTTTCTTTTTTTTTTTTTGAGACAGAGTCTGGCTCTGTTGCCCAGGCTAGGGTGCAGTGGCTCGATCTTGGCTCACTGCAAGCTCCGCCTCCCAGGCTCACGCCATTCTCCTGCCTCAGCCTCCCGAGTAGCTGGGACTACAGGCGCCCACCACCACGCCCGGCTAATTTTTTGTATTTTCAGTAGAGACAGGATTTCACCGTGTTAGCCAGGATGGTCTCCATCTCCTGACCTCTTGATCTGCCCGCCTCGGCCTCCCAAAGTGTTGGGATTACAGGCGTGAGCCACCGTGCCTGGCTTGAAAGATATTTTCACAGGGGGTAGAATTCTATGTTGATAGTTCTTCTTGTTGTTTTTCACTTTCAAATGTTGCCTCACTGCCTTCTTTTTTGTATAGTTTCTGATGGGAAATCTGCTGTCATCCATGTCTTTGCTCCTTGTATGTAACATGCATTTCTCCACCTCTAACTGCTTTTTAAAAAAGACAGTATTTTTAGAGCAGTTTTAGATTTACAACAAAATTAAAAGGAAGGTATAGAGATTTCCTATATACCTCCTACCTTCACGCATGCACAATCTTTCCTATTATCAACATCCTCCACCAGAGTAGTACATTTGTTATGATTGACAAACCTACATTGCTACATCATTATCACTCAAAGTCCCTAGTTTACACTGGGGTTCAGTCTTGGTGTTGTGTATTCCAGGGGTTTGGATAAATGTATAGTGACATGTACCCACCATTATGGTATCATACAGAGTAGTTTCATTGCCCTAAAAATCCTGTATGCCCTGTCTATTCATCTCTTCTTCCTTGTAACCCTGGTAGCCACTGATCTTTTTACTAGCTCCATAGTTTTGCATTTTCCAGAATGTCATATAGTTGGAAACATAAAGCATGTAGCATTTTCAGACCAGCCATTTTACTTTGCAATATGCATTTGTGTCTACATGTCTTTGCATGGCTTGATAACTCATTTATTTTTAGCATTGAACAATATTTCATTGCTTGGAAGTACCACAGTTTATCCATTCACCTCCTGAAGGACATTTGGTCGCTTTCAAGTTTTGGCAGTTGTGAATAAAACTGCTATAAATATCCATGTGCAGGTTTTTGTGTGGACACAAGCTTTTAGCACCCTTGGGTAAATACGCAGGACTGTGACTGCTGAATCGCATGTTAAGAGTATGTTTAGTTTTGTAGGAAACTACCAAACTGTCTTCCAAAGTGGCTACATCGTTCTGCATTCCCATAGCAAGGAATAATAGTTCTCGTTGCCCCACATCCTTGCTAAACATTTGTTGTCAGTGTTTCGGATTTTAGTCATTCTAATTGGTGTGTAGTGGATCTCACTACAGTTTTAATTTGCAATTCCCTAATTACATGTGATGTGGAGCATCTTTTCATATGCTTATTCACTATCTGCATATTTTCTTTGGTGAGGTATCTATTAAGGGCTTTGGTCCATTTTTATTTTTATTTATTTATTTTATTTTATTTATTTATTTTTTGAGATGGAGTCTTGCTCTGTTGCCCAGGCTGGAGTGCAGTGGCACGATCTCGGCTCACTGCAACCTCCACCTCCCAGGTTCAAGTGATCCTCCTGCCTCAGCCCGCCTAATAGCTGGGATTACAGGCACATGCCACCATGCCTGGCTAATTTTTGTATTTTTAGCAGGGACAGAGTTTCGCTATGTTGGCCAGGCTGGTCTCAAGCTTCTGACCTCAAATGATCCACCCGCCTTGGCTTCCCAAAGTGCTGGGATTACAGGCATGAGCCACCATGCCTGGCCTGGTCCATTTTTAAATCAGATTATTTATGTTCTTATTGTTGAGTTTTAAGAGTTTTTGTATATTTTGGATAACGGTCATTTATCAGATATGTCTTTTACAAATATTTTCTATAAGTTTGTTGCTTTAAAAAATTCTTGACAGTGTCTTTCATGAAGGAGAAATAATAATTTTAACGAAGTCAAACTTATCAATTCTTTTTTTTTGTAGATCATGCCTTTACTGTTGTATCTAAAAAGTCATTGCCAAACCCAAGGTCATCTAGATTTTCTTTTGAGCTATCTTTTAGGAGTTTTATAGTTTTGTGTTTTACATTTAGGTCTGTGATCCATTTTAGGTTAATTTTTATGAAGGTTGTAAGGTCTGTGTCTAGATTCTTTTTTTTTGCATGTGGATGTTCAGTTGTTTCAGCACCATTTGTTGAAAAACTATCTTTTCTCCATTGTATTGCCTTTGCTTCTTTGTCAAAGATCAGTTGACGGTATTTATAAGGATCTATTTCTGGGCTGTCTATTCTGTTTCATTAATCTATTTGTCTATTATGTTGCCAATAACACACTGTCTTGATTATTTTAGCTTTATAATAAGTCTTGAAGTCAGGTGGTGTTAGTCTTTTAACTGTTTTTCCCCTTCAATATTATGTTGGCTATTGTGGGCCTTTTGCCTCTCTATGTAAACTCTGAAATCATTTAAACAATATTTAGAAAACAACTTACTGGGATTTTGATTGGTATTGCATTGAATCTATAGACCAAATTGGGAAAAACTGACATCTTGACAATGTTGAGTCTTCCTATCCATGAACATGGAATATCTTTCCAATTATTTAGTTATTTTATTTTTTTCATCAGAGATTTGTAGTTTTCCTTACATAGATCTTATACATAATTGTTAGATTTACACCTAAGTATTTAATTTTTGGGGGTTGCTAATGTAAATGGCATTGTATTTTTAATTCAAATTCTACTTGTTAATTGCTGCTATCTTTGACTGCTTTTAATATCTTCTCTCTACTCTGGGTTTGAGCAAGTTGATTATGATGTGTCGATATAGTTTAATTCATATTTCTTACACTTGGGTTAGTTGAGCTTCTTGGGTCCGTGCTTTTATAATTTCCATCAAATTTGAAAACATTTTGGGTATTATTTTATTTATTTATTTATTTATTTTTGAGATGGAATTTCGCTCTTGTTGCCCAGGCTAGAGTGCAATGGCGTAATCTCAGCTCATTGCAACCTCCGCCTCCCAGGTTCAACCAATTCTCCTGCCTCAGCCTCCCGAGTAGCTGGGATTACAGGCATGTGCCACCACGCCCAGCTAATTTTGGATTTTTTAGTAGAGACGGGGTTTCTCCATGTTGGTCAGGCTGGTTTCGATCTCCCGACCTCAGGTGGTCTGTCCAGCTCAGCCTCCCAAAGTGCTGGGATTACAGGCAGCAGCCACTGCCCAGCTGGGTATTATTTTTAGAAGTTATTTTTTCTGTCTTCACTCTCTTTCCTCTTCTTTGGGGATATCAGTTACACATATACTAGGTGACTTGAAGTCTCATAGCACAGTGATCTTTTGTTCATTTTTGAAATTCTTTTTTTTCTCTCTGTGTTTCACTGTGGATAGTTTCTATTGTCGTACCTTCCAGTTCACCACTATTTTCTTCTGCAATGTCAAATCTGTCTTTAATCCTAACTGGTGTAACTGGTGTTTTTTTTTTTTTTTTTTTTTTTGAGACAGAGTCTTGCTTTGTTGCCCAGGCTGGAATGTAATGGCACGATCTTGGCTCACTGCAACCTCCGCCTCCTGGGTGCAAGCGATTCTCCTGTCTCAGTCTCCCGAGTAGCTGGGATTACAGGCACCCACCATCACACCCAGCTAATTTTTTGTATTTTTAGTAGAGATGGGGTTTCATCATGTTGGCCAGGCTGGTGTCAAACTCCTGACCTCAGGTGATCTACCTGCCTTGGCCTCCCAAAGTGCTGGGATTACAGGCATGAACCACTGCGCCTGGCCATCCATCTATTGTTTTTTGACTTTTTAATTATGGCCATTCTTGCAGGAGTAAGGTGGTATTTCATTGTGGTTTTAATTTGCATTTTTCTGATGATTAGTGATGTTGAACATTTCTTTTTTATTTTCTTTTTTTTTTTTTGAGACAGAGTCTCACTCTGTAGCCCAGGCTGGAGTGCAGTGGCATGATCTTGGCTCACTGCAACCTCCGCCTGCTGGATTCAAGTGATTCTCCTGCCTCAACGTCCCGAGTAGCTGGGAGTACAGGCATGCACCACCACCCCCGGCTAATTTTTGTATTTTTAGTAGAGACAGAGTTTCACCATGTTAGCCAGGCTTGTCTTGAACTCCTGGCCTCAAGTGATCCACCTGCCCCAGCCTCCCAAAGAGCTGGGATTACAGGAATGAGCCACTGCGCCCGGCCAAGCATTTCTTCATATGTTTCTTGGCTGTTTGTATATCTTCTTTTGCGAAATGTGTATTCATGTTCTTTGCCCACTTTTTGATGGGATTATTTTTTTCTTGTTGATTTGTTTGCATTCCTTGTAGATTCTGTATACTACTCCTTTATTGGATACATAGTTTGCAATTTTTTTCTCCCACTCTGTGGGTTGTCTGTTTACTCTGCTGATTTATTTCTTTTGCTCTGCAGAAGCTTTTTAGTTTAATTAGGTCCCATTTATTTATTTCTGTTTTTGTTGCATTTGCTTTTGGGGTCTTAGTCATGAATTCTTTGCCTAAGCCTATGTCTAGAAGGTCTAGAGGAGTTTTTCTGATGTTATCTTCAGAAAAACTCTTCTAGACATTGGCTTGGGCAAAGAATTTTTATGGCTTCAGGTTTTAGATTTAAGTCTTCTACCTTGAGTTGGTTTTTGTATAAGGTGAGAGATGAGGATAGCTTTGTCTTTTCAATGCAGAGTCTATGAGCTCTGCCTGGGTTTCCCCTCCCTGTACTGTGGCCTAGAAATTGTCCTGAGGCAGTAAGCTAGGACAATCACAGGGCTCACCTTTGTTTCCCATCTTTCAGGGATTACTGTCCATTGCCTGATGTTCAGGGTCTTAAAAACCATTATTTTGTATATGTTGTCTATTTTTTGTTTGTTTCACGTGACAGGGTCAACCTGGTCCCTTTGTTTCATCTTTTTGGAAGTGAAATTCCCTGTCTTTTACAATTTTCATTCTATTCCTATCAGTTTCTCTTCAGTGTGGGGCTCCGTATTGGAGAGGAGGCCTGGTTGCTCAATTTTCCAAGTTCACAGAGGTCCAGACTATTCTAGCCCCTTCATATTTTCTTTGGCCTCCTTGCCTTCATGCACTATTATACTGGACAAAACCTCCCCCAGTTTCGGTGCTGTTCCCACATTGCCTTGCCATGCTTTCTGGTGAGTATCTTTTGGATGCTTTGAGTTTCTTCTGCTTTCAGGTCTGATCATCTCTCTCTGCTTTTTTCAGCACAGAGCTGATACCCTGCAATTCTTGGGGCTATTGGTGGTCTGTCCTCATCCACATATATTTTGGGATTTATGGGGATACCTTGTCACCTAGTTTTGTAGTAAATTTTGCCTGTGGTATTCTGGTTTTAAAATATAGTTGCTCTACTCATTTTTATATGGGGATTTGGAGAGATTAAAAAATTATATGGCTGCTGTTATTATTTTCCTAAAACTCTGCTGAGATCTCTTGAGATAAAATTTATGTTTGTACCACATCCTGCACTTATTTTGGGCTATCATTTTCACTAATAGTTTGTGGTTTTTTTGCTTCTAAACAGTTTCAAATTCTTCAAATTCTTTCCTCTCAAAAGCTGTTATTGCTGATACCTGTTTCTTTTTCTTTTAGTCCTTCTCCTCTTCCTCTCCTACTTCTTTTTTCTTCATTTCTTCCAAGAAAATGTTCTATCCAGTCACAGTTTTTTTTTTAACCTGTTCCTTAATCTTCATTCATTTCTATCAATTTATTCTAAGGACAAGCGTCTCACTATTGCTTCTGCCTTTTGCAGCCATTTTGTTATGCTGAGGCAGCTGCTCCAAGGACATGTGGGGAAATCAGAAAAGGATGCAGTCCTTCAATACCTACCATGGATTAAGACTACCAGACAAAGCCAGTGGAATTTTAAAAGTACAGGCAAAGAAGTACAGGTACAGAACAATTAGACCAGTGGAACAGAAGAAAAAACTCAGAGACAGATTCAAATACGTACATATATATGACATGCATATGGAGACTTGCTGTGTGATAGCACTGGCATCACAACCCAACAGAGAAAACATGAAATGTTTTGTAGATAATGTTGTGGAAACAGTTTCTCTATAGGGAGAAAAGGAAAAGCCAATCTCCGTATCTTATCATGTACAAACGTGGACTCCAGATGAATGAATAAACTTAATTTAATCTATAAAATTATACAGAATGGCCGGGTGCAGTGGCTCATGCCTGTAATTCCAGCACTTTGGGAGGCTGAGCCAGGAAGATCACTTGAAATCAGGAGTTTGAGACCAGCTTGGCCAACATAGTGAAACCCTGTCTCTATTAATAAAACAAAAATTAGCTGGGTATGGTGATGTGTGCCTGTAATCCCAGCTACTTGGGAGGCTGAGACAGGAGAATTGCTTGAACCCAGGAGGTAGACATTGCAGTGAGCTGAGATTGTGCCACTGCACTCCAGCCTTGGTGATGGAGTAAGACTCCATTTAAAAAAAAAAATTATACAGGAAAAAGAAAAAATGTAGGAGAATATTTTTGTAATTTAGGAGTGAGGAAGGTCTTTTTCAAAAAGATCTCCAAGACACAAGTTATTCAACAAAATAACTCCTGTATTTATTACATCAAAATAAGAATATCTGTTAAATAGAAAGACAAACCAGGCGACATGTTGGGAGAAAATAGTTGCAATATTTAAAACCAACACTAGACTAATATCTATATTTTATAGGGAAGTTGTAGATTTACAATAAAAAGGAAGAGAATCCAACAGAAAGATGAGCAAATTACATGAAAAGGCAATTTACACAAGAGGAAACCAAAAAGCTAACTTTTTGTGAAGTGATACTTCAACTCATGAATTATCAGAGAAATGCCAATAGAACAACAGTGAGACGTCTCACAGGAACACTGGGGTACTGCTGACAATCTAGCAACTGGTCACTACCCCAAAATTTGCATGATGGGAACATAAATGGAAGGGCTATCATGGCAAAGACAGAGGCCATGTATTGGCCTAACAGCACAGACTCCCACTTACCAGGACCAAACTAACTACTGCTGTCTCTGAATGCCCAACTTGTCAGCAACAGAGATCAACATTAAGTCTCTGATATGGCATTATTTACTGAAGGGACCAAGTGGCTACTTGGTGCCAGATTGGTTGACCACATCACACCCCTTCTATTGTGTATTAATCAAGATTCTCCAGAGAAACAGAACCAATGGGATAGATGTAGATATATAAGAGGAGGTTTATTATGGGAATTGGCTTACCCAGTTATGGAGACCAAAAAGTGCCATGATCTGCCATCTGCATGCTGAAGACCAGGAAAGCTTGTGGTGTAATTCAGTCCAAGTCTGAAGGCCTGAGAACTGTGTGTTTATGGGGCTGTTGGGGCGGCACTGGGGAATGGTTAGGGGAGAGCCTGGAGTAAGTCCTAGAGTCTGAAGGCCCAAAACCAGGAGCTCCAATGTCTGAGAGCAGGAGAAGATGGATGTCCCAGTTCACAAACAGAGAGAGAAAGAGAGAGAGAGAAAGGGAAGTCACCCTTCCTTAGCCTTTTTGTTCTGTTTAGGCTCTTAACAGATTGGATGATGCCCACCCACATTGGTGAGGGTGGATCTTCTTAGTCTACTGATTCAAATGCTAATTTCTTCTGGAATCACCCTCACAGACACACCTGGAAATAATGTTTTACCAGCTATCTGGGCATCCTTTAGCCTAGTCAAGTTGGCACATAAAATTAACCATCACACCTTGAAAGAGCCAATGGTTCATCCCCACAGGAATGAAAATTCCTGATATGAATTTTCCTTTCCTTCCTGTAACACCTCAGCTACAGCACTATCTGAGGGTTATGAAATGCCTGGTACACAGGCATGGAATCTCATATAACATAGAATTTGACCACCATTTTACAGTGAGGAGTGGGCCCATGACCAGGGGATCCACTGGTTGTATCACATATCACACCACCCAGAGGCAACTTTCTGGAATGGCCTTCTAAAAGTGCAACTGAAGTGCTTGCTTGGAGGAAATACTCTGAAAGAGTGGGATGCCATCCTTCAGGACACAACATATTTATGTCTATCCAGAGTTGTGTATTGGGTGCCTTGTTCCCAGTAGGAAGGATACAGGCATTAAGGAGGTGTAAATAGGAGTGGCCCCACTAATCCTCACTCCTAATGATCTACTAGGAGATTTTGTGTTTTTTATTCCTGAAACTCTGAGCTCTTCAGTGTTGGAGGTTCTTGTCCCAAATAGAGAAGATTCTTGCCAGGTGATACTGCAAGAGTCCCCCTGTATTACAAACTACTGCAGGGCATCTTGGACTCCTTGTGCTTTGGCACCAGCAAGTAAAAAATAGTTACACTGGTAGAAGTAATTAACCCTGATTGGCAAGAGGAGGTAAGGCTGCTCTCACACAATAGCAGCAGGGAGGAATAGATATGGTACCTATGAGATCCACTTTGGGCCTCTTGGTACTCCCTTGCCCCACTGTAACTGTGAACAGACATGTGCAGCAACCCTGAACTGAGAAAGTTACGACAATCAAGCATTTAGCACCTCAGGGAGGTGAGTTGCACAACCAGCTGAGCCACCAACCTCTGATGAGGAACCTTCTGAGGATGAAGGGAATTTAGAATGAATATTGAGAAGGGACAAGATGAGTTGCTGCTCGAGATCAACTAGAGTGACAGGGGCTGTAGTTCACATCAGTAACCTCCTTCTTGTTAGTTCCTCCCAGGAAGAAAGGCTTCTGGAACCTATGTGCAGAAGTAAATCTGTGAAGCTCAAGGGGTGCACTGTGGCAGTTGTGAGAATGTGCCTCACAGACCTCCAGCTAGAAAGAGCACAACAGACCAGGGGTCCTGGCTGCTGCTGCTGCACTATAAAATACATCACTGATTTTATGCTGAGGCCACTCCTTCCACAGGCATCCAGTGACTGGATGTGGCAAGAGTATTAAGGTAGACCCACTTTTGGGTGACGCAGAACGACTCTATGACTGACTGTTTTTTTTTTTTTTAGACGAAGTCTCACTCTGCCTCCCAGGCTGGAGTGCAATGGCGTGGTCTCGGCCCACTGCAACCTCCACCTCCTGGGTTCAAGCCATTCTCCTGCCTCAGCCTCCCGAGTAGCTGGGATTACAAGTGCCCACCACCACTCCTGGCTAATTTTTGTATTTTTAGTAGAGACGGGGTTTCACCATGTTAGCCAGGCTGGTCTTGAACTTCTGATCTCAGGTGATCCACCTGTCTCGGCCTCCCAAAGTGCTGGGATTACAGGTGTGAGCCACCGCGCCCAGCCTATATGACTGACTTTGGCTTGAGAACTCCCCAGTGATTATGCTGAACCTTCTTTAGACAAGGACAGCCTTAGACAAGCCAGCCTAGAATGCTTCCCTCAACTTTTCTCCGATCTTCATTGTGGCTTCACAACTGTCCCAGCCATACAAGGCTTTCTTCCTCTTTTTCTGAAATATGCATTTCCCCAATAAAACCTTGCACAGTTAATTTCATCATAGTGTCTGCTTCTCAGAGGACCTGAACTTTATAGCTTAGATGTGAGGGGTAAGAAGAAAGAAGAGTTAAGAATTAGCCTCTGGTTTCTGGCTTGGGCAACTGAGTGCATGGTGATTGTCAGTCACTGAGATAAGGAAGACCAGGGATCTCCATTTAAAGAGAAAAGACATAGCAAGAGGACAGAGTAGGGGTGTGTGGAAGGACAAAAGGAAGGAAAGGCAGAGAGGCCTCAGGTTAGGAGGACAGTTCCACTTGCTACAGGTTTCTGTTGCAGATGAAGTTACTCCTTCCCCACTGAAGCCTGGTCCCAGTTCTGTATATCTTAAGAACAGCTCTAATTTCACTCATGGCTCAAAAACAGATTCTCATAAAAACATGTGTAAGGGGATTGGACAGAAGAAACCTACCCTGGGGTTTCTGTCTTAGCATGGGCTGCTATAACAAAATACCACAGTTTGGGTGGCTTAAACAACAGACATTTATTGTAGCCACTTTCTCTCTATGTTGCTCACGTAGCCTTTCCATGGTGTATATGAAGAGAGAGAGAGAGAGAGAGATCTATCTTCCCCTTCTTCTCAGGGACCTATTCTAAACCTACTTACCTCCAAAGGCCCTGCCTCCAAACACCATCACATTGTGGGTTAGGGCTTCAACATATAGAGGGGCACAAACATTCAATCCATAACAGTTTCTTTCAGCCATATTGGAAAGTGCTCATTCTCAGACACTCAGGCTTTATAAAGTCCTGTGCCATGTGGACACTTAGCATAGATGACCCTAAGCTGATTTCTGTTCCTTACAGGAAAAAGGAACTAAACTCCGGCTTACAGAACTTAGCAAGGTCGCTTCAAATAGCCCCTCGCTCTCAGAAAGGTGCCACTCTTTTCTATAGGCTTCTTGCAGACCCTGTTCTTCAGTCTTTGAAAGTGGTGTCTGGGGCACAACTGGTTTATAGGGAACATTTATTAACTTTTTTCCCCTTATCTCCCTGACCTTATCCCCCACCTACTCTTTTATCTGCAAGTAAATTTAACAAAGAGGGGAAACTACATGTGTGAACACAATAATTTCCAGAACAAACCCGGAAATCAATTATTGATAGCTATGTAAAGTGTTGCAAACAGGGGCATGTTTGACTGCTGTGGCTGAGTGGAGAACAAAGAGCATTATCACCAGATACACAAGGCTAGATTCATTTCCCTGGAAATGCAGAACAGTTTAAAATATTGCTAAGGGACAAAGAGATTTTACTCCGGTGCTAACTCATTGATTTTTAGTGAAAAATACTTTTTAACAATTACTTTTTTCAGGATTTAATGTTGATAATGTCAGTCCTTAATGCATGTCAATTATTTTATTATTCCTCTATGGGTTTCCTAGTGTTATGCTATGGATTGTTCTTAGTCTGCAGTGAAATGCCTCTGTCCAGCCATCTCCTCTCCATTCATGTAAACCCAGCATTCCAGTCTTTGTTCCAACTTCAGAACAGTGGTGAAGGGAATTGGCATTGTTGATAAGATATCACTTTGTGTATTGGTTTTTCCCTGTTAATAACTGAATGCTTTAACAAGTTTATCAGCCCCGCTTGCTTAACAAATATGTTAAAACAGGAACTGTGGTTCCAAAGGCTCCAAAGTAAAGAGGACAAATATTGCTGGGTTGAAAATTTCCTTCTTGCAATAAATCTGAGTTCAAAGAAGCTATAGAATTAAGCATTGTGCTTTTCATGTGAAATTCAATTCGACAAACATTTATTGTTAAAAAAATTATTTTAACTTCCCCTTCTTAATACAGTGGGTCCTGTAGAAGGAGGAAGTTTAGTGCCAAACACTGAACTATTTTCAATTGAGGTTATCAGAGGTCATCCATAGGGCTGAAGAGTTGGGGAAATGTCTCCTCTTCTCCTCCAGTTCTATGGTTTTTCTCCCTGGTCTGCCCTTTTTTTTTTTTTTTTTAACACTAGTTCCAAACATCCAAGTATAATAGAAAAACGCTGAATTCAGAGGTTTTGTCTTATCCTGTTAATTTATTTGGGGCCACATCAATTCACATTTCCTAAGTTCTCATCAGTCAGCAACAATTGCCCAGGCTCCATAGTCTGTTGGATTGACCAAGTCTGGCTTACATTATAATGGAGGAAGCAAGAACTCTTCACACGACTCAGAAATTCCTAGGAAAGTAGACAACACCTGAATGCATATGTGACTGCCATCGCTGTATTCAGACACATCCATTGCTCAAAGACAAGTAGTTCTTTGTACATCTCTACTCAGATATCTACATTGGGGTTCCTAGGGGTTGCTTGGCTAGTTGGAGAAGGCCTGAGATTGTGTAGTGAAGAAATCCAGAAGAATTTTGAGCAGAGTTAGTGTCAAGGAGGGTCAGGGAGCAGGGACATTTCTTAGGGAAGGTGATATGTAGGAAAAGGTATGGACAAGTGACATCCTGGGTTAAGGTACTGATGTAAAATATGGTGCCAGGGTTCAGGGTCTCCTGAAGCCCATCCTTGGAGCTTCTAGGGATCTGTAAAGTCCAGGTTAAGAGCTGCTGCTGTGACACCTGCCTGAACAGACAGAAGTTAGTGTGGTATAGGCCAGGAAAGGCAGAAAGGGGTGCAGAAGGAAGGGAAAGTAGTTCTGTTTCTCAAACCAAAGGGAATGCTGAAGGATGGATGTTGGGGGCCCTGAGAAGTTCCAGGTAGAGTGGCTCAGATGACAGGAGGCCTTCTCAGAAAGACACAGGAAGGACTTTGGGCTATGAACCTACAGAGGCTCCAAGTACCAGTGACCTGGCTTCTGAACGCATCTCATCAACTCTTATACAGGGTTGAAGATTTCCCTCTTAAAAGTTCACTGGGGACCAGGCGCGGTGGCTCATGCCTGTAATCCCAGCACTTTGGGAGGCCAAAGTGGGCGGATCACTTGAGGTCAGGAGTTCGAGACCAGCCTGGCCAATATGGTGAAACCCTGTCTCTACTAAAAATACAAAGATTATCTAGGAATGGTGGCACATGCCTGTAGTCCCAGCTACTTGGGAGGCCAAGGAAGGAGAATCACTTGAACCAGGGAGGCAGAGGTTGCAGTGAGCCAAGATCACACCACAGCACTCCAGCCTGTGCAACAGAGGGAGACTCTGTCTCAAAAAAAAACAAAAAAAAAAAAAACAAGGTTAGAATAGGGAATAGATTTCACTCATCTGAACAAAACAAAACAACTTAATGTTTGTTATCAGGGAGTACAAATACCATCCATATTGATATAATTCTATTTTTCTCTTCTATTTTCCTTGGTAGAAAGTGACAATAACTTCTTTGGTTTAAAGAGAACTTTCATTCTCACAGTGAGCCTGAGGTCGGTCATTTTCTGCACTTTTCAAGGGAGTTGAGGCTCTGGGCAGTTTAGGGGCTTGTCTAGTGCCCTCAGCCTGTGGTGGCTGGAGGCATAACTCCAAGCTCAGTGCTACTTCCATCATGCTTTCTACTTGGTTCTTGGTCAGATAGGTCCTACTTTTGTGCTTGGGATTTCACTGCATTGCTGATGCTCACATTCATCCTCACCTGACAAAGGCCATTAACTACATCACTGATCTCTGCCTTGACCACTTGTTCAATAGTTTTAGCCACTGGGCTAGCAGTTGGGAGGCACTAAGATATGTGACCCACCTGAGGCCCAGGAATGTGTTATCACTCCCACAGATGGGGTCCTCTAGTTACCCCTGGGCAAGGAGCAGGAGCACTAATCTCCACTCCCCTTCATAGGAAAGAACAACCAATCTGTCCAATTACAGAGAACTTTGGAAAGATGCCAAGGCACTCTGAGCCCAGAATTAATGAGGTCCAGAGAAGAAATTCAGCTCCAAAAGGAAGAGGTTTGTGGAGACCTACAAGCTGTTTCTGGGGTCCTTGGACACATAGAAAACCAGAAGCCATCAATGAGTGGGGCAGCTTTAACTCCCTTCATGTAGGACCTGCTATGTTAGAATCTAAAGTCTGCTCAGGAGCAGGCCTACCTGCTCACACTAGAGCATCCAGGGGGAACTGTGAATACCTGCTCATGGCCAAGACAGGTGACTCTCAGCAGAGGATGGCTCCAAAGAAGATTGCTAAGAGCTCATTTCAGGGGCGGTGGAGAATAGGCCACAGGTGAGTGCTAACACCTTGGGAAATGTGGGGACTGCCACATCAGTGGAGGACAACAAAGCTGGCTTCCTGAGACTGGGACGAGGCTTATACCCCATAAGGGGGACCTTGGGGAAAAAGGAGCCTTCCTGCAGCCACTGTGACTGACACTGGGGAATCACTTCTCATTCTAGATCACTGGGCCTTTGGACTGCAGGGCTTTGTTCATTGCTTATTTGTGGTGATGGGCTCTCTTTCCTTTTAATCAAACTTTGTGCTTGCAAAGGGGAGTTTGTACCACCTTACAGGGTCTCTGTCCATAATTTTGATTCAAGCTAAACTGATCAAGTGCAGGATATGTTGGCTCCAAGGTTATGCCAGGATACAGTTTTCTCCAGGTGAAATAATCCCTTTATAACCCCCATAATAGATCCACAAACAGGCAGGATTAGTGTGTGGGTCACCTTAAAAATCTGGTAAACCCCTCTTGTTCCCAAGTGGCTGTGTTTGGGAGAACTTAGTAAAGGGAGGAGCTTCCTGGGAACTTTTTGTGTTTAGTCTCAATCTGCCAATGATTTACTTACCCCTGTGTTGTTGAGTTGGAAGATTGGGTGGTGATTTATCAGAAAGTGTAGCAGGAAGAACTTGTCATTTCTAAGACCTCAAATACTGGTTAACTGCATTTGCAGCTAGAAGTTAGGCTCTGATTCACTGTTTTGTATTTTCTAAAAGGGTTATATGTAATTTGAAAGATAGACCTGCCAAGACGTGAGATCTGTGTTCTCCTTGGTTAGAGCTAACATTTTTGGTGAGGAAAGCACTGCAGGTAACGGTTCAGAGCCTGGACTTTGGTGGCAGGTGGATGCAAGTTACAGTCACAGCTCTGCTACTTGCTAATCGTGTGATCTTGGCAATTTATTTAACTCTTTAGCCTTCAGTTTGCTTCCTTTGTTAATTTTTTTTCTTAGTTCTATTAGTTTTTCAGTTATGTTTTCTGAACCTAGAGATACTTTTGCCTCTTTTAATATTCGTAGTAGAAATTCATTTCTCTTGTTTTATTGCATTGGTTACAATTATCAGATTGTAACCAATGATGTCAGTGACAATGACAATGGACATTCATATCATATTCCTGATCTTAATGGGATGTTTCAAATGTTTCATATTAAGTATGATAATTGCTATATGTTCTGGTAGACATTGTTTAAAATCAGCTTAAGAAAGTTTCCTTGTACTTTAAAAAAATTGTGAATGGATCTTAAAGTTAGTCACATTCTTGGCATCTCTTGAGCCAAAATGATCATATGGCTTTTCTTCTTTAGACTGTTAAGATAATGCATTTTATCAATAGTTTTCCCTATTAACTAATTATTTTTAATGTCAAATCATTTTAAAATCTAAGATAAATCCTGATTGGTTATGATGCATTTTTCTTTCTCACATATTTCTTGTCTTTTTCTTTTTCTTTTTTTTTAAATTTTTGTGATGATTTTCACTATGCTGCCCAAGCTAGTCTTGAACTCTTGGACTCAGGGGATCCTCCTGCCTCAGCCTCCCTAGTAGTTGGGACTACAGGCATATGCCACCATGCCTGGCTGCATTTTTTTTTTAATATTGCTGGACTTGATTTCATCATATTTTATTTAGGATATTTAAAATTTAAGTTTTTAAATGATATTCATGTATCATTTTCTTGTGTGCTATCTTTGTCAGGTTTTGCAGCTGTGATTTTTAATTAATTGTGTTGATTTAAAGGAGCAGGCTGGCACAGAGAAGAGGACATGCGGAAGGAGCTCCAGCTCTCCCTGTCAGTCACCTTGCTGCTTGTCTGTGGCTTCCTCTACCAGTTCACCCTGAAGTCCAGCTGCCTCTTCTGTTTGCCTTCTTTCAAGTCCCACCAGGGGCTGGAAGCCCTCCTGAGCCACAGACGTGGCATTGTGTTTCTAGAGACCTCAGAGAGAATGGAGCCACCCCATTTGGTCTCCTGTTCCGTAGAGTCTGCTGCCAAGATTTATCCTGAGTGGCCTGTGGTGTTCTTTATGAAGGGTCTTACTGATTCCACACCGATGCCCTCAAACTCCACATACCCAGCTTTTTCCTTCCTGTCAGCAATAGACAACGTTTTCCTCTTCCCTTTGGATATGAAAAGGCTGCTTGAAGACACACCATTGTTTTCATGGTACAATCAAGTAAGTGTTTAGGGAAACTTAAAATGTCAACGAATTGTATATATGGGTAAACTGAGGGTAAGGACTCAGGTCGGAGATGGGAATAGAACCCACATTTGGGTTGACTCTCATTTGGCCCTCTTTTTACCATGTTGAGAACTGATTCAAATAAAGAGGGAAGACTTACATTAGGTGCATCTTTATTCTGCTGTCTTTTGCTTCTAGCCTTATTTCTTTTAGGATCTTGGTTACTTTGGAGACTATTCTTAACTGAATGAGTTTTTATATCTTTTCTAGGTGTATAGGACACTTATTTTTCACTACAGTTTTAAATCCACTTATGTTAAACTTTATTTTTTTTTTCACCTAAAGTGGAAACCAGGCAATATTTAACATGAAAATGATGTAAGTAGAAAATTCATGAAGGATGGATGAAATGCTGCGATATGAGATTGGGTTGTATTAAGATATGATTGAGAAACTCCTGGAGCTTAGAGGAATTTTGTAATCCCCAAGTTTGTAGTGAACCAGAATAAGGGAATAATGTGCCAGTCTAATATTTCTCTTATAGAGGAGCTGAAATCAGGTTGCTTAAAGAAATTATAGTACAACAACTCAATGATTCCATTATGCAGGCTTTAACTATAATTTTTTAAAACTGACATCCTATGAAGACTATAACACAATATGGAATTAAAACCACCTTATGTCATAATGTAATTATAATAGTTATAACGATTTAAGTTATGCAAAAACCCACACACATCTATTGAAAAAAAAAAAGACCTGAAAGAACTCTACAACACACAATAATAGTAGGTGTTTTCGTATAATTGGATTAGGAGTGAATTTAGTGATGAGAATGTGTTGATTTTATAAATAACATTATTTTAGAAAACAAAAAGTAATCTAAACATTGACATAAAAATAATACTATTCACACTGGGTGTGCTGGCATGCACCTGTAGTCTCAGCTACTCCAGAGACCAAGGCAGGAGGATCGCTGGAGCCCAGGAGTTCAAAGGCCAGCCTGGGCAACATAGCGAGACTCTGTCTCAAACAAACACACAAGCAAAAATAATACTATTTGCTTGCCACATAAAGTTCTGTCTAAATTCTAATCATAGGCTGTAGCAAATATTACCAAACTTTTTTTTCTGTGTAGGGCCAGATAGTAAATATTTTCGGCCTTGTGGGCTAAGGTGGTAAAATTGAGGATATTATGAAGGTACTTGTGGTAGTTTCTTCCGTCTGTTGTAACAAATTACCACCAACCTGGTGGCATAAAACAACAGAAATTCATTCTCTCACAGTTCTGGAGGCCAGAAGTCCCAGATTATTTTCACTGGGCCAATATCAAACTGCTGGCAGGGCTGCATTTCCTCCTGAGTTCCTAGGGAAGGATGATCCCTTGCCTCTGACAAGCTTCTGTGGCTGCTGGCATTCCTTGGCCAATAGCCCCTCACTCCAGTCTCTGTCTCCATCTTCAAATCTCTTTTCCTCTGTTTGTGTAAAATCTCCCTCTGTCTATCCATTTAAATGACACTTGTGATTGCATTTAGGGCCCATCCAGGATACTCTCCCCATCTTAAGGTTCCTAATGACCACCTGCAAAGATACTTTTCCCATATAAGGTAACATTAACAGGTTCCAGGAATTAGGACCTGAGGTCTTTGGGTAGCCATTATTTAGCCTACTCCCTGACCCACCTCATTTGCCTGGGAACTGGGTGGACTGTCCTGGGTGGAGGGCATGCTTGTACCTAGTTGCTGTCAGCTGGAGACATTTTTTGGACTAAGTGACAGACATGATGGGGAGGGATCTGGTGGGCCAGAAAGGTAGGGGCTGGGGCTGGGAATGGCTCCTGGGGTCAGTTTATTCTTGGCCCCAGTGACTTCTACATCCCAAAGTGCATATCTCTCCTTCTGAAGAAACTTGAAGTCCTCAAATTGGGACCCATCAGGAGGAGGTGGGGCAGTTCATGGATTGAGTTTTCACTGTGTTGGCAGCTGCCAACAGCAGAGTTCCCAACAAGCAGGTGGCACTGCCCTGCACAGTGGCAGGGCGGGCAGAGGGGTAGGGAGGCAGTTTCTGGGAGTGGAGGGGACACCCCAGCTTGGTCTTTGTGGCTCTCAGTGCTAACTTGCTAGAGGGTGCTCTGGGACTCTACAAGTTTCCTGATGCCTGGGCTAGACTAACGCTACCTGATATAGTTTGAATATATATCCTCACCAAATCTCATGTGGAATTGTAATTCCATTGTTGGAGGTGGGGCCTGGTAGGAGGTAATTGGGTCATGGGGGTGGATCACTCACGACTTGGTGCTGTCCTCAGGATAGTGAGTGGGTTCTCGTGAGATCTGGTTGTTTAAAAGTGTGTGGCACCTACCCCCCCACCCCCACTCTCTCTCTTGCTCCTGCTCTCGCCATGTGATGCGCCTACTCCTGCTTCACCTTCAGCTGTGAGTAAAAGCTCCCTGAGGCCTCCTCAGAAGCCAAGCAAATGCTGTTGCTTTGCTTGCTGTAAAGCCTGCAGAACCGTGAGCCAATCAAACCTCTTTTCTTTATAAATTACCCAGTCTCAGATATTTCCTTATAGGAATGCAAGAACAGCCTAACACACTGCCTAAATTGTATTTTGCTCCTTGAAAAAAATCTGTAATTAAATTATTTTGGGAGAAGCTGCATACCACATCCTTTTCTTACAGATGAATCACACACATGAGGATATTAAAGCCTCTTTATCTTTCTGAACTGAAGAAATCTAACTGGATTCAACCCATCACTTCCTAAACTTATTTGAGCATGGAACCCTCTTTCAGTGTGACAAATAATCTCTTGGCACTGATGTTCCATGGAACACAGTTTAGATTGCTCTGAGCTGCACCTTAATTTTACTATGTTGGATTTTAGGAGCAAGATGGGCTCTGAGCTAGAGAGCTCCTAAGTGTTTGCTCCATCTGAGCCTGCAGAATACTACAGTAGGCTGTACATCTATAGGGATCATACCACAATACCCTAGGGATACTGAGCTGTGGCATGTGCTTCCCCAGTTAGGCCACCACAGGATAGCTGGGAACCACCTGTTAGGAAAGATCTAAGGTGCCATCACTTCCTTGTGACCACTGGGTTTTCTGCACTGATCTGGGCTATTGTAGCCCTTGATGATGCCCAGGAATGAGAATTATGGGCATAGGGTGGGGATGGGCAACTGTTCTCTGAGCAGCTAGAACCTTAAACCTCTTTCCGCTGGTCATCCTTATTGGAGCGCTTATGTTTTTTGTTTTTTTTTTTTTTGAGACGGAGTCTTGCTCTGTCGCACAGGCTGGAGTGCAGTGGCGTGATCTCGGCTCACTACAACCTCCGCTTCCCGGGTTCAAGCGATTCTCCTGCCTCAGCCTCCCAAGTAGCTGGGACTACAAGCACGCACCACCATGCCCAGCTAATTTTTGTATTTTTAGTAGAGATGGGGTTTCACCATGTTGGCCAGGATGGTCTCGATCTTTTGACCTCGTGATCCGCCCACCTCGGTCTCCCAAAGTGCTGGGATTATAGGTGTAAGCCACTGTGCCCCGCCCCTGGTCATAATTTTTAACTTAAAAAATAGGAATGATCATAGTACCTATTTTTGAGGACTCGCGTAGATTAAAAAGAGCTTAGAACAATTATTGATAAATGTTAGCTATTATTATTAGGTTTTTGGCAATTGTATACAATGTCACAATTATTGTTTTTTTTTTTTTTTTTTTTTTGAGATGGAGTCTTGCTCTCTCGCCAGTGGTGCAATCTCAGCTCACTGCATCCTCCGCCTCCCAGGTTCAAGTGATTCTCCTGCCTCAGCCTCCAGAGTAGCTGGGATTACAGGTGCCCACCACCATGCCTGGCTATTTTTTTTGGATTTTTAGTAGAGATAGGGTTTCACTATGTTGGCCAGGCTGGTCTCCAACTCCTGACCTCGTGATCTGCCCACCTTGGCCTCCCAAAGTGCTGGGATTACAGGCATGAGCCACCCACGCCCGGCTTATTTTTATTTTTATTTTTTTTGAGATGGAGTTTCACTCTCGTGGCCCAGGCTGGAGTGCAATGGTACAATCTTTCCTCACTGCAACCTCCGCCTCCCAGGTTCAAATGATTCTCCTGTCTCAGCCTCCCTAGTAGCTGGGATTACAGGCGCCTGTCACCACGCCTGGCTAATTTTTGTATTTGTAGTGGAGACGGGGCTTCATCACGTTGGTCAGGCTGGTCTCGAACTCCTGACTTCAGATAATCCACCCACTTCAGCCTCCCAAAGTGCTGGGATTACAGGTGTGAGCCACCATGCCCAGCACAATGTGACAATTTTTAACAACTTGTGAAGATTTCTGCAAGTTTTAGTTGACCTGCTTTCATTTGACTCGATAGCAGAATTTTAAAGACTGTTTATTTTGTCAAAAGCCAGGGGTGGTTGTTTAACCTTTTAACCAATGTATTTAAAATTAAAAAACAAACAAACAAAACATTTTGCTTTCTATTTCTCTTCAGAATCTTAGCATTCCATATGAGAACATTGACATTTATGCTGATTTATTTTTATTCTTTTTAAAGTCATTTTCTGTTTTACCCACATTTTAGCCTTTGCAGTCATCTGTGACTCTTCTCTCTCCCACCCACACCCAGCCCATTAGCAAATCCTGACCAGCTTCATCTTCATTATGTGCCCTTCCCTCACCCCCACTGTTAGCACCATCATCTCATGTCTGGATTATGTCAACCGACTCCCAACTTGCGTTTGCTTCTGCCCTTGCCATCTACCAACCCTACCCCAGACTGATTTCCACACAGCAGCCAGAGTGACCCTTTGAAGAGTAATTGAGATCACTTCCCTCCTTTCTTCTAAACCTTTCAAATAACTTCAGTCTTGGCCCCAGCCTACATGATCCGGCCTCCCTCCCCACCCCTCTCCAATTCTGATCTCATTGCCTACCCCACTCCCTTCTCAGCTCTGCTTCAGCTCACTGCCTCCTCCTTGTTCCCAGACATGGCATGTGTGCTTTTGCCTCAGGGCCCTTGTATTCACTGGGATACAGACCTGAGCTTCAGTGACTTTTATGCCCTGCATTTGTGGAACTATATGAACCAGGAAGGGAGGTCTGTGGTTAGAGGAAGCAACACACTGGTGGACAATCTCTACTGCAAGAGAAGAGAGTTCTAGGAGTTCCCTCCTCCTGGAACTCTCTTTTCTCAGCTATGGGCATGGTTCATCCACCCACTTCATTCCAGTTTCTGGGGGAACTAACGTAATACAGCGCTCCACCCTGGCCCCTTCACAGTCCCTTCACCCAGCTTTTTTTCTTCATAGTTGTTGTCAGCATCCAACACAGAAGGTTTATTTATTATCTGTCTCCTCCCAGTAGGGATTTCTGTTTGTTTGTTCACTGCTGTATCCTTAGCAGTTTTAATAGAATTCGGCACATAGTAAATAGGCCCTCAATAAATTAATTCCTTTAATAATAAAGGAATTAATACATGAGCAAAGGTATGCATTTTAAGATTTTTTTATCAATTTTTCAAATAGCAGACATACTGATTTTTTTCATTGTCAGTTGTTAGCATTTTAAGGGCTTTATTTGGTTCTTCCTCTACAGTTACATATTTGTAGTTTATGTACACCCACGTTGAAGAATGACTCATACAGTGCATAGTGAAATCTTTTCTGGATTTCTTCTTTATCTTTCCAATGCTTTAATGTTTTTTTAAAAAAACCATTTCATGAAATCTTTAAAAGCTGCTAAAACTTTCCCATTGATACTGATTGCTGCAAACTTTTTACTTAAATGAAAAATTTTAGAGTGAGGTAAGTTTGGTAAACTTGCAAAATCGGGCTGTGGCAAATAGGATTTTGGGAAGCTGGCTTCTTTAACCCCTCCCCAGCCTCTCTGGGCCTGGCCTCCTGCTGTGATGCCCCTCCCTCTTCCCCTGGCTACTTGGGGCTGATTTGCACCTGCTCCTGCAGATCAACGCCAGCGCAGAGAGAAACTGGCTCCACATCAGCTCGGATGCATCCCGCCTGGCCATCATCTGGAAATACGGTGGCATCTACATGGACACCGATGTCATCTCCATCAGGCCCATCCCTGAGGAGAACTTTTTGGCTGCGCAGGCTTCTCGGTACTCTAGTAATGGAATATTTGGGTTCCTCCCCCACCACCCCTTTTTGTGGGAATGCATGGAAAACTTTGTTGAACACTATAATTCAGCCATTTGGGGCAACCAAGGCCCTGAGTTGATGACAAGGATGTTGAGGGTATGGTGTAAACTTGAAGACTTCCAGGAGGTGAGCGACCTCAGGTGTCTGAACATATCCTTCTTACACCCCCAAAGATTTTACCCCATCTCCTATCGAGAGTGGAGGCGCTACTATGAAGTGTGGGATACAGAGCCAAGCTTCAATGTCTCTTATGCCCTGCATTTGTGGAACCACATGAACCAGGAGGGGCGGGCTGTGATTAGAGGAAGCAACACACTGGTGGAAAATCTCTATCGCAAGCACTGTCCCAGGACTTACAGGGACCTGATTAAAGGCCCAGAGGGGTCAGTGACTGGGG
Organism: Homo sapiens; assembly: GCF_000001405.40. NCBI lineage: Eukaryota > Metazoa > Chordata > Mammalia > Primates > Hominidae > Homo > Homo sapiens. The sequence goes on along the minus strand of NC_000003.12, from coordinate 138,124,286 downwards.
AGCTGGGTCCAGGTAACAAATAAAGCTAACACTCGTTTGCTGCTGCTGCAGTGTGGAAATGGACATTTCCTGGAGTGCCACATTTTCACTTGATCTCCACTGTCTCTTGGCGGGGTGGGCAGAGGGTTGCCTCTCAAATGTCAGTTAGGATTAGCTTTCTCTGTCTGTAATAGAAAAATCCCAAATGATACTGGCTATAAAACATACACCCATGGTCCATTTGACTGCTTGACCTCCAACCCACCATGTTTGCATTTCAGGCAGTAGGATGAAGAAAAGAGGAAAGGTGCACTTGCTTTATTTTGTGAAGACTTCCTGCAAGTACCGTATAACACTTTCTCTTACATTGCACTGACTGAGATGTAGCTGCAAGAGAGGCTGGGAAGTTTAAGGAGGAAGAAAAAATGGGTACTGGGATAGGCAGCTAACAGTTTTGCTACATGTTCTATTTAATACAGTAAGATTAATTCCAGGACCTGTTAGAGCATTGACTGAGGTAAAAAGAGACTTGATTTCTAGTCCTGATTTTGACATTCATTAATGCATTCAGTCAATAAATATTAACTGAGCCTGGTCTATGTGCCAAACATTGATTTAGATGCTGCAGATACAGCTGGATCAAGCAGATGAGATCCTCAGCACTTATATCCTAATCCCTGGCCTCATGATCCTGGGACAGTCTCCTCCCCTCCCCAGGGTGTCTGCTGTTCTCTACCCTACCTCTTTCCAATATACACATTAACCCTGTCATAATTGGCCCACAGAAGCAACTTACCAACTCAGACTATTTAAAACTGCTGCCCTTTTTAGATTCACATAAAAATTTACCTCCTGCATTTCAAAATGTCATGTTCAAAGCACCATAAATATATACAATTTTTATTTGTCAATTACAAATAAATAAATAAATAATTTATTATTTCTTTTCAGGAGGTATGAAAATTAATATTTCTTCAGCAAACACTTAGCCAAGATTTTCTAGAACTTTCCTTTTGATAGTTTGCTTTATGGGAAAAAGTTTATATTTGCCCCCAAACGTAAAATTATGACACCCTTTCAAACTATATCCATCTATCCCTCTTTTATTCTAATATTTCCCCCTTTAGGAATCACTGCTGGCCAGGCACAGTGGTTCACACCTGTAATCCTGGCACTTTGGGAGGCTGAGGCAGGTGGATTGCTTGAGCCCAGGAGTTCAAGACCAGCCTGGGCAAGATGGTGAGACCCTGTCTCTACAGAAAATACAAGAATTAGCTGGGTGTGGTGATGCATGCCTGTAGTCCAAGCTAGCTGGGAGACTGAGTTAGGAGGATCACCTGAACATGGGAGGTTGAGGGTACAGTGAGCCAAGATCGTGCCACTGCACTCAGTCTGGGTGACAAAGCCAGATAAAAAAAAAAAAATCACTGCTTTGACAATCTTGTTAAAAAATATTTACAAGTCAAGTCTCATGTCCCAGCTTTATTTATTCACAGCTACTTGCTTTGGACTTGTAGATGTCTGATACCATCGTCAGGCTCTGAGGCCTGCTGCCATACCCCATGGCTGTCTTTTGGGTTGTGTCCTAGGAACCACTGCTGGTTTTCAGCTCTCCTGACTGTCTCCACAGATGAGGATTTCTAGGGCTAGCTGTCTTAGAGACAAGCAGGGACACATACATTGTCTCTCCCTTCTATTTTTGGAGAATGCATGACAAATGGTTCTTCAACTATTCCTGACCAACAGGGTTTTGAGGGGTTTGATTAGAAATATTTTCGATATTTCAAAAATATGTGAATTGGCCACGCACATTGGCTCACGCCTATAACGCCAGCACTTTGGGAGGCCATGGTGGGAGAACTGCTTGAGCCCAGGAGTTAGAGATCAGACTGGGCAACACAGCAAGACCCTGTCCCTACAAAAAACAAATAGCCAGGCAAGGTGGCTCACCTGTAGTCCTAGCTACTTGGGAGGCTAAGGAAGGAGGATCACTTGAGCCCATGGGTTCTAGGTTATGGTGAACTATGATCACACCACTGTGCTCCAACCTGGGCAAGACAGTGAGACCATATCTTAAATAAATAAATAAGTAAATAAATGTACACACACACACACACACGCACACACACATACACAAATTCATTTTGACATTAATGATAATTTGATGTTTATAGGGAGCTTTACCTGGCAGTAAATTATGTTTTTGATTAATAAAAAATGTAGCAAATAAAATAATAATGTATTACTTAATGAATCCAGTTTGCTTAGTGAAAAGGAACATTTCAAAACATGGTGGTGGTGATGATGGCAAGAGTAGTAAGTGGTAAGAAATGTGAGGTTCCTGGGACCCCAGATAACCCTGGATTCCTTCTGGCCTTTTGTGAATCTATGCCATGAATTTATATCAGGCTACATTTTGCAAATAGGCTCATGCTGGTGTTTTTCCCTGTATTAATTTTTTTTCAAATCCTACTCATTCTTAGAATTTCAAATAGGATTGTGTGGGGCAAAAAGTGAAAGTGCGTGTTGGGTACTACTGTCATGTTTGTAGGTACCTCTCGCTCTTTCTCTGCATATATATTCACGCTTATTGGTAAGAAGTCTCTTCCAAGTACCCTGCACTGCCACCTTGTCTGCCCTTGCTTTTTCCCCAGGACTCCCACCCACAATTCAACAGGACTGTCTCTTTCCTTCTCTAGGGTAAGAGCCAGCATCAGTGCTGATTGGTTGGTATCTGTGCCAGACTCGTTAAATATTTTGAATACCATTCCTGAGTTTCTCATATAAATAGTTAAAAAAAATACAAATGGAATCATAAGATACATGTTATGGCCATCCGTGGTGGCCTATGCCTGTAATCCCAGCACTTTGCGAGGCTGAGGGGGGCAGATCACTTGAGGTCAGGAGTTCGAGACCACCAGCCTGGCCAACACGATGAAACCCCGTCTCTACTAAAAATACAAACATTAGCCAGGCGTGGTGGCGCGTACCTGTAATCCCAGCTACTTGGGAGGCTGAGGCAGGAGAATTGCTTGAACCCGGGAGGTGGAGGTTGCAGTAAGCTGAGACTGTACCACTGCACTCCAGCCTGGACAACAAGAGCCAAATTCTGTCTTTAAAAAAAAAAAAAGATACATGTTATTTGTATGTTGTTTTTCACTTTAAAAATGTGTATGTCGTAGGTACCTTTTTTCATTAGCACATCAAGATATAATATACTTTTTTCTTTATAATGGTTGCATAGTGTTTCATTGTAGGATACATGATAATCTACTCAATCATTATTTGATTGGTGGATATTTACATTATTCTAATTTTAATAGTACATGTAATACTATAGCAAAAAATCCTGATTACTGCATTTTTGAGGACTTTAAATTTTGATAATTATTTTTCAAGAAGGCTGTTTGAAACTGCCCATTTTCCCACTTTTCACCAGTTTAAAACATCTATTTAATTTTGGTCAGTATAATAATTTAAAACATGTAATTTTTATGTTCATTTTGGTAAGGTTGTTTACATGTTTAACTGGCAATTTTTTTTATTATATGAATCATCTCATCTTTTGTCCACTCTTCTTTTGAGTTGTTCTATTTCTTGTTGATTTGTAAGCACTCTTTATAAATTAATGTCATGAATACTGTATCATTACACTGCATTTTTTTTAGTTCTTTGTTTTTTAACCTCATTTAGGATGTTTTCACCATATATGTTTCAAAATTTTTATGTAATCCAACCTGTCTTTTTTTTTGTTTTTTGGGTTTCATGCCATGCTTCCCTACCCTTCTGTCACTCTGCTCCCCTTCAAGAAATAAAGGCAGAGCTCTCTCACCCAAGGGAATTGTCAGGACCCTGAATCTCAGATGTATCTTCTAAACTAAGTTACAAGGTTAGTGCACTCTCCTTGGTGGTATTGGGGCAGGGATTCTTAATTTAGGGGGCTGTGAAGAGATTTTGGGGGTCTGGGAACTTACTCTTTATTTTTACTAGCTGTTAATCAAAATGTATCATTCCTTCCAATTATGAATGTATGCCACAAACCACAGTAGTATTAGTAGAACCTGTGACTTTGTCATTAAATATTAGTTTTTTCCTATCACATTAAAGTTATTACGGATATCTTGAAATAATTGTTTACACTCTTACTACTTTTAGGTCAGATGCTAGATCTTGCCATTTAATGCATTAATAAACAAAAATGCTATTATTTTACACATTTTCTTATGTTTTCATAGCTATATTTTCAATATTTTGATGTCCTCTGTAATTCTATGTTTTGCTTGGTGCATTTAAAACCATTCTTAGGCTGGGCGTGGTGGCTCACACCTGTAATCTCAGCACTTTGGGAGGCTGAGGTGGGCGGATCACAAGGTCAAGAGATCGAGACCATCCTAACCAACATGGTGAAACCCCGTCTCTACTAAAAATACAAAAATTAGCTGGGTGTGGTGGCAGGCGCCTGTAGTCCCAGCTACTTGGGAGGCTGAGGCAGGAGAATCGCTTGAACCCAGGAGGTGGAGGTTGCAGTGAGCCGAGATCATGCCACTGCACTCCAGCCTGGAGACAGAGCAAGACTCCGTCTCAAAAAATAAATAAATAAATAAAAAATAAAAATAAAAACCATTCTGAGGAAAGGGTGTGGGCTTCATCAAACTGCCAAAGAGGAATCCCTCCTCCAAAAGGCAAAAGCCCAGGCAGGAGGCAGCTGGGGCAGCTCCTTCTAGATCCCACCCGCCCATCACTGCCAGCCAATGAGGGGCCATATCACAGCCACGCCTTAGGCCAGGCTTATCCAGCTCTGCATTTTCATTTTTGCAGAAGGGATGTTTTCCTGAGAAAGGAGGTCTTTTCGGTAAGTGCTCAGACTTCCTTCAAAGTGAACTTTTCAGGGATTGGGCTAGAATGTACGATCTGCCTAAGAAAGTTTCCTCTCAGATCCTGCCAGTTCTAGACATGTCAGAGTGCAGGCCTTTCTTTTGTTGCTAGATTCTTAGATTTTTCAGAAACCAGCAAACCAGATTTTATGTAAAATCCTCCTCTGACTGTATGCCTGCCTATCTATACATCAACGCAGAAAACCCAACAATACACTTTTGACCTAAAATCACCTCAGGGCTCATTAGTGGCCGGCATCCCAGCGCAGGGAGACCTGTCCCATACACCTCAGATACACTTCCCTTCAGGAGAATGGGATCCAGAGCAGGTTTCTAAGGTGTGATGCCAGCATTTGGCAGCAGAGGGCACTCCTATTACAGGCTGTCTAGGCTGTGTCCTATTTCCTGAGGTGTAGGAGGGAGACCGTCTGTGAAAGGGGCTGAGCTGGGTCAGAGGGCGGGTGACTAGTACTGGGCTGAGGAGGGAGTGAGGGGCCATTGGGATATTGAAAATCCATCCTCCTGTCCTCCCACCCAGCAGTTATGGGCCAGCTGCTCGGGGTGACAGGAATGTCTCCTGGACTAGCCAGCTAGGGCCAGTCTCCCTTGGTCTATGCACCTGTCCCCACGGCTGATGCCAGAGCTTGTGTGTGCTACAGTAGAGGTGGGCAGCAGAAATGACAGCTTTCCAGTGCCAAGTGATCTAGTCCTCTAGAGGTTGTTGGTATCCTTGGGACTAAGAAAATAACTTGGCACATGATAGGCATGCAGTAACTCCTCCCTGTGTTGAGTGTTGAACTAAGGCCCAGTAAGGGAAGAGTGTGAGGGTTCCATGCATGAGGTCTTAGTCAGCTCAAGATTCAGGATTTGGTTTTTGGCTAAGGTAGATCTGGGTGCATGTCAAGTCTACTTTCTTACACCAGCCCTGCAAAGGAGGGCACCCTATTTACACATGGGGAAATTGAGGCTGGTGGAAATAACATGCACAAAGGTATCCTCAGAACTACTTTCTGCAAATTTCAGGGATACAGTGGGAAGAGAGCTGAGAAGCAAATGTCCTTGGCGATTTCACAGTGTCAAGTCAGGAGTGCACACCACTGACTTGTAGGCCCAGGGCAGAGCCTACATGTAATTTAGCTAATTTGATTCTAACAACTCTTCTAGGTAGAGTTTACTTTTCCCATTTTACAGAGGAGAAAAATGAAAGGTCAGAGAGGCTACGTGACTTTCCCAGGGTTATGTAGCTTGGGAATGTGGAATGTAGATGTGTCTTTGACTCCCAAGGCCTGGACTCTTCTCTTTGCTCTTGTGGGTGGCAGAAAATCCTGGGGTGAAAAAAGTGCCCTGACTAGGAGAAGACGGCAGGAACAAGATCCCCCATCCGAATACATGGTGCACAGATATCCCAACTTAGTCCTGGTCCCTGCTCCATCCACTATTTTTTTTTAATGTTTAAAAAATTGTGATAAACTGTACATAATGTAAAATTTGCCATCGTAACCATTTTCAAGTGTACAATTCAGTGGCATTAAGTACATTCACATTATTGTGCAACCATCACTACCATTTATCTCTGGAACTTTTTCATCATTCCCAAACTGAGAATCTGTACTCATGAATCAATAACTACTCATTCCCCCTCCTCCAGCCACTGGTAACCACTATTCTACTTTCTGTCTCTGTGAATGGACTATTCTAGGTACAAGTGGAATCATACAATATTTCCAGGTATAAGTGGAATAATACAATATTTGTCCTTTTGTGTCCAGCTTATTTCATTTAGCATAATGCTTTTGCCTTGATCTGAATGTTTGTGTCCCTGCAAAATGGGGTTGAAATCCTGACCCCCAAGGTGACGGTATTGGGAGGTGGGGCCTTTGGGGGGTGGTTAGGTCATGAAGGTAGAGTCCTCATAATTGGGACTAGTGCCCTTATGAAAGAAACCCCAGAGAGCTAGCCAGCCCCCTTCTACTAAGTGAGGGTGCAGTGAGAAGATGACAGCCTATCAACCAGGAAACAGGCCCTCACCAGGCACCGAATCTGCCAATGTCTTGATTTTGGACTTCCCAGCCTCCAGAACTGTAAGAAAAAAACTTCTATTGTTTATATGCTACCCACTCAATGGTATTTTGTTATAGCAGCCTGAATAGACTAAGACAGTTTTCAAGGTTCATTCATGTGTCAGAATTTCCTTCCCTTTTAAAGTTAATATTACATTGTATGGATATACCACATTTTGCTTATCCATTAATCTGTCGATAGACATTTGAATTGTTTCCACTTTTTGGCTATTGTGAATAATGCTATTATGAACATGAGTATACAAATATCTGTTTGAATCCCTGCTTTCAGTTCTTTGGGGTATATACCCAGAAATGGAATTGTTGGATCTTTTGGCAATTCTTGTTTAATTTTTTGAGGAACTACCATTCTGTATCCACAGTAATGGTACCATTTTACATTCCCACCAGCAATGCACAGGAGTTCCAGTTTCCCTGCAAGTCCTTGACAACGCTTGTTCCCATACACATTTGCTTTGGCTGCCTCAAAATGTAGAGCTTGGCAGATTGAGATTGTGGTGGGACGAAAGCCTTTGAAATGGAAAAAAGAGAAAGAGGGAGGGAGAAGAGTTGCGGAGTGGAGAGAGAGAGAGTGTGTGTGAAAAGGAGCTTTTTTCCCACTCTTCCCTGACCCTCATGGGGGCTGCAGCGACTCCTAGAACCTTCAAGCAGCGAGACAGAGGTTCCCTCCACCAGGCGCAGAGCTCTCCTTACACCTGGCCTCCTATTCCCAGCAACTTTAAGGAGATATTTTTAAGTGGCCATGGTTTTATCAAATGCCTATTAAGTTTTTGCCACAAAAGGATTTTATTTAAAATAAAAATAGGGGTAGGTATTTGACTGATGCCCCTTGTGAGTGCTCTAGAGAAGAGGAATGAATACTGACATGTCCTATCTTCCCAGATGCAGAATTGTAAAACAAACATAACTGCTTTTCACATGTGAAAGAAAACTGGCTTAGAACATACTAGCGTTTTCTTTGCCATGAAGGAGTTCACCTTCAGTGACTAAGCCAGAACTACTAGAGTTGCCGGGCCTAGGGACAGGAGACATTGCCAGTGCTTAGCCAGGCTGGCCAGGACTAACCATCTCTGCAAGGAGTCCACAAGAAGCCTCAGGGCAGCCTTTCCCTGCTCCTATCAATTTGAGTTGAGCAACAAACATTTTGACCAAATATCAGCTCTATGGCACAACTCACAGTTACGGTGCCCACAAAACGGAATCTCAGCAAAGCAACTACTACTATGGGAAGAGATCAGGGACTAATATCAGGAGAAAAAATAAGTTTTTCAGTCCTGGGTTTCCAAGTTGGCATCCCCAGGGCAAACCAGCAGGTTGGGAGGGTAGGGGGTGGTGGGTGGGGGCTGCGGAGGGAAGGTGGCTGCTGTCTGTCTGATCAGACCTGGGGCACACCCAAAGAACTCTCCTAGCTTGGGATCCGGTCAGGAAGAAACCAGGACGGTCCCTTTAGGAGGGTGGGCAGGGCTATCTGCCCGGGGGGTGCGGCCGCCCCTGCACAGCAGGCTATCGATTGTACCGGAGGCAGGGTGTGGGGAAACCGGGGCAAGTCCAGCCTCTCAGCAAGGCCAGGAAGCCATTCACTTGGATCCTGGATTTTACTAACGGATTAAACGTGGCATTCCCGCCTTCCCCCATCCGTTACAGACCTAAAAATAGCTCGTCCGAGAGGGGCCGGGAGAGGCTCCACCTCTTCTTGAGGTGGGGCGGGGCGGCTGTAGTAGGAGCTGGAGGCACCAGAGACCCCAAGCCACGAGCTGACCGACGCACCGAGGAGCTCTCTGTCCGCGGTCCCGCAGGTTGGCGGCACTGGAGTGGGCCGGGCAGGCTCTGCCTCCGCCGCAGAGAGCGCCCGGACTGCGTGGGGCTGGGGAAGCATCCCGGGAACGGCGGGCGGTGAGCATTCCGGGAACCATCTCTGGGCTGTCTGGGGCGGTGGAGCAAGTCTGGAGGCGGGACGTGGGGCGAGTATGGGAGCCGCCACCTCGAGACGTCTTCCCGCCGTCCCCGGCTCCAGGAGACCCCACGGTGAGCGGGCCGCGCGGGAAAACTATGCCAGGAATTCGTCCCGGGAGCGGGGCGGGTGGGTAGCTTGGCTGCAGTCCGAGGGATCAGCGATTCGGGAGGTTAAACATTAGCGGGGGCGAACTCCCTGCCGGGGTGCAGCGGGGCGCGGGAGGAGCCGGCTGCGTGCGTCCGCGCTGCCCAGGGCGCGCCCTTCTGGCCCGGCGCGGCCCTGCAGCCCGGCCCCCTCGGCCTGCTCCGAACTGCGGCGCCCAGGGAGGGAAGGACCCGTGCGCGGGGGACGAATGACGGGATGCCCCAAGACTCGGCTTCACTGGGAAGACGGCCTTGGGTTTTTACTTTTTGAAAAAAGAAAAGTGATTTGGGAGGGCTTGATGATCTGAGTGCCGTAGGTAAAGGAGGATTCTTTTAGTAATGAGGTGATTTAAAAGCAATCGCATTGGCATCTTTCGTTCCCCTTCTTCCTTTCCTGGGCTGGACCTCAGCAGGAGGCAGACGTGGTATTTTCATCCTGAGGTGGCTGCGCATAAAGTCCACCGAAGACCTGCTCAGTGCAGGACAGGGATCAGGAGGCAGGGCAGAGGAGGGGGTCCGAGGCTGCCTGGGCAGGGCCTAGTTCACGGAGCACTTCCTAGGGGCCCAGGGCCTAGGCTGCCCCTGCCTGGTCTCCTGGAATTCGATTTCTAACAGGACTTTGGAGAGAGGCCTGGGAAGTATGGGGTGTTCTGACTTGGCTTCTCACACCCTCATCTGCAGATAGGGTGGGTGATCTCTCCCTTCTCAGTTGCAGCCCCTAGCACCTCTCCTCCCCCTCCCGGATGTGAGGACTGGCCAGTGAGAACAATCCTGCTTAGGGAAGGCTGATCCTCCAGTCTAGTGGCTGATAAGGGGCCTTCTGACTGTCTTGGTCAGACACCTCCCTCATCTGGGAATATTTTTTGATACTATCTAACTTGATAAAATACCTCATGAAGTTGTATGCTTCAGGTTGGGAACAGAAACCTGAGTTCATGTGGGCACCATAACTGTGGGTTGTGCCATGGAGCTGATATTTGGTCAAAGGTTTTTTGCTCAACTCAAATTGATAGGAGCAGGGAAAGGCTGCCCTGAGGCTTCTTGTGGACTCCTTGCAGAGATGGTTAGTCCTGGCCAGCCTGGCTAAGCACTGGCAATGTCTCCTGTCCCTAGGCCTGGCAGCTCTAGTAGTTCTGGCTTAGTCACTGAAGGTGAACTCCTTCATGGCAAAGAAAACGCTAGTATGTTCTAAGCCAGTTTTCTTTTACATGTGAAAAGCAATTATGTTTGTTTGTTTTACAATTCTGCATCTGGGAAGATAGGACATGTCAGTATTCATTCCTCTTCTCTAAAACACTCCCAAGAGACATCAGTCAAATACCTACCCCTATTTTTATTTTAAATAAAATCCGTTTGTGGCAAAAACTTAATAGGCTTTTGATAAAACCATGGCCACTTAAAAATATCTCCTTAAAGTTGCTGGGAATAGGAGGCCAGGTGTAAGGAGAGCGCTGTGCCCGGTTGAGGGGACCTTTGTCTCGCTGCTTGAAGGTTCTAGGAGTCGCTGCAGCCCCCATGAGGGTCAGGGAAGAGTGGAAAAGGAGAACACCATGGAATCTGAGAATAAGGCTAAGCTCTGCAGTGGCAGTACTTCAGGAGAGCTCCCAGGTCCCTGTCATCTCTGTTGAGGTCTCTGGAGCTCCCTTGCATACTGTGTGTGCATAGCCTGTTTGCAAACTGTGTGAAGGTTTCCTTGGCAGCCACAACAATTAGCATTAATGACACGCCTGAGCTCCCCCAGTGGGCACTGCTGAAGTTAGCTTGGGAGCCAGGGCAGGTTTGTAAATGATTGCCTGGCAGCCACCTTGGAAACTTGGCTCCCTCAAGTTCTCCTCTTGACTGCATTCTTGAGGAAGCAGAAGAGACAGTAAAGTGGTGATGTTGTTGTTGTTGTCTAGCTGTCAGTTTATGTTAAAAAATAAGGTGTTTGGCCAATTTTGAGGGAGTTATTTTTGACAGATTATTGGTGGGCCGGTTTTAGAAGAACCATAAAGTCTCCAGGGATTGTTTCACAGTGGGATGGCTGTCTTGTGAGGTGGTGAACAACTTGTCACTGGGAGTGTGCAAAGCAAGGGTGGTAGATGGGTTTTCTATATTCTAGATGGGTGTGGGATTGTCCCAGGCAGAAACCAACTCTTAACAATGAAGCAAGTTTGAATGTTAGCACAAATATTCTTTTGGGTCCCTTATTCATAATATTGGTCTAGGAATGGGAAGTTTCCCAAAACCCTGTCAATATATCTAAAGGTGATTAAACAGCTTCAGTTTTCCTAATGACAGTGAGTCATTTCTTCTCTCTCTTTTTTTTTGAGACGAAGTCTCACTCTGTCGCCCAGGCTGGAGTGCAATGGTGCGATCTCGGCTCACTGCAACCTCTGCTTCCCAGGTTGAAGTGATTCTCCTGCCTCAGCCTCCCGAGTAGCTGGGACTACAGGCATGAGCCACCACGCCCAGCTAATTTTTGTATTTTTAGTAGAGACAGGATTTCGCCATGTTGGCCAGGCTGATTTTGAACTCCTGACCTCAGGCGATCTGCCCTCCTTGGCCTCCCAAAGTGCTGGGATTACAGGCGAGAGCCACTGCTCCTGGTTGACAGTGAGTCATTTCTTCCTTGTGTTTTTATTCCCAGATGTGGGAAAAGCAGTCTGCTCACAATTCGTCTGAAAAAAGCACGATGTCCTTGCCCCTGGGGTGTATGGTTTCCAGGTAACATGCAACACTCTCATTTGGCTTTTTGTCCGCCTATCCTAATCAGGACGCAAGCTGTGGAGCTGAGTCGGGTTCAGACAAGCCCTGCTGAAATACAGGGAGAATTTAGAATCCCCAACACTAACCCTGTGGTGATTTGCTGTAAACTCTGTCAGCGCTTGCACTTTGGTCAAGAAAACTCAGGTATTGTAATTTCCATAATGGAAAATAATTTGTATATCATTATAATTATCATAATTATTAAGAGTTTGGCATAATTCAAAAGCTCTGGAGTCAGATAGAACTTGGTTTGAATCTTGGCTTCATTATTTAGTAGCTGAGTGAGCAGGGATCTTAGCTTCTCTGAGCCTCAGTTTCTACATCTGTGAGATGAGACGAACCATAGCCATCTACAAGGCTATATGAGTTTAGAATTACTACTTTTAAAGGCAGGCACAGTGCCTGACATATAGATGTTTGATAAATATTACCTATTATACTATCATCATATCATCATAATCATCTTCAAGTTCCACAGTTCTGCTCCATCTTTTTTTTTTTTTTTGAGACAGAATTTCATTCTTGTTGCCCAGGCTGGAGTGCAATGGCACAGTCTCTGCTCACGGCTGACTGCAACTTCCACCTCCTGGGTTCAAGCAGTTCTCCTGCTTCAGCCTTCCAAGTAGCTGGGATTACAGGCACCCACCACCATGCCCAGCTAATTTTTGTATTTTTAGTAGAGACGGGGTTTCACCATGTTGGCCAGGCTGGTCTTGAACTCCTGACCTCAGGTGATCCGCCTGTCTCAGCCTCCCAAAGTGCTGGGATTACAGGTGTGAGCCACCATGCCTGGCCCTGCTCCGTCTTATAATGCCAGAGCTCTAGGACATCTAAGAATTGGACCCTTAGGGTTCTAGAAAAAGACATGAGTAATACTTTTGAGGTACATTAAAACCTCATGAACTCAGACCCCTAATTCTGTGTAGTTGGGAGTGGGGCAGCCACCTTCTGTGTTTATGGAGTATGCTCAGAGTGTAAGTATGAAGGTTTCAGGGCTGCTCAGGAAGCAAGCTCCAACACTGAGGCCATATCTTGACAGTCAGCGTGGGCACTGCGACTTCTCATTGATATGCCTGATTCCACCTGCCGGGACTCCTGCACTCTCAGCTCTTATTACTTGCCCATGGGATTAAACTCTGGATGCAGATGGTCAACAAATAAAGCATTTACTAAGTCTGAGTGGCATTTCCCTCCAATGAGTCCGAATGAAGGATTCCTACTCAGCTTTTACTCTTTGTACTAACTCTTGGCAGTCCATAGCCCCATTACTTCAAGACCCTAAGAATAACAGAATTTTTAAGTCAGATATGCTGAGATTTCAACAATTTTGCTCCGTTCAGTAGCAATCTGGGTGCCAGGTAATGGGCTGGGGACTGGGATACAGCAGATACGAATAAGCCATGGTCTCAGCCCCTGTAAAGTTCACAGCCAGGGGAGTGGGGGAGGAAGGAGACAGAAGCATCCTGGTATGGGCCCTTCCTTGGTGTTCCCAGAGAACCCTTTCCCAGCTCCTGTCTTGGCACTTGCCGCTCTGTGGGTTAATTTCTGTGTATTTTTCTGTCTCTCTGGAGAAAAAAACTTTGGAGCCAGACACTATCACTTACTAGTTGTGTGACTGTGGGAAAGTCATTTCCCCTGTTTGTTTCCTCTCTCTGTTTCCTCTCTTTGATCACACTCTGTTTCTTCATCTGCATAATAGGTTGTTGTGAGAATTAAGTGGGATAATACATGTAAAGCCTTAGCACTGTGTATGGAAAATAATAGAATTCCAGAAATGTGAACTATTTTTATTAACAACGGCAGGGATAGTTGCCCAGGTCAACATTGATCCCGAGTGCCAGTCATGATGCCTGGCACTTAGTAGGGCCTCAGGAATCATTTGTTGATGGGATGGAGATATGAATGTTGCAGAGACACCCTAACAGACAAAGTGTATGCTGTGCGCTCTGGAAGCCCAGGGGAGGGGCAGGGAACTTTGACTGTGAGCGTAGCAGGGATTTATGGTGATAATCATTTATTTATTTATTTATTTTATTGTGGGAAGTTTTTTTTTATTATTATACTTTAAGTTCTAGGGTACCTGTGCACAACGTGCAGGTTTGTTACATTATGTATACATGTGCCATGTGGGTTTACTGTACCCATTAACTCGTCATTTACATTAGGTATTTCTCCTAATGCTATCCCTCCCCCAGCCCTCCATCCCCCAACAGGCCCTGGTGTGTGATGTTCCCCTTCCTGTGTCCAAGTGTTCTCATTGTTCAATTCCCACCTATGAGTGAGAACAGGCCGTGTTTGATTTTCTGTCCTTGTGATAGTTTGCTCAGAATGATGGTTTCCAGCAAGGACTTCATGACTAAAACACCAAAAGCAATGGTAACAAAAGCCGAAATAGACAAATGGGATCTATTTATTTTATTTTTAATTTTACTTTAAGTTCTGGGATACATGTGCAGAACGTGCATGTTTGTTACATAGGTATACATGCATGGTGTTTTGCTGCACCTATGAACCCGTCATCTAGGTTTTAAGCCCTGAGAGCTGGGATATCAGGAAGCCCGGTGTGTGATATTCCCCTCCCTGTGTCTGTGTGTTCTCATTGTTCAACTCCCACTTATGAGTGAGAACATGCTGTGTTTGGTTTTCTGTTCCTGTGTTAATTTGCTGAGAATGATGATTTCCAGCTTCATCCATGTCTCTGCAAAGTACATGAACTCATTATTTTTTATGGCTGCAGAGTATTCCATGGTGTATATGTGCCACATTTTCTTCATCCAGTCTATCATTAATGGGCATTTGGGTTAGTTCCAAGTCTTGGCTATTGTTAATAGTGCTGCAATAAATATATGTGTGCATGTATCTTTATAGTAGAATGATTTATAATCCTTTGGGTACCTACACAGTAATGGGATTGCTGGGTCAATTTGTATTTCTGGTTCTAGATCCTTGAGGAATCGCCACACTGTCTTCCATAATGGTTGAACTAATTTACACTCCCATATGGTGGTAATCATTTATAAGCAGGGCCTTGAAACATGTGTCAACCTTTAATTGGAACAAAAGGAGGTGGCAAAGGACCATCTATACCAAGAGGCAGCATAGAATAGAGGCTAGCCCAGACTGGAGCCAGGCTGCCTGGGTGTGAATCTTGCCTCTGGATCTTGGGCAAGCTTCTTTATTTCTCTGTGGCTTAGATGATAATAGTACCTCCTCAAGGGCTTGTCCTGAGAAATAGATGAGTGCTTCTTTGTAAAGCATTTAAAAACAGTGTCTATACATAAAATAAACAGCCCAGAAGTGTGAAAGTGTGGAAGGCAAGTAATATGGTAAATGGGAGATGCAGCTAGAGAGGTACTTTTGGAAGCAGTTCATCAAAGTCTTTGAATATCACTCAGTGTATTTGGAATTAGCCAATAAGGAACACAAAATCCATTCCCCTGTGGCTGGAGCTCAATAGTGGTTTCCCACCTTAAACAGGGCCTGCACTCTCAGGTTTGCCACAATCCCTAATGTTTCCTAGCCCAGCACTCCACAGATTTAGTGGTTCTAAATCAGTAAGTCTGGGGATCTGCATTTCTAACAAATTCCCAGGTGATGCTGATGCTGCTGGTCCAGAGACCACACTTTGAGAACCACTGCCTTATTGTACCTTGGACAATAAGATGGAGAATGAGTTGCCATTTATCATCACACATGTACTGTGGTTTCTTTCATATCTGCTACATTTTGTGCATTTAATGTTACTTTTCTGGCCCTGGTGGAACTTGGGTTTGCAATTCCTGGCATTATCAGTATGGAATGGTTGGGTATAAGATCACAAGAGACCGAGGGGCTAGAGAGAAAGAGATTTGGGGGTGACTGAGGCTCAGCCTAGAGCAAGCCTATAGTAGCTGAAGCTGTGAGCTCATTCCTAGGGATAGCGTGCAGGGAGAAATGGGTTGCAGGTGGATAGCAGAATATCAAGGGGGCAGTGGCACACCCTGTCATAAAAGAAAGGGGAAAGAATAGCCACTGTTTAAGGAAGAGCATTCAAAAAGGTAGGAGGAGAGATGAGAGAGAGAGTGGCTGATGGAGAGTTCTTGACTTTATTATTAGAGAGAGGACTGTTGGCAAACATCTGACGCCAAAGCTTAAATAGTTAAACAGTGCAGTTCTCAGGTGAGCTCACCTGAGAGCTGGGACATCAGGAAGCAGGTGTCTTATTACCCTTGCCCACAGCATGCCTGGTAACCTGCTGTTGCTCCGAGGCACAGCTTGTTGTGAGTAGTCGTCTCTGAGGCTCTGGTGGCACAGTTGCAGCTTTGGAGCTAAGCATGGTGAGTATCATGTCACCCATCTCTACTCAAAATACAAAAAATTAGCCAGGCATGGTGGCGGGCACCTGTAGTCCCAGCTACTTGGGAGGCTGAGGCAGGAGAATGACGTGAACCTGGGAGGCAGAGCTTGCAGTGAGCCGAGATCGCGCCACTGCACTGTTTCATAACATGGCAGAAATGTGCTAGTCTTCTCATGGCCATGGTGGGGGTGCTTATGTCAGGCTGGTTTTCTTTTTGGAGTACTTGTTGGGAAAGAGTATCTGAGAAAGGGAAGGATGGATCTGAAACTGAAAAGGTGGGCCAGTGGCATCCTGTAGGCAGTCTCAAGACCAGGCTGAGAGGTTTGCGTTTGGTACAGTGGGAATAGGGAGCCATGCTGAGCTCCAGGGTGGGGAGCAGCTGTGTGGTTAATATGGCTCCATAGCCCAGGACCTGAGCTTGGGCTGGGCCCACATAGGCATACTATAAATGAGGAGTGAGTAAATGGATGAATTGGAGGTTTAAGGGATAAAGGATGATAATCTGATCAAAGCAATATTTTAGGAGGAATAGCCCCAAGAATCAATGTTGAGTGGTTCAGAGTCCATAAGCTTTGGTGCCAGATGAACCTACAATTACACTTCAAATCTGGTCTCCTGTTTTCATCCATTTTGTACTGTTGCAACAGAATGACACAGACTGGGTAATTTATAAAGAAAAGAAATGTATTTCTCACAGTTCTGGAAGCTTAAGTCCAATATCAAGTCCAATATCAAGCTTGAAGTCCAATATTGGGCAAGGGCCTTCCTGCTGCATCATCTCCTGGTGGAGAGTGGAAGGTCAAGAAAGCATAAGAGCAAGAGGGAAGGGGACTGAATTCCTCCTTTCATCAGGAACCTACTCCTGTGATAACTAACCCACTCCTACAATAATGACATTCATCCATTCATGAGGGCAGAGTCTTCGTGACTTAATCACCTCTTAAATGTCCCATCTCTCAACACTGCTGCATTGGGGATTGAGTTTTCAACATATGACCTTTGGGGGATGCCACTGAACCACTCCAGAAACCAGTTTCCTTATTTGTAAAATGAGAATAATAATACCTGTTTGTAGGTTTGTATTAGGAGTTTGTATCTAGCACAGAGGGTGACACTCCCTGCAGAGCTGCCATTGTTATCACTGAGCACCTTCCCCTTGCATCTTCTCCAAGTCTCATAGCACCCTGTGAGGTAGGCAGGGCTGGCCTGTCACTGCCTTTCACAGAAGAAGACAGTGGCTCAGTGGGGTCAGGGGCTGTTCCTGGAGGCCCTTCTCTCTCTCTCTTTCTCTCTCTCTCTCTCTTTTTTTTTTGGCCAACCTAGTCCTACCACTTTTTTTTGAGACGGAGTCTCGCTCTGTCACCCAGGCTGGAGTGCCGTGGCGCGATCTCGGCTCACTGCAAGCTCCGCCTCCCAGGTTCACACCATTCTCCTGCCTCAGCCTCCCGAGTAGCTGGGACTACAGGTGCACGCCACCACGCCCGGCTAATTTTTCTATTTTTAGTAGAGACGGGGTTTCACCATGTTGGCCAGGATGGTCTCAATCTCTTGACCTCGTGATCCACCCACCTTGGCCTCCCAGAGTGCTGGGATTACAGGCGTGAGCCACTGCGCCCAGCCTAGTCCTACGATTTTTTAAAGGCCTTCTTCCTTCTGAAGCTGATGACTTCTTTGACTTTCTATTGCACTTTTTAAAGTGCACTTTCTATTGCACTTTTTAAAGTCTGAATCATGGGCCGGGTGCAGTGGCTCATACCTGTAACCCCAGCTCTTTGGGAGGCTGAGGCGGGTGGATCACGAGGTCAGGAGTTTGAGACCAGTGTGGCCAACATAGTGAAACCCTGTCTCTACTAAAAATACAAAAAATTAGCCAGGTGTGGTGGAGTGTGCCTGTAATCCCGGCTACTCTGGAGGCTGAGGCAGGAGAATTGCATGAACCCGGGAGGTGGAGGTTGCAGTAAGCCGAGATCGCGCCATTGTATTTCAGCCTGGGCGACAGTGCGAGACACTGTCTCAAAAAAAAAAAAAAAAAAAAAAAAAAAAAGAAAGAAGACTGAATCATGTAATCTCGAAAGACTTGATTAAATAGGGTAAAGTGTACCTCTTGTTGCCTTAGTCAGATTCTCACTTCTGCAAGAACTGAAATTCTATGTTTTATTTTAAAAAATAATAAAAGTGATAGAAGATGATGATAAGAAGTTTGAATAGTACAGAGAGGTAGAAAGTGAAAAATAAAAGTCCTGTAATCTCTATTTTCACTTCCCAGAGGCAGCCATTGCTAATAGCTTCTTGTCTATCTTTCCAGAAACAGTCTATGCTTATGAAATAATATACATAAGTGAATCATACATATGAATTATAAATGAGCATATTTTATTCATTATAAAACTAATTATAACAAATATGAGTCTTTCATATGTATGTGTGTGTATGGGTGTATATATATGTTGACTCTCCATATCTGTGGATCTGCATCCACAGATTCAACAAACTGCGGATCAAAAATATTTGAAAAAAAAAGGATAGTTTCTTCTGTACTGAACATGTACAGAGTTTTTTTCTTGTCATTATTCCTAAATAATTAAGTATAACAGCTATTTTTATAGCATTTACATTGTATTAGGTATTATAAATAATCTAGAGATGATTTAGAGTGTGTGCGAGAATGTGTATAGGTTATATGCAAATACTACACCATTTTGTATAAGCAATTTGAGCATCTGTAGATTTTGGTATCTGAGGAGGGTCCTGGAACCAATCCCTCATGGACACTGACAGACGACTGAATATGTATATATATATATATTTATATAAAATGATCATCATTGGTCTGTGAAGGCCTATTTACCTGTCTATCTGACCATCACCACCCACACACCATCCATCCATTTATTTATCCCCATTCCACACTCCCATTTCCCTCCCTCCTCTCATAGACAACCATTCTAATATGATATATATCTTTCACTTTGGTGAGTTATTAAATATGATTATATTAATATGTCATTAAAACAGAAATAGAGGTATATATGCCTATTTTGTGTGTGTTTACATATATATATATTGGAGATTATCATTTCATATCAGTACATGTAAGTCTGCTTTATACCAATCAATAGCTGCATAATATTCCATTGCATAGAGATACATTGTACTTTGCTTTCTTCTACTTTTTCTTTTACTTTGCTTTTATAAAAGATGCTACAATGACAATTTTTTCACAAGTACCTTTGTACATATGAGTTTGTAGCATAATTATAATTTTTAGTAGTGGAATGTTCAAAATTCCCATTGATATTGTCAAATTACTTTTCAGAGAGAACAGTTCATATGCTCACCAAGAGTTTAGAGAGTAGAATCTGAGTCTTGGCAAAGAAACTAGAGATCTTTTTACTTAACTATTAAGTTAAAAAAAAGCCCATGATGGATTGAGCACCATGTGGCAGAGACTCCGTAACTCTCTTAAGCCCCTCCTGACAGGGGTGGACATCATTTCACTCACATTCCAGGAGAGAGAACTTAGTCATATGATCACACGTTATTGCTGGAGAAGCTGGGAAAGGTAGTTCACTCGTGTTCCATTAGAATCCTGTAGTTATATGAGAAAGAGAAGACAGGGTGGACATTAGGAACCTTGGTCACTCACAGCAAGTTGTCGGACTTTATCTTGAGATAAAAATAGGGTTGCAGAAGGACCCATTTGTAAATTTGATAGTCACCTGCTGACAAAGGCCTTTGCCAGGCATTCCTGCAGTGGAGGTGGGCTTTGCAGAGGGGGCTCACTGAGGACCTGCTATGTGCCAGGCACTAGGCTGGGTGCTTCACTTGCCTCATTCCTCACCACAGGCCTGCACAGTGGGACCCATGTTCCTCCTTAGACACAGGAGGCTTAAAGATGTGCAGGGACTTGCCCAAGGCAGAGCATTCGAATCCACATCTGTGTGATTGCAAAGCCCATGTTTTCTTTCCACAGCTCTGGCCATGTCAGCACACACCATGAATGCTACAGCTGCTGCACAGACACCTCACTTTGCCCCGCTTAGGCCCTTGCTGGCCAGATATACAGTAGGTGCAGCCACACACACCTCACCTAACTTGGACTCTCTTCTTATTTTCCAGGCCTTCTCTCAGCTCCTTGGCCTACTGCCGTGGCCTTGGTGCCCCCCTCCTCTGGTGGTCAGCTCAGGGCTTCCTCTGCCCATGCAGTCCCCAGCTGCCACTGCTGAGGGCCTCAGTGGCCCCCTCTTTGGGGCCTACACGTTCCCCACCTTCAAGTTTCAGCCTCGCCATGATAGCATGGACTGGAGACGCATTAGCACCCTGGATGTAGACCGCGTGGCCCGGGAACTGGATGTGGCCACTCTGCAGGAGAATATTGCTGGCATCACCTTCTGCAACTTGGACCGGGAGGTGTGCAGCCGCTGTGGGCAGCCTGTGGACCCGGCACTGCTCAAGGTGCTGCGCCTGGCGCAGCTCATCATTGAGTACCTGCTGCACTGCCAGGATTGCCTGAGTGCCAGTGTTGCCCAGCTGGAGGCACGGCTGCAGACCAGCCTGGGCCAGCAGCAGCGTGGTCAGCAGGAGCTGGGACGCCAGGCTGACGAGCTCAAGGGTGTGCGGGAGGAGAGCCGCCGGCGTCGCAAGATGATCAGCACCCTGCAGCAGCTGCTAATGCAGACAGGCACCCACAGCTACCACACGGTGAGGAATCTCCACCAGGCAGGGAGAGTGGGAGGGCTGTGTGCCCCAGCCACTGGGGCAACTGTTGCCACTGGGCAGCACTGCTGGGACCTTAAGGCTGCTGGGGGGCTGTTCTCACTGGTTAGGAGCAGATTTCAGAGATGCTGCTCATGGCCAGAGAGCCTGGGGGTGTCTCATTAGGTTCTACAGTGTGTGTGTGTGTGTATGTGTGTGTAGATTGTACATGTGTGGGAGGTGTGCGTGTTTATGGAGAGGGTACATGTCTAGTGTATGTATATGCATGAATGTATGGCGAGTGTGTGTGTTTGTAAATGATGTGAACATGTGTGTGTGTTTAATGTGTGTGTGTGTGTGTGAATACTTGAAGGGTACCTCTGTGTGTATGTAGGGTGTGTGGTGTGTAATGTGTGCTTGTACTATGTTATAAAGGATACAACTCTGGAGCATGTATAAAAAGGTGTATTAATAGTGTTAGTGACCAAGAAGCAGCTTCTCTGCTCCTTCTGGAATCTCCGCCTGGTTCAGCCCACCTGCCTCCACTCCTGCTTCCACCATGTTCATCAGGGTGACCCAGAAGTCCTACAAGGTGCCCACCTCTGGCCCCCAGGTCTTCAGCAGCTGCTTCTACATGAGTGGGCCCAGTGCTGGCATCAGCTCCTTGAGCTTCTCCTGAGTGGGCAGCAGCAGCTTCCGGGGTGACCTGGGCGGAGGCTATGGTGGGGCCAGTGGCATGGGAGGCATCACTGCCATCACTGTCAACCAGAGCCTGCTGAGCCCCCTTAACCTGGAGGTGGACCCCAACATTCAGGCCATGTGCACCCAGGAGAAGGAGCAGATCAAGACCCTCAACAACAAGTTTGCCTCCTTCATAGACAAGGTATGGTTCCTGGAGCAGCAGAACAAGATGCTGGAGACCAACTGGAGCCTCCTGCAGCAGCAGAAGACGGCTCAGAGTTAACATGGACAACATGTTCAGAGCTACATCAACAACCTTAGGCAGCAGCTGGAGACTCTGGGCCAGGAGAAGCTGAAGCTGAAGGCAGAGCTTGGCAACATGCAGGGGCTGGGTGGAGGACTTCGAGAACAAGTATGAGGATGAGATCAATAAGCATACAAAGATGGAGAATAAATTTGCCTTCATCGAGAAAGATGTGGATGAAGCTTACATGAATAAGGTAGAGCTGGAGTCTCGCCTGGAAGGGCTGACTGACGAGATCAACTTCCTCAGGCAGCTGTATGAAGAGGAGATCCGGGAGCTGCAGTCCCAGATCTCGGACACGCCTGTGGTGCTGTCCATGGACAACAGTCACTCCCTGGACATGGACAGCATCATCGCTGAGGTCAAGGCACAGTACAAGGAGATCGCCAACTGCAGCTGGGCTGAGGCTGAGAGCATGTACCAGATCAAGTATGAGGAGCTGCAGATGCTGGCTGGGAAGCATGGAGATGACCTGCAGCATACAAAGACTGAGATCTCTGAGATGAACCAGAACATCAGCCGGCTCCAGGCTGAGATTGAGGGCCTCAAAGGCCAGAGGGCATCGCAGATGCCGAGCAACGTGGGGAGCTGGCCATTAAGGATGCCAACGCCAAGCTGTCCGAGCTGGAGGGCGCCCTGCAGCGGGCCAAGCAGGACATGGAGCGGCAGCTGCGTGAGTATCAGGAGCTGATGAATGTCAAGCTGGCCCTGGACATCAAGATCGCCACCTATAGGAAGCTGCTGGAGGGCAAGGAAAGCCGGCTGGAGTCTGAGATGCAGAACACAAGTATCCATACAAAGACCACCAGCGGCTATGCAGGTGGTCTGAGCTCGGCCTATGGGGGCCTCACAAGCCCTGGCCTCAGCTACGGCCTGGGCTCCAGCTTTGGCTCTGGCGCAGGCTCCAGCTCCTTCAGCCGCACCAGCTCCACCAGGGCCACTGTGGTTGTGAAGAAGATAGAGACTTGCGATGGGAAGCTGGTGTCCGAGTCCTCTGACGTCCTGCCCAAGTGAACAGCTGTGGCAGCCCCTCCCAGCCTGCCCCTCCTGCGGCTGCCCCAGAGCCCAGCGGGGGAGGCTGCTGTGCAGGGTAGCACAGGGAACGGGAGACCCACCTGAGGCTCAGCCCTAGCCCTCAACCCACCTGCGGGGGAGTTTACTGCCTAGGGACCCCCCTTGCCCATGCCTCCAGCTACAAAACAATTCAATTGCTTTTTTTTTTTGGTCCAAAATAAAACCTCAGCTATCTCTGCCAAAAAAAAAAAATAGTGTTTGTGTGTGTGTGAATGAATGAAGGGTATATATGTGTGTAAGAGTGTGTGTTTGTACTTATGGAGAGTGTATGTAAGGATGAGTATGTAGAAGAAGGATGTATATGTGTCTAAGGGTGTATTTATAGAGGGTGTGAGTGCGTGCATATTTATATATGATGGAGGATTTGTATGTGTATGTAGAGGAGTGTGTTGTGTAAAGGTGTGTGTGAGGGGTTTGTGTGTGCATGTGTTGAATCTACGTGTGACAAGGGATTGGTGGAGCCAGGCCTATTCTGGAATACTGACTCCATTATTCAACCAAGTGACAGTTCATTTCCCAAAGCAACATGGAGCGTTTGCATGTGTCTCCATGGAAGTATGGATTAGGGACATTTGCCCTTTAATAAAAATTGTCATGGTGGCTAGGCCCTGTGCCAGGCTCTGAGGATGTGGGCACAAATCATGCTGGTTCAGGTTTTTAAGACATTCATAGTTTACGGATGGATGGGTTACCTATTTCTGCTTATAACACTTCTGACACCAAATGTGTGTTTTTCTTCCTCACACCAACCAATTCTCCAATGCCACCTGGGTGCCCTTCAATTCAATTCTGACACTATCTACCTGGAGTTAGCATCAGATCCCATGAGTTAAGGGATCAGTCCCACAAGACTGGCCCCACTTCAGATACCTGGGCCTCCTGTACTTCTGACTAACTGGCTACAAATTGAGGGTTCCCATAACTCCATCTTGAGGTTCAATAATTTGCTAGAATGGCTCACAGAACTCAGGAAGAAGACACTTTATTACTAGTTTATTATAAGGATAGAAGTCAGAACAGTCAAATGGAAGAGATGCACTTGAGGACAAGAGAGGACAAGGTATGGGAGAAGGGACTCGGAACTTCCCTGCCCTTTCTGAGTGTGACATCTCCTAGCACCTTAGTGTTTACCAATCTGGAAATTCTCTAAATCCCATCATTTAGGGGTTTTATAAGATTCCACCAAGCATGCATAATTGATTAAATCATTGGCCATTGCTTAGTAGTCCAGCCCCTCTTCCCTCCCTGGAGGCTGGAGGGTGGGGCTGAAAGTTCCAACCCTCTACCCATGCCTTGGTCTTTCTGGTGACCAACCCCCATCCTGGGGGGATTACCTGAGCCCGGCATCTTAATCGTAATGAGAGCTGATGAGCCAAAAAAAAAAAAAGGATGGGGGTTGGTCACCAGAAAGTCATTTGCGGGGTGGGGCAGAAGGTGCCCAGCCAACAGTCCTTTCATTAGCATACAAAAAACACTGTCTTAGTAAGTTTAGTGTTGCAATAAAGGAATACCGAAGCTGGATAATTTATAAAGAAAAGAGGTTATTTGACTCACAGTTCTGCTGGCTGGAAGGTTCAAGACTGGGCACCTGATGAGGGCCTCTGGCTGCTTTCACTCCTGGTGGAAGGTGAAGGGGAGCTGGCCTGTCCAGAGCTCATTGCAAGAGAGGAAGTAAGGGGAGAGGAATGCCAGGCTCTTTCTAACAACCAGCTCTGTCAAACTAATAAGAATGAGAACTCCCTCACCCCCAAGGGAGGGCATTAATCTATATATGAGGGATCTGCCCCATGACCCAGATACCTCCCACTGGGCCCCACCTCTCAACACTGCCACACTGGAGATTAAATTTCAACATGAGATTTGGAAGGGACAAACATTCAAACAATAGTAGACACTCTTATTACTCTGGAGATTCCAAGGATCTCAGAATCTCTAAGACCAAATATTATTACAAAAGGTGCTTTACTGCCCTTATCACTCTGAAGATTGTAAGTTAGGTGTGTCCAATCTTTTGGCTTCCTTGGGCCACATTGGAAGAAGAAGAATTGTTTTGGGCCACACATAAAATACACTAACATTAATGATAGCTGATGAGCTAAAAAAAAAAATTCCTAAAAAAATCTCATAATGTAAGTTTACAAATTTGTGTTGGACTGCATTCAGAGCTGTTCTGGGCCACATGTGGCCTATTGGCTGCAGGTTGAACCAGCTTGTTGTAAGTGTTTTAGGACCTCCTTGCCAGAAACTAGGAAGGAACAAAGACCAAATATACATTCTTTTTTATTTTTTGAGACAGGGTCTCACTCTGTCATCCAGGCTGCAGTCTGATCATGGCTCACCACAGCCTTAACCTCCCAGGCTCAGGTGATCCTCCCACCTCAGCCTCCTGAGTAGTTAGGACTACAGTCACCTACCACCATGTTTGTCTAATTTTTTTAGAGACAGGGTTTCTCCAGGTTGCCCGGGCTGGTCTCGAACTCCTGGGCTCAAGTGATCCGCCCACCTCAGCCTCCCAAAGTTCTAGGATTTTAAGTGTGAGCCACTGTGCCCAGCCTACATTCTTATTGTATCACAATATCACAGTGGGACAGAAGGAATCGTTATGATATATTATTAATTGATAACAAATTGATATAATTGATATGATGTTTATGATTAAAAGGGTCAGAACCCTTTTAGTAGTAAGTCCTGTGGACACACCTGGTTGCTAGGAAGGTTGGGACATAGAGTGTTTATTCTCATTGGCCACAGACTTACTATTACCAAGGAAGAAAGGGAAAATGGGTATTGGGGGACAACTGGCAATTCCTGTCACAATTGTCTGCAAAGATAGCAAATAATCTGCCTATGGATTAACTAACAATGGCAGCCTCCAAAGCTGTGTTGAGAAGAATTCTGAAATTTTACAGTGAGAAGACGATGTGATAGATTGCTTATGTCTAAAATGTCTTAGGAGAGGGATGTGGAATTACAGATGCTGTTTATTTGCTAACCTCTCTGCCTCTGGTGTTTCTCCACCCTGGGATGGGACCTAGACATTGGCATATTTTAAAAACTTTTTATTATGGAAAATTTCAAACATGTACAATAGTAGAGAGAATAATATAATGAACCTTTATCTACACACTAACAGTATCAACCCATGGGCAGTGTTGTTGCATCTCTTCCCCTGCCCACTTTCCCTCACTTCTGGATTATTTTGAAGCATATTAGTATTATGATTTTATTTGTAGTATTTCAATGTCTCTATTTGTATCTCTAAAAGAGAAAGACTCTGACTTTTAAACATAGACAAACACCATCATCACACTCTGAAAAAGCAACAGAAATTCCTTAGTATCATCAAATATCCAGTGTTGACAGTTTCCCGGGACACTGGTAGTATTTTAAAGCTCCGGTGATCCTAGTGGGCAGCATGGGCTGACATCATTGCCTTGCTCAGTAAATTAAATTCTTTATTTCTGAAGCAGCCCAGGGGTCCCAAGGGGATGGGGGCTTTGATATAGGGAAAATCCCAGGCTGACTCAGGTGACCTAATCTTGTACTCCCCATTGCTTCCTCTCTGTATAGTGCCACCTGTGTGACAAGACATTCATGAATGCCACCTTTCTCCGGGGCCACATCCAGCGCAGGCATGCAGGCGTGGCAGAAGGTGGTGAGTCCAGACAGCAGCCCGGGCCCCTTCTGGGACTGTGGAAAGGGCTGGGGCTGGTATTCAGTGGGTGGTGACCACCTATAGCACCCAAAACTGCTCTCAGAACCTCACTGTCCAATTGGGGATGGGATGATCCCACCATCCACCACCGGGGGAGCCCACATGGGTTGGAAGGGTTTCTGACCCCACGTGTAAAGAAGGGCTGGGAGTCAGACAGGTAGATTTCACTCTTAGCTCTGTCGCTATTTATTATGTAACCCCGGTCCATGCTTTCCCCTTTGTGTCTCAGTGGCCTTCACTGTGAATGGGGCAGTCAGATGGAGTGACTTTGAAGGGCTCTTACCTTCCAGCCTTCTGCGAATCTGCAGTTCCCTGATGCCAGCCACGAATAAGCCTAAATGGGGTGAATGGGCAGTCAGACCAGTTCTTTGACTTTTCTACATACTTGAGCTTATCATGATCTAATCACTTTAATTTTACAATTTCAGATTCCAAAATGAGGAGCAAGGCTGTATGTTTTCCCCATAAAGAGATTTGCATATTTTACATTCACTTTTCTTTTCTTTTCTTTTTTTTTTTTTGAGACAGGGTCTCACTCTGTCACCCAGGGTGGAGTGCAGTGGCTTGATCTCGGCTCCATTGCAGCCTCCACCTCCTGGGCTCAAGCAATCCCCGTACCTCAGCCTCCTGAGTAGCTGGGACTGCAGGCACGCACCACCATACCTGGCTAATTTTAAAAATTTTTCATAGAGATGAGGTCTCACTGTGTTGGCCAGTCTGGTCTCAAATTCCTGGGCTCAAGTGATCTGCCTGCTTTGGTCTCCCAAAGTGCTGAGATTACAGGCATGAGCCACTGCACCCAACCTATATTCACTTTTTGAGGTTCAACAAGAAATATTTGTTAAAACACAAAATATAGATGTAAAAATGCCATTAAGTAAAACTTTTCCTCCTATTTTCCATCATTCAAATTCTCTTTTCATAAAAAAAAAGTACCACTTACCTAAAACTATGTATTTAGTGTATATCTAATTCTTTTTAGTTCTGCATTGGAGGCTAAGGAAAAATAAATTTTCCATGCCTTAAATTTTTTTTGAATAAAAATATGTCTCTGGTATAGAAAATTTAAATATAGGAAAGTAGAAAAGAGAAAATAAAAACCATGGATGGTATCACCAGCAGTTAATATTTTGGTGTATTCTCTGTCATTGTTTTTCCGTAGACATATATAATCATATAATGTGCGCTTTGACTATTGCTTATTTTCATTTAAGAATATGTCTTATTTTCCAATGTCATTAAATTATCTTTGAAAATGTGATTTTTTAATGGCTGAATAGTATTTCATTAAGTGGCTATCATAATTTATTTCACAATTTCCTCCTGTTGAATATATGGCTTACCCCAACATTTATTTATTATAAATCACATGATGATTGATATTCTTGCATGTAGATCTTTGAGCATATCTCTTATTTCCTTAACGTAAAGTGCTGTAAGGAGAGAGAAATGTGTTCTTAAGATCACTTTTGCTATATTAATGGTCATGGCCTCTTTATTCACAGGCAGCTGACTTCCCAGATGCCCAGCTCTCCTATTCCACAGTCGCCTCAAATCATGTTATTAAACCAAATTAATTTCTACTGCAACTAAAAATTGTTTGTTTGTAAAATGTCCAACCTGAGAAACGCCACATCTCTTTTCAAGGAAAAGGCTTAGAATTTTAATAACAGTATGATTTATCTAGTAATCACTAAATATGCTTTAAAAAGTAACAAATGTTCAAGAATAATTGTATTCTTTTTTGACCCTTAACTCTTGCTTTATCGTCAGTATGTGGTTTAGTTAGGATGTTTTTTATAATTCATTCTGAATCTTTTTGTTCACTTAAACAATTTAAATTATACACTTAAAGGAGCTTTGGTTCTTTATAATACATGCTGCTTTTTTTTTCCATTTGAAATTTATTTATTTATTTATTGAGACAGAGTCTCGCTCTGTCTCCCAGGCTGGAGTGCAGTCGTGCGATCTCGGCTCACTGCAACCTCCGCCTCCTGGGTTCAAGCGATTCTTTTGCCTCAGCCTCCTGAGTAGCTGGGATTATAGGCACCCGCCACCACACCCGGCTAATTTTTTTTGTATTTTTAGTAGAGACGGGGTTTCACCATGTTGGTCAGGTTGGTCTCGAACTCCTGACCTAGTGATCAGCCTGCCTTGGCCTCCCAAAGTGCTGGGATTACAGGCATGAGCCACTGCGCCCGGCCTGAAATTTACAACTATACACTTACATTATTGAAAAAAGTGAACTTAAAACTACAGATTTTTATTACTTTAAAATTCTCTCTGATTACTGTCAGGATACATGGATATGTTCTTTGTATTGATAATTGGTGTACATGCTATTTGATATTCTGTTCTGTTACTATAGTAATTTTAAATTTCTATTTCCACGTGTCAGTACTGTCAAAATACTTATTTTAAGTGACAGTACAATAGTAATTCACATTTTTTGAGCTGTCGTGCCAGACACTATGCTAAGCACTTTGCATTCTCACATTTCATCCTCACAGCAGCCCTCTGAGTTAGGTGCTATTGTTATCTCTATTTTCCAGTTTGGGGAAACAGAGGGACAGGGAGGTTATGTTCTTTGCCCAATGTCAACGTACTAAGTAGCGAAGCTGGTTTGAGACCGAGGTATGGCTGATTGACAAGGTGAGAAACTACACTCCCTTGATTTTTGGACTTAAACTGGTCACCTGTCTTTGCGTGGACCCCACAGGAAAACAGAAGAAACAGGAACAGCCAGTGGAAGAGGTGTTAGAAGAGCTACGGGCCAAGCTAAAGTGGACCCAAGGGGAGCTGGAAGCCCAGAGGGAGGCGGAGAGGCAGCGGCAGCTCCAGGTGGGCAGGGAGAGAAAACATCAGGGAGACTTGGGTCATGGACTACCCAGGAGACCCTTGATGCACATGAATCCCACAGGGCAAAAATTCCAGCTAGTTTCCCAGAGCTGGGAGTCAGAGCTGGGATAGTGCCTTCTTGGACATGGCAAATGATTTTAGGTAGCCTGGAAAGGAAAATTGAATTGTTTTTGCCAGACTTATGTGGACGAAAGTAGAGCAGAGAGATGCAGTTTCCTGCATTAGTCAGCACCCTCTGAGGGCATTTGAACCTGAATTTTAGCTTCGTACACAATGCTGTTAGTTAACTTTTTGTGGACAAAGACTGGGTTTGATTCTGAAAGCTCCAGAACCCAGCCCAGAGACAATGCTCAGTATATGTTTGTAGAATGAAAATACATGAAGTTGCCCTGCTCATCCCTTCATTATTCATCCCCTCAGCATGCATTTATTGAGCACCAGCTGCATAGTTGGTATTGTGACAAATACAGGCATACTTCTTTTTTTGTGTGTTTTGTGTGCTTCACAGACATTGTATTGTTTGCACATTGAAGGTTTGTGTCAACCCTGTGTTGAGCAAGTTTATCAGCATCATTTTCCAACAGTATGTGCTCACTTCATGTCTATGTATCACATTTTGGTAATTCTCACAATATTTCAAACTTTTTCATTATTATTATATCTGTTATGGTGATCTGTGATCAATGATCTTTGATGTTACTATTGTAATTGTTTTGGGGTGCCACAAACTATTCATATAAGATGGCAAACTTAAACATCTCTCACTTTAAATCAAAAGGTAGAAATGATTAAGTTTAGTGATGAAGGCATGTCGAAAGCTGAGATGGGCTGAGAGGCAGGCCTCTTGTGCCAAACAGCCAAGTTATGAATACAAAGGAAATTTGAAGGAAATTCAAAGCACTACTCCACTGACCACACAAATGATAAGAAAGTGAAACAGCCTTATTACTGAGATGGAGAAAGTTTTAGTGGTCTGGATAGAAGATCAAACCGGCCACAAAATTCCCTTAAGCCAAAGCCTAATCCAAAGCAAGGACCTAACTCTCTTCACTTCTATGAAGGCTGAGAGAAGTGAAGAAGCTGCAGAAGAACAGTTGAAAGCTAAAAGAGATTGGTTCATAGGTTTAAGGAAAGAAGCCATCTCCATAACAATGAAAGTGCAATGTGAAGCAGCAAGTGCTAATGTAGAAGCTGCAGCAAGTTATCTTGGAGATCTAGCTAAGATAATTGATGAAGGTGACTGTACTAAACAGATTTTCAGTGTAGAAAAAACAACCTTCTATAGGAATAAGCCATCTAGAACTTTTATAGCCTGGCTTCACACTTTCAAAGAACAGGATGATTCTCTTTTTAGGGTCTAATACAGCTGGTGGCTTTAAGTTGAAGCCAATGCTCATTTGCCACTGTGAAAATTCTAGGGCCCTTAAGAATTATGCTAGCTCTACTCTACCTGTGCTCTAAAAATGGAACAAGAAAGTCCGGATGACAGCACAGCTATGGTTTACTGAATATTTTAAGCCCACTGTTGAGATCTACTGCTAAAAAAAAGATTCTTTTCAAAATAATTACTGCTCATTGACAATGTTCCTGGTCACCTAAAAGCTCTGGTGGAGATGTACAAGGAGATTTGTGTTGTTTTCAAGCCTGTTAACACAATATCCATTCTGCAGCCCATGTATCAAGGAGTAATTTTGACTTCCAAGTTTTATTATTTAAGAAATACATTTTGTAAGGTTATAGCTGTCATAGATAGTGATTCCTCTGATGGATCTGAGCAAAGTAAATTGAAAACCTTTTGGAAAGGATTTGCCATTCTGGATGCCATTAAGAAAATGTGTGATTCTTTGGAGGAGGTCAAAATATTAACATTAACAGGAGTTTGGATGAAATTGATTCTAGCCATCGTGGATGACTTTGAGGGATTCAAGACTTCAGTGGAGGAAGCCACTGCAGATGTGGTGGAAATAGCAAGAGAACTAGACTTAGAAGTGGAGCCTGAAGATGGGACTGAATTGCTGCAACCTCATGATAAAACTAATGGTTCAGTAGTTGCTTCTTATGGATGAGCAAATAAAGTAGTTTCTTGAGAAGGAATCTACTACTTCTGAAGATGCTTAGAAGTAGCAGACTTAGTAGGCTTAGACTGGTCCTCCCAAGTCCAAACAATGGGAACTGTGGGATGAATGCTCTTTGGGTCTCCATAGTGACTTGCATAGACAAGGAGGCCTAAGTAGGTTCTTAGTAAATATTTGCTGTAATGTGGAATTAATCATCATATTGTTCTTGCTCTTCTTTTTAGGAAGCAGAGCTCATTCATCAGAGGGAAATAGAAGCTAAGAAAGAATTTGATAAATGGAAAGAGCAAGAGTGGACCAAACTTTATGGGGAAATAGATAAACTAAAAAAATTATTTTGGGATGAATTTAAAAATGTCGCCAAGCAGAACTCTACACTAGAAGAGGTACCCAACATAAAAGGCTTTTTAAAGTTTCTTTGTTGGAAATCTGCTTATTCTCAAAATTTCTTAGTTTGTACTGGTTTTATTTCATCTGCTGTTGGAAGCTAAAACACTGTGAGGCCAGTTATCAGAGGCCTGATATTAGAGGCCCAGATTTCAGACGCCTTGGGGTTGAATCACTGCTGTGTCAACATTCTGGCTGTGAGACCTTGAATGAGTTAACCTCCTCATGCCTCAGTTTTATTTCTGTAAGATAGGCTACTGAGAGGGTTAAATTAGTACATATACAGTATGTAACATTATCCAGCATGTAGTAATGTATCAGTAGTGTATCTGGTATATAGTAATATCTCCAGGTATTATTCTTATTTTTGCGAAGGGCTTTCATCACTGGACAAGAAATGGGGCAAAATTTAATTGAATGCATTTTTCTCCCAACAAATATTCCCTGAATACTGGTTACATGCCAGACATTCTGTTGGGGTCTTCAGAGGTCACACATTTATGACTGTATTTACTATTTTCCAGCCCCCATGCAGTATACTTTATATATACTAACTTTTAATCTTCATAGCAATCAACCATAACATTCTCAGAATAGGTGCATCACTGGTTTAGTACTTTCTTTTTAAAGTTTTTTTTTAAAAAAGCTATTTTATTTCTTTCTCTCTCTCTTTCTCTCTCCCTCTCCTTCCTTCCTTCCTCCCTCCCTCTCTCCCTCCCTTCCTTCCTTCCTCCCTCCCTCCCTCCCCCCACCTTCCTTTCTTGCTCTCACTGTCTCGCTGTGTCGCCCAGGCTGGAGTGCAGTGGCGTGGTGTCGGCTCACCGCAACTTCCGTCTCCTGGGTTCAAGTGATTCTCGTGCCTCAGCCTCCGGAGTAACTGGGATTACAGGCGTGTGCCACCGTTCCTGGCTAATTTTTGTATTTTTCATAGAGACGGGGTTTCACCATGTTGATCAGGCTTGTCTTGAACTTCTGACCTCAAGTGATCCACCCACCTCAGCCTCCCAAAGTGCTGGGATTTACAGGCATGAGCCACTGCGCCCGGCCGTCATTCTTTCTTTATAGGTAAAGAAATTGAGGCCATATAACTTGCCCAAGGTCACTTAGCTAAGAAGAGATGGAGCTGGGACTTGAACCCAGCTCTATAATTTCCAAAGGTCCTATTCTTCTACTGGATATACTAACAAGTTTATGCAGGATAACCTTATTAAAGTTATCCCTGGGCTGGGCGCAGTGGCTCACACCTGTAATCCCAGCACTTTGGGAGGCCAAGGTGGGTGGTTCAGCATGACCAACATGGCGAAACCCTGTCTGTACTGAAAATACAAAAATTAGCTGGGTGTGGTGGCAGGTGCCTATAATCCCAGCTGCTTGGGAGGCTGAGGTAGGAGAATCACTTGAACCCAGGAGGTGGAGGTTGCAGTGAACTGAGATCACGCCACTGCACCCCTGCCTGGGTGACAGAGTGAGACTCCTTCTCAAAAAAAAAAAAAAAGTTATCCCTTGACCATATCTTCCCATATAAACCTGCATGACTAAAACTGTATCAAGGAAAAATATTTTTTAAATGTATTTATCTCTCATTGGTCCTCCTAGATCAAGGAGAATCTTGTTTTTGAAAATGAACTGTCTAATAGCGTTTTTCACAGTCATTCCACGTTTTACCTAAAGAAGCACCTAGGCAAATTTTTTTTCAAAAGGAAATTGTCATATGCCTGGAGTCTTGGGTGCTCCATCATCCCTGTCTGAGATGGAAAGCCAAAGGTGGAAGGTGGAGGGGTTGAAACGAGAACTCTGTGTGCACTGGGGTGGGGATGGGGGCTCCCTAAAATGACGCAAGCGCTTCCATCCAAAATGCTTCCCAGCTGGGCCAGGGATGATTGTGGAAGAGAAGATGCTGCTCCACTATTGACCTCATGCTCCTAATATACAGCTCCACACCCATCCTTCCCAAGCACATGCAAACATCTCCTGACCCCCACACTTCCCCGACGCAGTGCTAGCTGACTAGACGTTTGATAAATAGGTATTGACAGGAATTTGAAGTTGTTGTTCAGAAACCACCTCTTCAAGGGTCAAAGGGTTACTTTTGGTCAGAAAATTATGAGTTTTGGTGAATGAGGACATAATCCTTACCATCCATGATATCCTTTTTAACTTGGATCATGTTCTCCTAAACTGGAACATGCTATCTTTTTTTTAATTTTTAATTTTATTTATTTATTTATTTATTTATTTTTTTAAGATGGGTTCTCACCCTGTTGCCCAGGCTCGAGTGCAGTGGCACAATCACGGTTCACTGCAGCCTTGACCTCCCAGGCTCAAGTGATCCTCCTTCAGCCTCCTGAGTAGCTGTGACTATAGGCATGTGCCACCACACCCAGCTAATTTTTGTATTTTTTGTAGAGATGGGGTTTCGCCATGTTACCCAGGCTGGCCTCCTGGGCTCAAGTGATCTGTCCACCCCAGCCTCCCAATGTGCTGGGATTACAGGCTTGAGTCACTGCGCTTGGCCCATCTTACTCTTTTTTAAAAACCTTTCCCCTATAGGATTACTTATATTGTGTTTGTATGTTTGTGTGTCTCACCCTGTCTCCTTTCAATATTTTATTGTTTTACTTTTATTAAAGTATAGGAATCAAACTGGATACCAAATTCTCAGTGCAGTTGGGTAGTCATTTTGTTAATGTATTTTTAAAAAATTTTAAGGGTAAAAACCAGCAAGATTCCATTTAGAATGATTGTAAAAAAAACACTGTAAGATGTCCATTTTCAAAATGCAAAAAATGATTCTTCCTGATGTTAGGAAGGCCAATGAAAACTATATGTATATTGAAAATATTTTTTCCTCAAAACTTTTTCCCTGATACAGAAGTCTGAGAGCTTACTTTGGCTACATTACCTGACTAAAGAGAGAACTTTAGATTAGACCTGGGGTAAATTGAGATGCCAAGGGAGTGTCTAGCTAAATGGAAATACCACGAAGGTTTGTAATGCCAAGAAAGTCAGCTCTGTGGTGTGTCATAAGCAGCATATGGAAACCAGGAGTGACACATTAGAACCCGGGAGTTGTGCATACATCTGATCAAGCATTTGACTCTGAAAATATTCAGGGAGTTTAGAAATTGTTAACCTTTGGAACCAGTATTGTTTAGCAATAGTTGAGAAGTGTTAGCAAGAATGATATCAAGTTAAACTTAGGCACTTGGAGTTACATCCTTAAAGCCTTAATAGGGCTTATGAGTTTTATACAGTCATACAGATAGAAATATGTTGCTTTTGTTACTACGACAGTCATATATTATAAGAAATAATCAAAGGTGGGTGGAAAGGCATCCTCTCTTTGATCCAATTTTCTGTACCTTTTTCTTCAGGTCACACACACTGCTAGCCCAGGAATCACTAGGTATTGATGACTCTACTTCAAGCTGTGCAAAGCCCTTTCTGGAGACAGCCAGGATGTTTTGTAGGGAGAGAGGCAGGAGTCCTCAGGGAGTGGCCTGGGGTGAGACCCTCCCATAGGCTCTAAGAGTCTCATTCTCATCAGTGTATTCCAGACTGAGGAAGAAATGGGGCAGCAGTCAGGAGAGCTCGGGATTTTGAGTATAGCAGAATTTAAGTGAAATGGAAACTACACTCTTTAATTTGTTCTTCCATGGAATTGCTTTTTCTATGCAAGGGCTGAGCCCCCAGGAGAGCCCTTGTGAAGGGAATGCTGATTTGTGTGAATATCTGTAGGTGAGTAGGTATCTAGTGAGGATGAGTTGGGAGGATGAGTTGGGTAAGGCGTGCCCCTCTGACACTGTTCTGGGTATAAAAGACAACATCATGATGAGATCTTCATCTGAATAAAACTATGCCCTGGCCTTTTCAGAAACTGCGGGCACTGCAGTCCCACAGTGTGATGGAGTCCAAGCTGGGATCACTGCGAGATGAGGAGTCAGAGGAGTGGCTTCGGCAGGCACGGGAGCTTCAGGCCCTGAGAGAGAAGACAGAAATTCAGGTGAGCTGATGCTCCATGCCTTTCTTCCCAGAGGAAGCCAAGAGCCATCTTCTCTTCCAATATATTCTCTCATTTATGAATGTAGAGAAGTTGAAGGACATCAAAGTTCTATATTTTCAGACCTTCTGCCAGTACATGAAAGCATAGAATAGGGTTCTCAGGTGAGGCTGGTGGTATGTGTGCAATGTCAGATTTGCCTAAGATCTTTTAAAAAATACATACAACTCTGTCTCTTATTTGGCACCTTTGCCCCATTCTGATTCTAACCCAGTTGGAAGCAACTCTTAGAAACTGTGAC
This sequence comes from Homo sapiens, assembly GCF_000001405.40. NCBI lineage: Eukaryota > Metazoa > Chordata > Mammalia > Primates > Hominidae > Homo > Homo sapiens. The sequence continues at coordinate 138,088,080 of NC_000003.12, read as the reverse complement.
AGTCTCTTGGGTTTGAAGATATTTGGGATGCATCCATTGTTGTGATGGTAGTTGTTTAGCAACCAGCTCTCTGGAATTAAAAAAGCTTTAATTTGTAGCATTTGCCAATTTCCGTGGTGTAAATACTCCCAGCATGGCCGATTTCCTGCTATCAATGTGAGGTCACTGAATGGAGCCAGGAAGACTTGTGCACAGTCTGCTCTCACCAGCTGGTAGAAGGTGGCTCTGGCCACCCCTGGATGAATTTTACTGCAGTCTGGTTATAAAATGGTCTGTATCACTGATAATTCCATGGCAAAGAAGGGTAGTTGGTACAGGTGTTAAATCATGTTGTGCTTATCTTTCTGCTGTCCAAGATTCTTGAGAAAAAATGTAAAGTCTAGCTAACAATCAGCAGTAAGGTGTTTCTGCCGATTGATGTTTGACAGGTTTCACATTATAAAGAGGCCATTCTTTTCCTGAGAACTCTGTTCACATTCTTTGCCTGCTTTTCTATTATTGATGTTTCCCCTATCAATTTGTGAGTTTGTATAATGTATGGAAATTAACTCAGCCCTTTGTTGTTCTAGTTGTGGTTATTTTCCCCAGTATTCTGTTGGTCCTTCAATTTTGTGTATTATGGTTTGGCCATATAACAAAGAATTAATGTTTATGTAGTCAAAATTATCCAATTATTCGTATTTTCTTTATGGGCTTCCCCACTCTGAGATTTAAAAAGACAACATTCCTGTGTTTTCTTTTAGTACTTTTTGGCCTTATTTTTTGTGTTAAATCTTTGACCCACCTACAATTTATTTTGCTTTAAGATGTGTAATAAGGATCCAGCTTCCTATTTTTTTTCAGGTAGCTAGCCATTTGTTCCAACACCATTAGTCAATAATCCATCTCCCTCTCCTCATACTTAGTTTCTATGTATTTCCATCTTTGTCTGGATTTTCTATTCTATTCCACTACTCTGTCTGCCTACCCATGAGCCAGTACTTTTAACTTCCTGTAGCTTTATAACATGTTTTAATACCTGCAAGGGCCCATTTGATAAGCTTTTAATCTTTTTCAGAAAACGGAGTGGAAAAGAAAAGTGAAGGAACTGCATGAAGAGCACATGGCTGAGAAGAAAGAGGTAGCTTTTGTTGGGTGATCTCGGGGAGCTTGGTTTCCTGTGACCTCCTCTCAGAATTCAGCATTCTCCACGCCCCCTCACCCACCATCTCCCCTATCTCACCTGGAACTGGTTGGCAGATGCTGCAGATATTGCTCCTGGCTACTGTCCCCATCAGTACACAGAAGGGGTGAGCTGTCCAGCCAGCAGCTTCCCTGTCCAGGAGCAGGGGCCTCCAGGCCTTCTCCTCTGAATCGAACACATCCTTTGTTCTGTGGTCTTCTTTGCAGTGACCCCTTTAGGCCCTCCAGGGAGGGTTGTTCGATAAACCTCAGATGAATCGCCTGGTCGTTTCACGTTTGGGCTCTTCTTTGAAATTCCCCCACCCTAGGAGAGAACCAGGCGGCTGTGGGCCTCAGTGATAGTTCAGCAGGAGTCCAAAGGGAAGGACTTAGATACTGAGAACAGTGAACAGGGAGCAACAGGCCTCAGGGCAGAGCAAACAGCTTCTGTAAAAATGTCCTGAGCAGGAGGCAAGTTGAGGAGGAAGCTGGTTCATAAGAGCCCCAGGTTCCGCCTGCAAAAAGCTCAGAAGATGAAAAGGCTTAGATCAGTCTGGTCCATGGTAGAGCTCCTCACTCTGGTGTAGGGAAGCATGATCACTCACATGTGATGGTTTTATTTTATCTGAAGCATTTTCTTTTTTTTTTTTTTAATTATTATTATTATACTTTAAGTTTTAGGGTACATGTGCACAATGTGCAGGTTAGTTACATATGTATACATGTGCCATGCTGGTGTGCTGCACCCATTAACTTGTCATTTAGCATTAGGTATATCTCCTAATGCTATCCCTCCCCACTCCCCCCACCCCACAACAGTCCCCAGAGTGTGATGTTCCCCTTCCTGGGTCCATGTGTTCTCATTGTTCAATTCCCAACTATGAGTGAGAACATGCGGTGTTTGGTTTTTTGTTCTTGTGATAGTTTACTGAGAATGATGATTTCCAATTTCATCCATGTCCCTACAAAGGACATGAACTCATCCTTTTTTATGGCTGCATAGTATTCCATGGTGTATATGTGCCACATTTTCTTAATCCAGTCTATCATTGATGGACATTTGGGTTGGTTCCAAGTCTTTGCTATTGTGAATAGTGCCACAATAAACATACGTGTGCGTGTGTCTTTATAGCAGCATGATTTATAGTCCTTTGGGTATATACCCAGTAATGGGATGGCTGGGTCAAATGGTATTTCTAGTTCTAGATCCCTGAGGAATCGCCACACTGACTTTCACAATGGTTGAACTAGTTTACATTCCCACCAGCAGTGTAAAAGTGTTCCTATTTCTCCACATCCTCTCCAGCACCTGTTGTTTCCTGACTTTTTAATGATCGCCATTCTAACTGGTGTGAGATGGTATCTCATTGTGGTTTTGATTTGCATTTCTCTGATGGCCAGTGATGCTGAGCATTTTTTCATGTGTCTGTTGGTTGCATAAATGTCTTCTTTTGAGAAGTGTCTGTTCATATCCTTTGCCCACTTTTTGATGGGGTTGTTTGTTTTTTTCTTGTAAATTTGTTTGAGTTCATTGTAGATTCCAGATATTAGCCCTTTGTCAGATGAGTAGGTTGCAAAAATTTTCTCCCATTTTGTAGGTTGCCTGTTCACTCTGATGGTAGTTTCTTTTGCTATGCAGAAGCTCTTGAGTTTAATTAGATCCCATTTGTCAATTTTGGCTTTTGTTGCCATTGCTTTTGGTGTTTTAGACATGAAGTCCTTGCCCATGCCTATGTCCTGAATGGTAATGTCTAGGTTTTCTTCTAGGGTTTTTATGGTTTTAGGTCTAACGTTTAAGACTTTAATCCATCTTGAATTAATTTTTGTATAAGGTGTAAGGAAGTGGAGGCATCACGCTACCTGACTTCAAACTATACTACAAGGCTACAGTAACCAAAACAGCATGGTACTGGTACTGGTACCAAAACAGAGATATAGATCAATGGAACAGAACAGAGCCCTCAGAAATAATGCCGCATATCTGCAACTATCTGATCTTTGACAAACCTGAGAAAAACAAGCAATGGGGAAAGGATTTCCTATTTAATAAACGGTGCTGGGAAAACTGGCTAGCCATATGTAGAAAGCTGAAACTGAAGCATTTTCAAATGGGAAATACATTCACATTCACATTCACATTTCCTGTTCCAAAAACAGGAGAAATATATTAAGATACACTGAGTAGAGTCTCACTCCCACCTGTCCCCATCTACCTGTCTCCAACACCTACTGCTCAGGTGACTTTTATGGCTTTCTTTTGTATTCTTCTAAAGTTTCTTTATGCAAATATTAATAAATATTTTCACTTTATTTCTGCTATTACATCAGAAGTAGCATGTTAACTTGTTTTCTTCACCTCTTGTTTTCACCTAAAAACATCCATTTGATGATTTTCAAATGGTTTTAATTTATCTGACTGTTCTTCAATGGGTGGCTACACCTTTCTCTCCTGGTCTTAAAGGCATGCATTCCATTCTTACTTCTTCTCAGGCACAGCACAAAAATGTCCCCAGACTGGAAGGTTGTCTTGTTAGAAAGCCTGTCCAGGTCTCAAAATCCTTTACTGTGCTTGCCTGGCACTTGCCTACAGGTGCTGAGCCTGCAGACACCAGGCACTAAGATGTCCCTGCAGACATTTGACTGACCAGCCATCTTGTGCCTGCCAGCTACAGGAGGAGAACCAGAGGCTCCAGGCCTCCCTGTCTCAGGATCAGAAGAAGGCAGCTGCCCAGTCCCAGTGCCAGATCAGCACCCTCCGTGCCCAGCTGCAGGAACAAGCTAGGATCATTGCCTCCCAGGAGGAGATGGTAGGTCTGCCCTTCCTTTCAGCCAGGCCTTGGTGTCCCTGGGCCTCTTTCCTGTGAGGATCTCCTTGGATTCTTTTGGGCTCATCAGTGCTAGTCTTACCACTCAGGCTCCTTAAGGAGAGAGAAGAGTCCTCTGGCATGAAGGGCACAAAATGATAAGGCTGTAGCTGCCTCCTTCCAGGCTGAAGATGTGCCATCTCCTTAGGGGCTGCTGGCAGATGGGGCCACTCTAACAGCAGAGACCATATAAAACGCTCAGCACCTCACTGATACTTTGCTTATTACCTCATTTAAGCCTCACTACTATCCTTCAAGGTAGGCATCCCCCTTCTCCCCATCTTCATTCGACAGATGGTGAAATAAGCTGGAGAAGGGAAGTGCCTCACTCAAGTCCTCACGGGGCACTCGGTAAGTGATGAGATTCAACTCTGGCCAGGCAGGAAGAACGCAAAGCGTGTGTTTTTTACACAGTATTCTTAGGCAGAATTCCTTAACCAGTACCTTTTTCACAAATGAACAGCCTCTGATGAGGTGAGAGATAAAGCAGTGTGATGAAAAGGCACTTAGTTAGCACCTTTCTCCTAAAGCTGGCCCCTGTGACTCTTTACCTGTTGCTGACAATTCTCTGCCCAGTCGAGGCTGAGTTCCCCCTCCAGAGCCCCAGGTCTGTGGAAAATCTGTATCTTCCTCTGCTGCCACCCACCTCATGGACCAGGCTCCACACAGCTTCCCTGGGCTGAGCACCCACTGTTACTGTCTAGTCCTGGCCTCTTGTTCCTGCACCCCTTGCTATTTGTGCTTTCCCACACACCCAGCCACATTTCACCCAGGTGACATAACTACCCCACTGTCTTGCTACTTTTCAGTTTCCCCCCAAAACACTCAGCTCTGCACTAAGCTCTAGTCTGGAGGTTTCCTAAGGAGGAAACCACAGCAGAGTTTCCACAGTGTTCCCTGCTGGCTGTAATGTCCTGTATGTTACTCAGAACTCTTATTTGCAAATGATTCAGTTAGGAACCTATTGGCTAAAGATAACAGAATAGTCTATTAGGGGCTATTATTTTTATTTTCACAGCAAGAGAGGTGACAGTTGCTGGGCTTGGTTAGCAGAAGTAGTATGCCATTGTGAATCCAGACTGTGTTTTTCTTTTTACCATCTTCAGTGTGATGACTTTTGTTTACCGCTTCACTTTCATGTTGCAAGCAGACTACTGTAGCCCCAACCATACAACCATATTTGGCAGAAGAAGTTGATGAAAAGGTCCCTTCCCAAGACTTGTGCTTATCTATATTATTGGTCAAAGCTGTGTCACATGGGAAACTACAGCTGCAAAAAAGGCTGGGAAAGTAAACAACTAGTTTTGCAGTTTGGAGTAGAGGTAGGCAAAGGAGACAGCAGTGGGGAATGGATACTGGATGAGTCATATGTCAGCATGTGCCACTGCAGGTAATAAAAAGCAACCGAAGCTTAAGTAGAAGAGGGAGTTTGTCATAAGGGTAGATGGAGCATCTCACAGAGCTCACGGCAGGGAGCAGCTGAGTCTGGGAGTAAACTGAAACCAGAGACATGAATGTGGTCATCAGTTTTCCTTTTCTGTGTGTCTCTGTTCCTTTCTCTATAACTGCTTTATTTTTTCCTTTTACCCTGAAGATCAGCTTCTGCTGCTTATCTGTTTTATGTGGTAAAACAAATATACGAACCAAGAAAAACCACAAACAATTGGCTGCCAGCAGCTTTGACATCATTCATTACCAGTCCAGAGCTCTTTGCCTTAACTTGGGTGTTGGGTCCGGCTGTGGTGTGAAGTCTCATTGTTCACCTGTGGCTGTCCTGCCTGCAGCCATGAAGGGGGAAGGAACAGGAACTTCTTGGAGCAGGGGGGTTGAGCAGACAGTTCAGTGAATGTCTACATCTGGCCTCCTGTCCGGGAATGTGTCTGACTCCTTCCTCCCAGGGAGTGCTCTGCTCAGACGCCCGCATTGTGGGAGGGAGCCTCTCCCTTGCCCTGGCTGTTTTCCATGAATTATACCAATAGGAACAACTGTGTGCCTGTCCCACTCTGTTTCTATGGGGCTCCTGCCCTCGAGGCATAATTCTTCTTTGAAGAGGGGACATTCTTGCCTCCCCACCTTGGAAAATGGAGCATGCTGCCATTCCCTTTCACACACGGACCCCAGAGATGTGTCAGGGGGCTGGGGTGGTGCATCTGAGCTCCTTCCAGTTCCCAACGTGAGTCATGGAATCTGTAGCCATCCCTTCCTCACTGTGCTAGGCAGACACTGCTCAAAGCAGAGTTCTCACAATGTTCTCTGCTGGTTGTAACCCGCTCTATTCCACCTCTTTGCAGATCCAGTCCTTGTCTCTCAGGAAGGTGGAAGGTAAGTGTCTACACAGGGCAGTGTGTAGCAGTCTTGACTATTGTCTCTGGCTTTTCTCCCTCCTTTTCCCTCTCCCCCAGTCAATTCATGGGTGGTGGATTGGTGACAGCAGCCTGTGGACATGTAGTGTCAGGCTTCTGGGCCACACAGGCTGCAGCTCTGTTTGTGCTGAAGGCTTCCCATGCAGCTGGCAGGGCTTCTTGCCTGGCTTGCTCCTGTCTGTAAAGGGATGGAGGCAGTGGGGAGGAGGGTGGTTATGGGTGGAGTGGGGGCTCATGAGAAGGCTTTTCTAATTCACCATGCCTGCAGCGAATGAGTAAAATCAGGATTCAGGGTTGCCAGCAACTTTTACCTTGTTCCCAATGTTCAGCAAGTTGACCCCAACCCCATGTGAATGTGTCCTGTTTGGCATATACAGTCTCCTCCTCTTGGGTACTCTGGTGTGGGGATGCGTGTGTCTGTGTGTAATGGGGTGCAGGTGCTGGCATCTAAAGGTAGACGGCAACCCACAGGGGACTGCTCCTGTTTAGAGGACCTTGGACAGCCCCTTGTGAAGCTTGGCCCTTCATCCTCCACCCCCAGCTCCCCTGTCCTATGGCTTTAGCTACACTTCTGCCTTTTCTTGCAAACTCACATTTCTTCCTATCCCTTGCCTTCTGCCCATCCCCTTCCCAGCCGTGTAGCCAGTTCAGACAGGCCCGACCCCTGTGGCCCTGAACTTCTTGAGGGATGGAGACCCTCTTGAGGGATGGAGCTAGAGCAGAGCCATTGATAATAGACATGTGCCACACCCTTCCCCAGCCACTTCAGATGCATCATCTCATTACATGGCTCACTATTGAATTATCCTCGTTTTCTAGATGGGGAAACCCAGGCTTAGAGGGGTTCAAGGACTTGCCATCTCTTTCACAGATAGCGAGGGGCAGAGCTAGTGTGTGGACTCTGATCTTTCTGCCGCCAGTGTCTGCTCTGTCCTGCCTCTCTCCAGTCAAGATGCACTGACTGGAGGGTTTTCTCTTTCTGGCTCATACTCAGCTGGGGTTCTGTACTTTTCTTCTAGTCAGGGATGGGGTCCAGAGCACTGGTGCCACTAACTGTTCCTCCTCTCTTCAGGGATCCACAAGGTGCCAAAGGCTGTGGACACAGAGGAGGACTCTCCAGAGGAAGGTGGGACCTTACTTTCTTTCCTGGGTGTCCAGTGCAGAAACAGATTTGCTGCCCTCCTCCTTGTTTAGTTTGTCTCTACTTAACTGTATCTGGACATCCGAAGCTGGAGTGGAGGGATCTAAGGACATGAAATAATATTTCTTAACACCTTCTGTGTGCCAGGCATGTGACATGCAGGTACTAACATACAATCTGCTGGTTTAGTGATGGGGAAGCCCAGGCCTAGAGAGGGTCATTAGCTTGTCCAGAGTCACAAAGCTAGCAGGTAACTGAGTGAGGATTTGGAGGGACGTCTGATTCACAGCCTGCCCTACTGACTCTCACCTGCGACTATGCAGAACAGTGGAAGATAACTCGCCTAGTTGACTTAAAATGGCCTTTGCTGTTTTTTTCTACATTGTGAGTGTGCTGCAGATAGGTCCCACAGGGCCTGACTAATGCATAGGAATCCACCTCGGCTCCCTTGTCAGAGCATTGGGCACCTGCTGTTTTTATTCACCCTATCCAGTGATTGACTCTGATTCGCAGACCTCTCAACCAGATGTAGCCAAGGGATGCAAAAGAAAAGTGAAGAAAAGAGAGATGCTCCCTGACTGCAAGAAGATCTTAGGGATAGTCAGGGAGAGGAAGCTCCCAGGACAGATGAGTGAGTGCTGACTGGAAAAGCTACTGACCAGGTCCCGTTTGTTTGAGCAAGGCAATGATATGACAATTTCAGAGTTCCCCAATGGACACACCCAGACAAGTTTTAATTGTGCCATCAAAGAGCTCATCATGGGGTATTTTATTTTTTAATGTAATGTTTTTCTTTATTTTTGAGATGGTAATCTATGCACTTTGGAAAAAAAAAGGAATGGTATAAAAGGGTATGCAGTGAGAAGCAGGCCTCCCTTCTGCCCAGCTATCCAGTTTCCTCTCCAGAAGTTTCACTGTTAATGGTTTCTCATTTATCGTTCCATGCTACATGGGAATATGTGCAAATATAAGCACATGTGTGTACCCATTCTTCTCCCTTTTCCCAAATGGGAACACACTGTACACATTGTTCTGCAGTTAGTTATATTGTTAACAACTTACTTAGGAAATGGTTTCATATCCCTTTAAAGAGAACTGCTTCATTATTTTTTCAGGGCTTTGCAGTCTTCCCTTAGATGGATGAACTAAAATTTATTTAACCAGTTAGTCCTCTACTGCCTCCGCCTACCCTCCCAGTGCATTTAACCTTGGGATACAGTTGTAAAAATTAGAATTGCGTATCACTTTTGAGGAAGGTATCTGTTGAGTAACTCAGATAGGATGAATCACATCTTCAAACAGTGGATGCAGGGTTCTAGAGAGGAGGAGCCTGAGACTGATGAGTCAGGGGATCCTGTGGCCATGCCCCTGCTGTTACAGTGGAGGTTTTACTTGCTTACTACACTGTTTGTCTACCTCTTCCTGTCCCAGACCAGCAGGCAAGAGCATCACTTGGGAATTTTTTAGAAATGCAAAGTTGTAATTCTCAGGCCCCATGCCAGACAAACTGAAGCAGAAACTCTGGGGGCAGGACCCAGCAATCTGTTTTCAGACACTCTCCAGGGCATTCTGATTCTTGCTCAAGTTTGAGAACCACTGTGAGACCAGTGGCTGTCTACAACTGGCTAAACATTAAGAATCACCCAGGAAGCTTGAACTGTCTGGAGGACCACGCTACACCCCCACATTACCTAAAGCAGAACATGGAGTGGGTGGGTTCCAGGCACCAGTAGCATTTAAAGCTCCGCAGGTGATTCCAATGTGCAGACAAGGTTGAGGCTCATGTCCTGGTGTAAACTTTATTGAGCAGAATCACGCAGGGTCAGAGGTGAATGGGTGGTAGGGGAGGAGTTATTATAACCCAGATTTTTGGGTTCCACCTGTAGAATTTTTGATGCAGTAGATTTGGAGTGGGAGCTGAGAATCTGCATCTCACAAGTTACCAGGTAATGCTGATGCTTTGGCTCACAGTTAAGGACCATTGTCCTAGAATCATTGTTTCTCAGGCTTCGCTGTTTATTAGAATATCTAGAGAATTTAAAATATAAATATCAAGCGTTGGGGTCCACCTTGAGAGATTCTGATGGAATCAGCCTGGGGTGATTCCAACTCGCAGCCAGCAGTGAAATTCACCACCCTTGATTGTGAGTGAGGTCCTTGGGGGACGAGAGATGGGCTTCTGTGTCCTTGGCATCCAGCCCTAGCCTGATTACACTCATGCTGCTTGTTCAGTTAATGTCTACTGAGTGAGTCAAAGGGCTTGGTCCTGGTCTTACCACAGAGGCCCCCAGATGGAACCTGAAGAACACCGTAGGAGGCCTTCCCTGACTCACCTTGGACTGCTCCTTTGTAGCACTTACCACATTTAATTGTAATTGCTTATTTTGCTAGCCTCAGGTCAGTATTTCTTAAAGTATAGTCTGTGGCTTACCTCCATCAGAATCATCTCAGTATGTTAAAATGTAGATTCTAGGGTCCTCCCCCAGACTTATGGAATCAGACTCTTTGGAGGGTGAGGTGAGGGACTATTAATTTTTAACCCATGCCCAGGTGATTCTGATATATGCTAAAGTTAGAGGGAGAATCTCCGGTTTAGACAGTAAACTTGAGGGAGCAGCGATCTGTCTATCTTGTCCACCAGTTTATCACCTGGACCAGAATTGAGCCTGGCATGGAAACGAGATGAGGGTATCAGGTGGGGCTAGGATTAGGCTGGAACCCACAGCAGTGGGGCCTGGAATCTGAGATCAGAAGGGAGCCCAGAGAGCAAGCTGCTTTAAGGGCTCAAGTGCAATCTCCAAGTCCTGAGTTAACCGACCAGGATTCCTGGCAGTGTGAGGGCTCGGCAGGTGCAGTAGGGCTCTGGGAATGGAGAACTCAGGTGCCCAGGCTGATCTGGGTGAATGTCTCATGCTACAGAGATGGAGGACTCCCAGGATGAACAGCACAAGGTGCTGGCAGCTCTGAGGCGTAACCCCACTTTGCTGAAGCACTTCAGACCAATCCTGGAGGACACCCTGGAAGAGAAGCTCGAAAGCATGGGGATAAGGAAGGTGAGTTTCAGGGCCATCGTTTTAAGGGCTGATACCTACGATTTAGACACTAAGTGTTCTCAGACAGACAAATGATCGATTGTTCTTTGCATTGTGAGCTCATTCATCTCACTTGTGGCAGCCCGGGCTCCTCTGGCATCTGCACGCCTTTCTCACTTCACAGCGGCAGTGTGATATCTTTCCTCTGTTTCTCCAGCAGCTTCTCAAGACTGGCCCTATTTGGCTGGCGATACTACCCTGAGTCCTGATTGCTCAGTGTTCTCCACTCATTGGTTACTTCCCTCTGTGTCTCTAAATTTTTTGCTAGAGGGAATTTAATTGGCTCAATCTGGCCTGTGGATAGGTCCCCCCTTGGGTAAGTATCCATCTGCAAGCCCATCATCTGTGGTACATGTGGCTGTGTCCACTCAGCAGGTGGCTGTGTGTGGGCATCACTGAAAGCTGTGTCTGACACCAATTATTTGTTTTTTTTTTTGAGAAGTAATAACTTATATTTTCCTATAGTTTTTTAGCAGTTACATGTATGTATGTATATACATGTATGTATGTATATTTTATTTTCAGATAAAATATCTGAAATTTAATTTTTTATTTCAGTGGGTTTTTGGGGAACAGGTGGTGTTTGGTTACATGAATAAGTTCTTTGGTGGTGATTTCTGAGATTTTGGTGCACACATCACGTGAACAGTATACACTGTACCCAGTGTGTAGCCTTTTATCCCTCTCCACCCCCATGCCCTTTCCCCCAAATCCCCAAAGTCCAATGTACCATTCTTATGCCTTTGTGTCCTCAGAGCTTAGCTCCCACATAGGAGTGAGAACATACGATGTTTGGTTTTCCATTCCTGAGTTCACTTAGAATAATAGTCTCCAATTCCATCCAGGTTGCAGCAAATGCCATCATTTTGTTCCTTTTTAGGGCTGAGTAGTATTCCATGGTATGTATATATATCAGTTTCTTTATCCACTCATTGATTGATGGGCATTTAGGCTGGTTCCACATTTTTGCAATTGCAAATTGTGCTGCTATAAACATGCATGTGTAAGTATCTTTTTCATGTAATGACTTCTTTTCCTCAGTGTAGATACGCAGTAGTGGGATTGCTGGATCAAATGGTAGATCTCCTTTTAGCTCTTTAAGGAATCTCCACACTTTTCCATAGTGGTTGTACTAGTTTACATTCCCACCAACAGTGTAAAAGTGTTCCCTTTTCACCACATCCATGTCAACGTCTATTAATTTTTGATTTTTTGATTATGGCCATTCTTGTAGGGGTGAGGTGGTATCACATTGTGGTTTTGATTTGCATTTTCCTGGTAATTAGTGATGCTGACCATCCCCACTCTGGGAAGCTCCCTCCTCATTTAAGGACAGTCTGGAGTCCTTAGGACCTCCAGTGCTGCTACCCAAGGCTTCTGGGCCCACTCCTCAGCCACTCGTCCTGATCCATTGTCTCCTTGGGTTTGGATTATTCTTGTTTCTCCAGTTCCATGAGGTGTGACCTTAGATTATCTATTTGTGCTCTTTCAGCCTTTTTTTTTGAGACGAATCTCGCTCTGTCACCATGCTGGAGTGCAGTGGTGCGATCTCGGCTCACTGCAACCTCCGACTCCCTGGTTCAAGGGATTTTCCTGCCTTAGCTTCCTGAGTAGCTGGGATTACAGGCACGTGCCACCCCACCCAGTAGAGACGGGGTTTCACCATGTTTGCCAGGATGGTCTCGAATTCCTGATCCACCCACCTCGGCCTCCCAAGGTGCTGAGATTACAGGCGTGAGCCACCGCGCCAGGCCGCAGACTTTTTGATGTAAGCATTTAATGCCATGAACTTTCCTCTTAGCACTGCTCTTGCTGTATCCCAGAGGTTTTGATAGGTTGTGTCACTATTATCGTTCAGTCAAAGAACTTTTAAGTTTCCATCTTGATTTCGTTGTTGACCCAACGATTATTCAGGAACAGGTTATTTAATTTCCATGTATTTGCATGGTTTTGAGGGTTTCTTTTGGAGTTGATTTCCAATTTTATTCCACTGTGATCTGAGAGAGTGCTTGATATAATTTCGATTTTCTTAAGTTTACTGAGACTTGTTTTGTGGCCTATCATCTGGTCTATCTTGGAGAATGTTCCATGTGCTGATGAATAGAATATATATTCTGCAGTTGTTGGGTAGAATGTTCTGTAAATATCTGTTAAGTCTATTTGTTCTAGGTTATAGTTTAAGTCTATTGTTTCTTTGTTGACTTTCTGTCTTGATGACCTGTCTAGTACTGTCAGTGCAGTCTTGAAATCCCCCACTATTATTGTGTTGCTGTCTATCTCATTTCTTCGGTCTAGTAGCAATTGTATTATAAATTTGGAAACTCCAGTGTTAGGTGCATATATATTTAGAATTATGATATTTTCCTGTTAGACTAGTCCTTTTATCATTATGTAATGTCCCTGTTTGTCTTTTTTAACTGCTGTTGCTTTAAAGTTTGTTTTGTCTGCTATAAGAATAGCTACTCCTGCTCGCTTTTGGTATCCATTTGCATGGAATGTTTTTTTTCCGCCCCTTTACCTTAAGTTTGTGTGAGTCCTAATGTGAGTTTAGGTGAGTCTTCTGAAGACAGCAGAAACTTGGTTGGTGAATTCATATCCATTCTGCCATTCTGTATCTTTTAAGTGGAATATTTAGGCCATTTACATTCAATGTTAGTATTGAGAGGTGAGGTACTATTCTATTCATTGTGCTATTTGTTGCCTGAATACCTTGCCTTTTTTTTTTTTCGTGTATTATTGTTGTATAGGTCCTATGAGATTTATGCTTTAAGGAGGTTCTGTTTTGTTGTATTTCATGGATTTGTTTCTGTATACATGTGTAACAAACCTGCATGTTGTGCACATGTACCCTAAAACTTAAAGTATAATAAAAAAATAAATTAAAAAAGAAGATTTAGAGATCCTTTTAGCAGTTCTTGTAGTGCTGGCTTGGTAGTGGCGGATTCTCTCAGCATTTGTTTGTCTGGAAAAGACTGTATCTTTCTTTCATTTATGAAGCTTAGTTTCACTGGATACAAAATTCTTGGCTGATAATTGTTTTGTTTAAGGAAGCTAAAGAATAGGACCCCAATCCCTTCTAGCTTGTAGGGTTTCTGCTGAGAAATCTGCTGTTAATCTGAGAGGTGTTCCTTTATAGGTTACCTGGTGCTTTTGCCTCACAGCTCTTATGATTCTTTCCTTCATCTTGACTTTAGATAACCGGTTGACTATGTGCTTAGGTGATGATCTTTTTGCAATGAATTTCTCAGGTGTTCTTTGAGCTTCTTGTATTTGGATGCCTAGGTCTCTAGTAAGGCTGGGGAAGTTTTCCTCAATTATTCCCTCGAAGATGTTTTCAAGCTTTTAGATTTCTCTTCTTCCTTGGGAATAACAATTATTCTTAGGTTTGGATGTTTAACATGGTCCCAAGCTTCTTGGAGACTTTGTTCATTTTTTTAAAATTCTTTTTTGTCTTCTATGGATTGTGTTAATTCGAAAGCCTTGTCTTTGAGCTCTGAAGTTCTTTCTTCTGCTTGTTTGATTCTATTGCTGAGACTTTTCAGTGTATTTTGCATTTCTCTAAGTGTGTTTTTGATTTCCAGAAGTTGTGATAACTTTTTATTTATGCTATTTCACTAAAAAATTTTCCTTTCATCTCTTGTATAACATTTTTTGTTTCTTTAAGGTGGGCTTCACCTTTCTTTGGTCCCTCCTTGATTAGCTTAATAATTGACCTTCTGAATTCTTTTTCTGGCAATTCAGAGATTCGTCTTGGTTTGGATCCATTGCTGGTGAGCTGGTATGATTTTTGTGGGTGTTAAAGAACCTTGTCTTGTCATATTACCAGAATTGTTTTTCTGGCTCCTTCTCATTTGGGTAGACTATGTTAGAGGGAAGATCTGGGATTCAAGAGCTGCTGTTCAGATGCTTCTGTCCCATGGGGTGCTCCCTTGATGTAGTGCTCTCCCCCTTCCCCTAGGAATGGGGCTTCCTGAGAGCTGAACTGTAGTGATTGTTTTTGATCTTCTGGGTCTAGCCACCCAGTAGAGTTACAGGCTGGTACTGGGGAGTGTCTGCAAAGAGTCCTGTGATGTGATCCATCTTCAGGTCTTGCAGCCGTGGATACTATTCCAGCACCTGCTCCAGTGGAGGTAGTAGGGGAGTGAAGTGGACTCTTGAGGGTCCTTGTTTTTTCTTTTTGTTTGTTTAGTGCATTGGTTTTGTGTTTGTTGGCCTCCAGCTAGGAGGTGGTGCTTTCAAACTGTGGTCCTATAGGGAGGATGCATACTTCCCTACTTGCCCTAGGGACACCTGGTTAAGTATTCAGGTTTCTCAGGCGGTGGGCAGGGCCATACAGCTCCTAAGGGATTATGACCTTTGTCTTCAGCTACCAGGGCGGGTGCAGGAAGACCACCAGGTGGGGCCAGGGATAGACGTGTCTGAGCTCAGCCTCTCCTTGGGTGTGGCTTGCTGCAGCTACTGTTGGGGATGAGGGTGTGTTCCCAGTCCAATGGAGTTATATTCCCAGGGGGATTATGGCTGCCTCTGCTGAGTCATACAGGTCGCCAGGGAAGTGGGGGAAATCTGGCAGTCACAGGCCTCAGCCCATCTCCACGCAGCCTGCGGTCCTAAAGTCCGGTCTCACTCGCACTGTGCCCCACCAACAGGAGCAAGTCTATTTCCAAGCAGCCAGTGACCAGGGCTGGGAACTTGCCCCAGACCACAAACCTCCCCATTGAGAAAGCAAGCAGACTCAGGTTTTCGGCATCTCAGGGAGTCTGCAGCAGTGATCCAGTTCCTTTACAGGGTCTATGGATTCTCTCTCCAACTAGTATTTGAATGCCATTGTGCTTAACCAGAACACGTATGTTATTATTAGAAGCACCAATGAAATCTATTATTAAATAAAAACACACCTATTATTAAATTAGCCAAGCATTACACTATTGGAATGCTGTTTGTGTAGAGTAAGTTAGAAAAAAAAAATAGACAACTAGGGTTATTTTAGGAAGAATGGTCACTACTTTGATTGTTTTCAACTACTGACTACTCTAACTTTGGCCCTATATTCAGATTTGATTAAGACATTCCTTTCTAACCTTGCATGAATCCTCATCTTGGATTCAGATGCCTCCCTGGACCCTCCCATGGGCTCTGGGTGGATGTCAAAAGCTCGAGCAACTTCCAATAGGTCTTGAAAGGGTACTTGGATTGTGTTTACAGCAGTTTAGTTTTTTAAACATTGTTAGCCATGGACAGTGTGTTTGGCATAATAATAGTAATTGGGAGTACAAAAATGAGCAAGCTGTGGTCTCTTATCCTAGGATTCAGTCAGATGGTAGAAAAGCATGTTCCAACGAAGTCCCTTATGCTATGATGTGGTCAGAATTGTGACGCAGTCCTTTGCATTATCCTGCTGTGCACATTTTGATGGGGCTCCCAAACCCTGAACCATTGCACTTTCAGCAACTTTGAAGCCGCTGCTTACCCTTCTCTGATCCTCATTTCATGCCCCCCAGTCCTGCAAGAAAAGCACCAGGCACTGATCACAGACTCCCAGGCCAGCAGCAGCAGGTGTGAGAGGCTTAGGGGAAGGAGAAGAAGGGTAGCCTCTCTCTGTAAAGGTGAACTCCTGTCTCCTCTAGGATGCAAAGGGAATCTCGATTCAGACTCTCAGACACCTGGAATCCCTGCTGAGAGTCCAGCGGGAGCAGAAGGCCCGGAAGTTTTCTGAATTTCTGAGTCTGAGGGGAAAGCTTGTCAAGGAAGTCACCAGCAGAGCGAAGGAGAGACAGGAGAATGGCGCTGTGGTGTCCCAGCCAGACGGGCAGCCTTCAGGTACACTGGGGAGAGGGCTTGCTCAGGGCTGTGACCTGTAAGGGTCCCATTCTTGCCAAAACTTGTTTGCACATGAGGAGGGTATAGTCTCTGTCCCCCATTAGGGGCACTTCTCTGAAGGGCTGAGCTGGTAGGGTCCTTACAGGGGACTGAGTCCAGAAGTTCTCTGTTGAGGAAATAGGATCTGGGGTGGAGTGGGGGCATTTGTCCAGGGTCACTCGGGGAAGTTGGAGGAGAGCCGGAGCTGGAGCCTGTTGTCAGCCTGAACTGTCCCTGTGCAGACATGCTGCCTCCCTTAGCACCTTCATTCTGTTTGGCTTGTTGCGACCACAGTTGAGTGTCTCTTCAACAGAGAGCAGCCTATTCAGTTTCTGGCTCTACACACCAGGCATGCCAGCCTGGGGAGGCAGGCAGAGGCCCGGGAGCATTGAAGCTGCAGGTGGAGGCAAATATCAATTGAATGTAAACTTCTGCAGAGCTCAGATAGCCCCTGCTCTGGCCATGGGAGAGCATGAGAGACTGGGCCAGTTCTGCACGCAGATGAATTCTCAGAGCTCATAGTTGGTTCCTTGGGCCAGGTCATAGCTGCCACTTTACCATTTGTCCATGCTCTGGGGGTCATGACAAGAGAAGGCCCTGTGGTTCTGGTGGAACACGAAATTCTGTGGACCAGGACCCTTGAGTCTGTTCTTACGGAGCAAGTGTATTTGTGTTCCCAGGTTTGAGAGCCCCCTGTTTCCAGAGGGTTCCAAGAGGGTCTGGGCTGCTGTGGTGAGAGGCTCTGGGGAGGGCTTCAGTGGGTCTGGTCTGCTCATGCAGGTGCTGTCCTGCTCCTTTTACTTCGTCTCCTCAGTCAGGGACACATGTGGCCAGAAGGAGGCCAGTTCTGTATCTCCTGTGTCCAGGAAGAACCGATTTGAGCTCTTCATGCAAAAAAATTTTGCAGAGTATGGCCCACGTATCTCTGAGGATATGAGAGATGATTTTAGTTGCTACATCAACCAATCATTTTATAACTTATTTTTATTTTTCCTCATGTGAATTAGAAGAAAATAAGACTAACATAGCAATCCTGTGAGCTCATGGAAATTATTACTTGGACAAGTATCAAGCAGGTATTTTGTGCTTAAAAGCATTGTCATTTTGGCATGAAAATATGGTAAAAAAATGTATTGATGACCTGGGAAACTATAATATTTAGTTTAAACTTCTGGCCTTAAAATCTCTAAGGAAAGGACGGTTTTTATCTTGCATAGAAATCTCAGACAGAAGGGTATTTGTCCTGGTTGCCAATCTGCCTTTTATGCTCCAATTTAAACGTATATCCTTTTGCTCATTCAGTCAAATGTTCATTCATTCATTTGCCCACTCATTCATTTAGTACAGTACTTGCTGAGGTTGACTCTGTGCCAGGGCCTTCCACCTCACCTGGGAAATCAGCCAGGACCAGGTGATGTGATGGAGCCAAGCATGGGGGTGGTGGGAGCTCAGAGGAGGGAGGGGACAGGGACTTGGGGAGGATGAATGGAAAAACCCTCGGAATGCTGGCTTCCAAGAGAAAGCAAAGGTATCTTGCTCCTTCTAGGTGCTACGCCCCACCCACTCCCACACACCTTTGTTCCTGTAGTAAAAAAGCCAGGAGGGAGAGCCCCCTTCGCAGCCTTCCCTTTCCCTGGCCCTGGGGTTCTGCCTTCTCTGGAGATGTTACTGAGTTGTGAGATGAGCGCTGTGTTTTTGTGGCATTTTGTAGACCTTTCCTTCCAGCTCTGCACCTTTATTCTTTTCCTGGGTCCCACAAGTGCTGTCTTAATGCTCACCTCCCATTTCTGCTTGGACCCTGCCTCTTCTGTGGCCTGGGCAAGGCTGTGGGAAGTAGCGGTGAGGGCCCAAGATTAGGGCAGACAGACAACCTGGGTTTGTATTCACCACTTTCTTCCGTGGAGCTGAGGGCAAGCCTCTGTAGGGAAAATGATAGCCTCTGAAGATGCTCGGGGGCCAAGTGGTTGTATGTAAAGTGCTTTTCTTAGTATCTGGTACACAGTCATGGGAAGCTATTGTTATTTTCCCCCAGCAGGCTTGTCTTTGTCTTCCCCTTCTCTTCAGTTCACTCTTTCCTGGAAGCTCCACTTCTGAGTAGACACATTCACTGAGAGCAGTGCATAGCTGGCCCTTGAACAATGCAGGGGTCAGGGGCGCAAACCCCCCATGCAGTTGAAAATTTGCGTGTAACTTTTGACTGCCCCAAAACTTAACTACTCATAGCCTACTGTTGACCAGAAGTCTTACCGACAATATGGACTATTAACACACATTTTGTATGTTATATGAATTATAAGCTGTATTATTACAATAAAGTAAGCTAGAGAAAAGAACATGTTATTAAGAAAATCACAAGGAAGAGCAAATATGTTTACTATTCATTAAGGGGAAGTGGATCATCATAAAGGACTTCATCCTTGTTATCTTTGTGTTGAGTAGGCTGAAGAGGAGGAGGAAGAGGAGGGGTTGCTCTTGCTGTCTCACGGGTGGCAGAGTCGGAAGAAAATCCACGTATAAGTGGACCCATGGCTGTTCAACCCCACGTTGTTTCGGGGTCAACTGTATTTCAAACATTTTCTGATCTTGAATTACTGTAAGAAACTCATTTTACATTGTGACCCAATCCACACATGTCTGACTCCCTGTGATGCACTCTCTCTCTTCTCTTCCCATAAAAACTTGCTGATCCGGGACCGCTCTTGTGGCTATAGGTCTTGATGCAATTTGGAAAACAGAGGGGCTGTGTCCAATTGCCTGCCTTGGTACTGCCTTGCCCCAGACTGCATTTGGGAGGAGGTTTGAGTGGATCTTGATGGTTCATGCAGTCCTGCGGCGACCTCTGGTGGCAGTGGGGTCTTCCTGCAGGACTGCCTGCAGTGCAGCGGCTGTAGCGTGGGTTGGGGAGAGGGTAGCAGCCTTGGTGAAGTCCATCTAGGACTACTGAGCCCCTCTTCAGGCCCGCGGACTCCTGCTGGTCTTCAGTAATGACAACACGACCCTGGAGCACCCAGCTGCTCTCCTGGTCTCTGATGAAACTGTGGAACTGTGGTCCTAGCCTCGAATCTGGCCAGCAGAACACCTGATTTGGCAACAGTCATGAAATC
Organism: Homo sapiens; assembly: GCF_000001405.40. NCBI lineage: Eukaryota > Metazoa > Chordata > Mammalia > Primates > Hominidae > Homo > Homo sapiens. The sequence continues at coordinate 138,068,499 of NC_000003.12, read as the reverse complement.
TGCTGTGGTTATTACAGCACGGAGAGGGAGTAATTGTTCATTTCCAGGGTGTTGGAGCCACTTTCTCCCTCCTCTTAGGCTTGAGATCCAGCATGGGTGTACTCCAAAAATCATTCCTTTCTGTGTTTCCAGTCAAAAGCCAGCAGAGCACACTGGTCACCAGAGAGGCCCAGCCAAAGACCAGGACCCTGCAGGTGGCCTTGCCATCCACACCGGCAGAGCCACCCCCACCAACTCGTCAGAGCCATGGCAGCCATGGCTCCAGCCTGACCCAGGTGTCCGCCCCCGCTCCACGCCCCGGACTGCATGGACCCTCCAGCACCCCTCCTTCCTCGGGGCCCGGGATGAGGTGAGCCCCAGACTCTGCCCTCTCACCCCACCTGCAGTGGTGGCTCCTGGATTCAGGCAGTCCTGTTCTGGGCTCCCTCCAGGCTTCTGCAGATAGGAGGGGGGCAGACACATGTGAATAGAAGGTGCCTCAGGTGGGGTCCAGTCTGAGCTCTGGACTTGAGAACCTGTGCTCCCAGCCAAGACAAACCCACCCTCCCCTTACCCATGTCCTCCCCCAAACCCGTTCCCCCTCCAGAGGGGCTGGATCCTCAGATGGGCAGGGCTCTACTAAGGGAGATACTGGTGTGGCTGCTGCACTCCAGGGGTCTCCTGGCTGTCTTCTGGGCCTGAGGGAGGGAGCAGGGCTGGCCCTGAGCAAACCAAACCAGCTTGAAGCGTGGTGAAGTTTGGCTTTTGAAGTTTTCTTTCTGGCCCATGCATCCCTCATTTCTTCTCCTCCTCGTGGCAGCACGCCCCCGTTCAGTTCTGAAGAGGACTCAGAGGGAGACCGTGTGCAGCGTGTGTCTCTACAGCCCCCAAAAGTTCCTTCCAGGATGGTGCCCCGGCCCAAGGATGACTGGGACTGGTCTGACACAGAGACCTCGGAGGAGAATGCCCAGCCCCCTGGCCAGGGCTCAGGTGAGCTGGCACCTTTGGGTGAGTGGGCTGGGACCACCGGTGTAGCCCTTCTCCAGCCCAGATTTCTCAAGGCTCCAGAAACACCCTTTAGCTTCCTTTAGGCTTTCTTATTTGACATCTCTTTCTCTATTTGGCTTGGAAAGGATGGTCCTCCTTCGCCTCAGATATTTTTTTGTGGGATAGCAGAGATATCAGGAGAAAGCTAGAGTTTGAGCAAGGTTTAGTTTTACCCCTTGTTTTGTCATTAAATTGTTAACTGTGGGAGGTTGAAGGGAGCCATTCACCCCTTTTCTCCTCCATGTTCTTTCCAGTAGAGAGTAAACACTGTGGCCAGCTACGGGAGATCAAAGCCTCGCTCTAGTAGTGGTGACAGGGCCCAGGAATGCCTGAGGCATAGGCTTCCTGTTAGGGCTGGATTAGAGGAACAACCCGCACTTGAGGCCAAAGTGGGGGCCCCTCCAGCCTCCCCAAATCCAGATCCCAATCTTACTTGTGTGCAGGGCTGGGTTTGCAAAGAAGACCCTGAGTGTGCAGGCCCTTAAACAGGCAGCTGTAGGGTACACTCCAGCCAGGCTCCAACCCCAGCCACAGGGGCGGGGAGGGTCCGAGAGAAAGAGCTGGCACTGTCTTCTGGATCAGCGGCCCTCCTTCAGGTGCGCCGTGGCCCAGGGTGTGTTGTAGGCCCACCCCTCTGCTTGGCTTCTTCTGTGAGAGAGGGTAGTATGTGGGGAAGAAACTGGGAGGGTGTTTCTCCTATCCTTGTCCATCTCGGTGAGTAGAGCAGAAGTTCCTTCTTCTGTGGAAGCTCGAGGCGTGTGAGAGAAGGCTCTCCCCTCTATGTTGGTGTTGCTGGGTGCTCACCGCGTGCTCAGCTCTGTGTGGATCTCTTCGCACAAGTCTCCTCATTTACTCCTCACAGCACTGATGAGGGAAGGCTGAGCCACACACATCGTGACAGAAGTTGAAACTAAGCCTCATAGACATTATGACTGGCCCAAGACCACAGAACGATGTCATGGCAAGTTGAGATTCTGTATGATGTTTTTGAAGTTAATGTGTTAGAGTCACTGTTTATTTATTTACTTGTAAACCATTTTTCCCCCCAGAAAGAGCTGCCTTTAGCTGTGTTCCCAATGTTAAGAATATCCCCATAGTCTTTAATGCTGTTTGAGTTCATTAGCACCAGATCAAGAGTTGGTGGTCATAGAGTTAAATATCACAGTGGTCAAAGTAGCCTCCAAGGTAAACCTCAGTTACAACTTGAAGGGAAAACAGTTTCCTACCATGAACATTTTGACAAATATAGTTTTCAAGAACACATAGAGTGTAACACACATAACTTTTTGCAACAACTCAATTGTGAAAAATGTGGCTTCCCAGCAAAGCTTGAGACAGAGGAGGCAGCCACAGTCAACCTTTATAGCAGGCTGCCTTTGGGCCATGCAGCCTGTTTCATCATACAGGAAAGCTCTTTGCCCTTTTCAGCCAAGAGACTTAGAAATTCAACTTGTTGGTGGAAAGGGCATTGTAGAGACCTGAGCTAACTGTCATGGTAAGTGGAATGAAAATATTCGTTAAACGTATTATTTTCTATCTAACAGGTTGCAATGACTAGTTGAGCCTCCTTCTTTTCAAAACAACTGTCTACTCCCATTCTTTCAAGATTTTCCTATAAAACTGCCAACTGAGGCCTGTAGCTTCTGGCTTCAGTTGTATTTTCTAGCCAAGGCTGTGTTAAAGAATATGGAATTTAGAGTTTTGTCTTTCCAAGGTCAGTAAGTAGAAACCCTGGGATGTCAGGCTAGGCTTGCGGTCTGCAAATTTCTTGCTCTTAATAGACTCTGCAGTACTTGGCCATGTTTACAGCATAAGCCAAGCCTGCCAGTCCATCAGAATTCACCAGAAACAGATCTTTGGAGAAGTATCGATGCCCACCAGGCAAGGGCAATAGGGTGGCAAGGTCTTGGGACTGGGTGTTAGGAATCTTCAGAGAAAGTCTTGGCTCTGCCACTTACTACCTGCTTGTCCTTGTGCAGGTGGTTTCTGATCCTTTGTTATAAAATGAGGTATTTGGACAAGGTGATTAATGAGAGGGCAAGGAAACAGTGCCTGCTACATCGTAGGCCCTTAACAAACATTTCTTGAATGAATCAATGAGCCAAGGGCTGTTGTAGCTCCAAAAGTCTGCTCAGACCTTGATTTCATTTGAATCGTAGAAGGCTGTAGTTAGCTTCCTGCTTCCTGGTCATTCCTGAGGTTCATACATTACCTTGGTGTGCCAGGCATCAGGGATCTATTTGATGATCTCTGTCACTGCTTAGCTCCTGCTTCCTGCATGGACTTTGCAGAAAGTCATTCTTGCCTGTGGTCCTCCTGTGCTAATCTTTATGATATTTCTTCTTGTCTCTGTATAAAGATGTTGAGGAACTAACTGCATGTTAGTGATACAGTTCATTCCCCACACTGAGCAGAGGTCCTGCCTCAGCCTCTCATTAGAGGGAAGCACAGCTTCCTAAGCCTCTGTCACTAGCCATGTCATTAAGTTTGCACAGTCACATTTTCAGAATATGCCAAGCCTCTGTTCACTGGGTACCTGTTGGCCTGGCCTTCTCTGTCTCCTTTTTTGTGGTTGCTCAGCCTTCTTCCTCCTGGCCCTTCTGCTCATTCCCTCTATCCACACTGGAGCCTGGACATGAGCCACAAAACTGAGATGTTCATTTTCTAGGCTTCTCCCACTGACACAGCCACTTTTTCACCTTCCAGGAACACTGGTGCAGTCGATGGTCAAAAACCTGGAGAAGCAGCTAGAAGCTCCAGCAAAGAAGCCTGCTGGAGGGGTCAGTCTGTTTTTTATGCCCAATGCTGGGCCACAGAGGGCTGCCACACCAGGAAGGAAGCCTCAGGTAGGATGTAGGATGCTTAGAGTTTACTCTGGAATTCTCTACAGAACCAGCTCTGAGTTTGGGGGGCCTGGGGTGAAGGTTGGGGAGGGCCCAGCAAGTGTCATCCTTTGCCCTAGTGGGACATTGTGGGTGACCTCCCTCTGCCCCTGTGCACATGGAGAGATGGCCAGTTTGGAATACTTGTATCCAAGTTAACATTAAAAAGCCTTTTGGTTCATTATATAAGCAATGCTCAGTAAGTTTTGATTGTCCCATCTCCTGCCTCTCGGAGAGCTTCGGAGCTGACTCTGTGTCTGGCATCCTGCAGCAGCTGCTCTTCCAGCCCGGTCTCATCCCACAGTGGGCTCCTCCCCAGTCCCTCACTCTGCCATGGACCCTAACACAATATGTGTGTGGAGCGGACTCCCCCAAGGGTGGTACTGGAGTGGCCTCGCATAGCACATCAGAGTAGGTAACAGCACAAGATGGGAATATTTAGATACCTCTGTTTTAGAAACCTGAGCCTCCTTGCCTCAGACTGTAGCCACCATCAGATTTTCAGACTTAGAGCTCAGATGTTGGGCTTCCCCAGCATCATCAGACCCTCCTCACTGCCCGTCTCTCCTCCATCAGGGAACAACTTGCACACTGCTGTTATTTTTCAAGCAGAAAACTTTAGAGCTCCCTTTACTTCACACTCCTTTCTCACCTTTCTGTATCAAAAAGGTGCATCCTGGGATAATCAGTGCTATTGCTTTAAAATTTCAAGTGGTGGGCAACCATTCTTTGGTTTTTGATAGCACTCCCTGCTCTTTACCACAGTGTGTTTGGTTTACCACACAGCTCCTGTATGTTTGTGAGTAATGCATCCAAATGATTGAAAAGAAAAAACTTGTTCCTTTTTCCAAATTGTGAAAGAGCACCAACAGCCCCAAACAGATTGAGGCGCCGCTCAGAGCATGCTTGCTGCCCTGCACCCTGCATGGGTTCTGATTGGTCGGTCTTACATTCCTGGAGAAGATGCATAGGATGGCTTGTATCAAAGCCCAGGTGGCCAGCAGGGGCACTGAGGACTCCAGAGGGGAAAGCCTGGGCTGCTACGCAGGTGGCTGTGGTCAGGGGGTGGCCTGGTCCCTTGGCTGACTCTGAGCTGTCCTGCTGGCTGCAGTGCAGACCCTTCCAGGCTGAAGGACTCCTGTTGCTCCCAAGCTCCTCTCATGCTCCTTCAGTCAGGATGTTTACCAGACCTGAGGGAACCTGTCTGAGAGGAGGCGGGTCATTAGCCCACAGTGCATTCAGCTCGCGAACTTGGAACAGTCGAGTTTCTGGGCTTCTGGCTCTGTCCAAGAGGGAGTTAAAAATCTGCCCAAAGTTGAAGTGAAAATGAGAGCAACCTTCTCTGCACATAGGCCTTTCCAAGGCACTTGCCTGGGTTTGGTTAGTAGAATTTCAGGGGTATTTGAAATCACCCTGATCCCAGGTCACTAAAGCAGGTTCTCAAAGGCAGGAAGACTTGAGAAGTCAGGAGGAGTAGCATCTCCCTATTGCTTTCTTCCCAGTCTGCATTTGTCCCCATTTCCATTCTGCATTCCCATCCTGCAATGTGCTTAGCTCTCAGCCACCCTCCTCCCTTATCAAAATGCATTTTCTTCTCCCCTTTACCCCCTGCAGCTTTCTGAAGATGAGAGTGACTTGGAGATCTCCTCCTTGGAAGATCTTCCTCTGGACCTGGACCAGAGAGAGAAACCCAAGCCCTTGTCTCGCTCAAAGCTCCCAGAGAAGTTTGGCACTGGTCCACAGAGCTCTGGCCAACCCAGGGTCCCTGCCTGGTGATTCACCCCAGAAGCTAGCTGGCTAGAGGGTTAGCCTGGCTGGGGCCAGCTCAGGTCCACTTCAACAGAAGAGGCTGCTGGGCCTCTTGTCTTCACAAACAACCAAGAGATCATCCTCTTGGAGAGAAGCAGTGCAGGGAATGGATATGATCTCATCCCTCCTGACCTGTGAGGGGCCCTGCTGTAGATGGCCACAGGTGCCTGACTAGGAGCCCCTAGGTCCCCAGGCTTGAGAAAGGGTTAAAATAGAACCTCCAGGTAGTTTTCTTCCTCTACCTCCACATCCCCCCAAGACTGAAAAGAGTCACTAACTCTCTTTTCCCAAGCCTTTTATAAAACTGCAGGAACACTGTGGAGATGGTTCCTATCTGGGGTCCTTTTGGGGACATATGCCTCAGTCAGTCATTCAGTGATTGATCCAAAATTATTTACTGAGTGCCTACCTACTCTGCGCCAGGCTCTCTAGCCTCTCACTACTGAGTTAGGGTGCAGGCAGAGGCTGGGGCAGAATGTTTACAGCCAGTGCCAGCACAAGGTAGTAATCTAGTGACAGAGAACAGGGTGTTATGGGGAGCATATGAGAGGCCATCTATCCCAGCCTGGGTGATCCTGGAGAGTTTCCCAGGGTTGTGATATGTGGCAGGCCTACTCATGGGTGGGAAGGGAGGATGGCCACTTGGCTGGACCTTGTATCCCCAAAGGACCACACGTGTAATTTTTGATATTATTTCCAAAATCAGGTTTTATACATAGCCATTGTATATTTTTAGTGTGAAAAACATTAATATATTATATGCAAACATTTAAATATAGTACAATGTTTTTAACTCTGGTATGTATTTCATTATTTTTGGAGCTTTCAGGGGGTTGGGAGGGAAGGAAGCAACTGCATCTTAATTGTGTCAGTTTAGGTCTTTTGGGACATGGTTGCCAAGATGGAGTTATTGAGGAGCTGCACTTGGGAAAGAAAAGGAGGTGGAGGTAGGATCCAGTGGGGAAAGGCCGCAGACTGCAATGCACACCTGACCACTGTGAACAGAAAGAGAGAAGGAAGCTGGAGGAGCCAGGAGAACTCAGGGCATTGATGTGTTGACAAGGTCTCCACTGACCCAGTGGGGAGCTCCTGAGCAAGAACTGCCCACTTGGGAGTCCCCATTGTGCAGAAATGGCCAGGCTCTCATGCCTGCACTGCACTTGGCCATTGGCTGGGGTGGCCCAGACTGAATGAGACCTTGACTTGAAAGCTGGAGTGAACCTTGGAGTGAACCTGTCAGTCAATTTCATTTCTCCTGGTTGAGTGGCATTTTTTTTTTTTTTTCCTGAAAGGGAGACCTAGCAAAGAACCTCCATCCCTGACACAGCAAAGATCTATTTTTAACTTTTTGTTATGGAAAGTTTCAAACACATATATGAGTAAAGGGAATAGTGTGATGAACCCATGTGCTCATCACTGGGCTTCAAATATTATCAGCTCAACTCAAGGTCAATCTTGTTTCATCTATTACCACCTCCAACTCACCCAGACTTCCTTTGACCTTTGGGTGGTCCTGACACCTGGAGAGGCCTTGAAGTTCTCGTAGGAAGGTGATGGAGGAAACACACTGCAGGGAGCAAAAGGGGTCTGGTGGTGGAGTAGGGTAGCTGGGGGAGGGGGCAGGCTGGGGGTGTTGTCGTACAAAGGAAGCTGCTCAATGAGGAAGCTCAGGAGAGCTGGAGAGCTGATGCTACCAGATCAGCCCACAATCTTGATGGGATGGGAGTTGATGAGTAATTGCTCCAGGCTTCCTGTGCTTCTGTGGGGCACCTCTGAGTTTTATTCTGCACAGTTTCTCAGAGTCCCTTGTGGGATTGAGTGCTAGTTCTCACTAGTATGCAGTTACTATTATTAATGCATAGTTCATCGGCCTTCCTCTTTTCTGTTTCATTTTTCTCACTCCCTTACTTCTTTCTCTTATGAGCACCTCTGAGGTAAATTAATCTGCACCCAAGTCCTTGTTTCTAGCTCCACTTTTGGGGGAATGCAAATGTAAACAGTAAATGTGTTTGGACTTGTGTGCACACACTGGTGATGATTATCAATGAGAATGTCTCTGTTCTTGAATGTTCATCATTACGTTATATGTTTCCAAATGGGTTTTTCTATCTACTTTGGAGGGTTTGACTAACGTATTACTTTGGTGTTTCTATGCTGTGTTCACCCCTTCCCATTTTCAAATATATTTTAAAATTCTTTAGTAAGTTGTATTAGGTCTCAATAGAAACAGAACTAGTAGGATATATGGATAGATAGATACTTATGGGTATTTATTAGCCAGTTTCCCTAATAAATGACAGGGGATTTATTAAGGGAATTAGCTGATGTGATCACGGCATAGGCTGTCTGCAAACTGGAGAATGAAGGAAGCTGGTAGAGTGGCTCAGTCTAAATCCGAAAGCCGGAGAACCTGGGACTGTTGGTGCAGGTCCTGGGGCCTGAGAACCTGGAGTTCTGACATCCAAGGACAGAAGCTGGGTGTCCCAACTCCAGAGAGAAAGCCTTTCTATATAGGCTGGCAGCAGATTGGATGGTGTCCCCCACAATGGGAGAGGGCAGATTTTCCTCACTCAGTTTACTGATTCAAATGCTAATCTCTTCTGGAAGCACCTTCTCAGACCTACTCAGAAGTAATGCTTCACAGCTGTCCAGGTATCTCTTGCTCTCATTAAATTGAACTAAAATTAACCAGCACAAGATTTGCCAGAACTGTGGAACGTATGTAACAGATCATTTAAAAATTAGACAAATGATAAGGTTGATACAGAAAAATTAGAAAATACAGATAATCAAAAAGAATATAACCCACAAATTCAGTCAATTATTGTTAACATCTAGATGTACATGCACTGGTGAAAAAAAAAACTCCTTCCTAGGGTTCAACTATATTCTTCTCTAGCTTGATTTTCTCCTGGAAAACAGATTACAAATGTCTTTATATCAGTACACATGTACATGTCAGTACGTATAAATATAAGACAGTTATATATAATGGCCACCTCGTATTCCAGGCAAAGATTACAAAAGTTTTTTTAACCAGACATTTCTACTTTTTGCATTTTATAAATCATGAAGTGATTAAAAAAATGTGTATATGTGTCTTTGTGCACTTGATTAAGATTTCCTTAAAATAAATTCTTAGAAGTGAGGTTGCTGGGCCAACATAATAATGAAAGCCAGCACCATATGCCAGGCACTGGTCCAAGTTTGGTACCAATATTATGATTTAGCCTCACAGCAGCCCTTGAGATGGATGCCACTATTATAGTACATGCATTTCATGGGCTAGGAATTGAGGTACACAGCAGCTAAGAAACTTGTTTTGGGTCCTGCCACCAGTGAGTGGTGTGACTGCAATCTGACTTTGGCAGCCTGGCCCTGGCACTCTAGCTCCTTTCCCCATGTACTTTTGTTACATATTGCCAAATGCTTTCCAGAAAACTGGAGCCAATTTAGTCTACTAGTGTTTGGAGCACACAAGAAAGCTAGTTTTTGCATTCCCTTGCTACCAGGGATATCATTAATCTTTCAATGTTTTGGCCACGTGATACGTGAAAAATGAAACCTCACCTTTTAAGAAACTTGCATTTTTAAGATTTCTTCTAAAGTAAAATTATTTTTTATTTCTTTTTCATGTTGGTTGTTGCTATTTCTTCTTTTATGAGTTGCCCGTAGTTCACTTTTCTTGTTGCTGTTTTCTTTATCTCTTTATTATGAAAAATTTCAAGCATATATAAAAATAGAATTGTGTAATGACCTTGGTGTTCCTATTACTCAGTTTTAACAATTACCAACCCATAGAGAATCTTGTTTCCTGTATATCTTTCGCCAAATAATATTGTATGTTTTAATATGATACTGCATATTATTCCAAGTAATATACATGTAATATTACATATTATCCCAAATAATATCATTATGTCTACAAACATTTCTGTATGTGTCTCTAAAAGATACTTCCTTTTCAAAAATAACCATTGTACCACCATCACACTACAACAAAAATCAGTACTTTTTTTCTAAATGTCATCAAATATCAATTCTCTGTCTACAATTCCTCTATTTTACTACACATATTTGTCTTTTTTAACCTATAGATTCCTCTTTCATTTTTCCCTCTTTCCTGTCTTCCCTTCTTCCCTCCTTTCCTCTCTTCCTTTCCCTTTTCCTTCCCCATGATTTTTATTATTTTTACTGTTGCTGAATAAATCAGATTGTTCATCTTGTGGAATTCCCCACAGTCTGGGTTTTGCTGATTGATTACTGTGGTGGTATTTAATGTATTCCTCTTTCTCCTGAACTATCTGTAAATTTGTAGTTAGAGCTAAATACTTGATCAGGTTCAGCTTTGACTACTTTTTTGTGTTTTGGCAGGACTCTTCATTGGTGGTTTTGTGCATCTCCATCAGGAGACACAGAATATCTTTTTCTCCTTTCTTGTGATGTTGGTGATGGCATTGGTGATAGACATTGATGACCATTGCCTAAATCCATCTTTTTTTTTTTTTTTTTTTTGAGACAGAGTCTTGCACTGTCACCTGGGCTGGAGTGCAGTGGTGCGATCTCGGCTCACTGCAACCTCCGCCTCCCGGGTTCAAGTGATTCTTCTGCCTCAGCCTCCCCAGTAGCTGGGATTATAGGCGCCCACCACTATGCCCAGCTAATTTTTTGTATTTTTAGTAGAGACGGGGTTTCACCATATTGGCCAGGCTGGTCTTGAACTCCTGACCTTGTGATTCGCCCTCCTCGGCATCCCAAAGTGCTGGGAATACAGGTGTGAGCCACTGCGCCCAGCCCAATCTATTAATTAGAAATCTCTAAAAGTTTAATAGTCTGTTTGTTATTCCTTTGACATTTACTAGCTGGAAAACTTCTGTAAAGAGGAATTCTCCACATCAAACTGTCTGGTTGCTCTGAGGTGCAATTCATACAGGTAAAGCAGCTAAAGGCTCAAGTCTTTCTTTTTTCAGAATAATGAATGAGCTTCCTAGTATCTTCAATAGGTGTCATACAACCTTATAGATTTAAATATATTTGATTTGTTTAAATCCTTTGTACTATTATCCTTATTAACGCTGAGATTGTACTGTCTTGGGGTGCCTCTTTAATTTGGTTCTCGAATGATTTTGATATGACCTTAGTAGTCCGATAGCTTCCTTCCAGGCTCATTGCATACCTTTCTTGTCCCAGACCTAAAATTAGTAATTTATCTGGGGGAATCCTGGTTTCTTTTAGAAGCAAGTTATATTTATAGACATCTGGGTGCTAGGAGTGCCTATCACTACTGGACTTACTGTTTCTAAGATCTTTCAGTGCACAGAGATAGGAAATACAATAAAAATATTGTGAGTTCATGTTGATATTCCCTATTCAAATTCCTGACTACAGAAGTTTTACTTTATCTCGTTGACCTAACATGTGTATCGCTTTTCTTCCATACCAAAAATCCTGGCTGTTAACATCACAATCATAGTCTTAGACATAACAATACCCACCCTATTGCTTATTGTATGAATACTGAAAACAATTTAAAATTTATTATTAACTTTTTTGGAGTTGTTTTTGTCCTTAAGGTAGATCCTACTTGGAATGTCCAGTTAAATTACTGTGTTATAAAGTCACTTGTAGTTCTTTTCTGTGGTTATGCTACTGAATGCCTTATTTTACTTTTGATTTTTAGACTGCATTTTTATTGTGTAATTTGTGTCTTATTGCTCTTAAGAGTTTTTAATATATTGAAAATATTAGTCCTTTATTATATATGTTACTTTTTCTCCTTTCTAGTCAATCATTTGTCTTTTAATTATGTTCATGGAGTTCTTTGCTATAAAGAGATTTTAAGTTGTAGCTGTCTAATTAATCAGTGTTTTACTTTGTAATTTCTGCTTTTGGTGTCATAATTAGGAAGGTCTTTTCCATTCTAAGACTTCTACATGTTCATCTATATTTTCTTTTACTAGTTTAAAAAGTTTTAAAATTTTGAATATTTAATATATCCGGATTTTTTGAGGGGTGTTAGCAGTAAGTTAGGAATCTATTTTATTTTTACAATTAGCCAGTCATCTCAGCAGCATTACTTGACAATTCATCCTTTCTTCACTTAAAAAATACCTGCTTCATCAAATGTAAATTATTGTATGTGGTTAGTCTATTCCTGGACTTTCTGTATATTTCATTAATCTGACTATTCTGTTACTATTCTGGTATTGCACAGTTTTGTTTTTAAAAATTCATTTTTAATTGTGGTAAAATAACCCATAAAATTTATCATCTTAACCACCTCTAACTGTATTGTTCGGTGGTGTTGAGTATATGAACACTCTTGTGCAACCAATTTCCAGAATTTTTCGTCTTCCCCAACAGAAACTTTATACCCATTAAACAATTCCCTATCTCCCCCCACCCAGTTGCAGGCAACCACCATTCTACTTTCTATTTCTATGATTTTGACTACTCTAAGTACCATGTATGGTAGTATCATACAGTATTTGTCTTTTTGTGACTATCTTATTTCACTTAGCATAATGTCATCAAGGTTTATCCATGTTGCAGTGTGTGTCACAATTTCCTTTTTAAGATTAAATAATATTCCATTGTATGAATATATATCATTAAAGAATCCATTTGTCTGTTGACACTTGGGTTGCTCCCACATCTTGACTATTGTGAACAGTGCTGCTATAAACACAGCTGTGCAAATATTTCTCCAGGATCCTATTTTTAACTTTTTTGGATATATACCCAGAGTGGAATTACTGGATCATATAGTAATCATATAGTCTATTTTTTTATTTTTCAGGAACCTGTATACTGTTTTCCATTTTATTTTCCCACTGACAATGCACAAATGTTCCTATTTCTCCCCATCTTTGCTGACACTTGTTATTTTCTGTTTTTAAAAAAATATCAGCCATCCTAATGGATGTGAAATAATATCTCATTGCAGTTTTGATTTGCATTTCCCTAATGATTTGTGATGTTGAGCATCTTTTTATATGCTTGTTGGCCATTTGTGTATCTTCTTTGAAGAGATGTTTATCCAAGTCCTTTGCTTATTTTAAAATTGGGTTATTTGGGTTTTTTGTTGTTGAGTTATAGGAGCTTTATATATTGTGGGGTTAGATATGATTTGCAAATGGTTTTCTCTCATTTTATAGGTTGCCTTTTACTCTGTTCATTTTGTGTTTTGATGCAGAATTTTCAATTTTTATGTAGTCACGTTTATCTATTTTTACTTTTATTGCCTGTGTTTTGGTGTCATCTCCAAGAAATCCTTGCCAAATCCAATGTTGTGAATATTTCTCCCTATCTTTTCTTCCAAGAGTTTTATAGCTTTAGGTCTTATATTTAGGTCTTTGATCCAGTTAAATTTTGTATATGTTATAAGGTGGGGAGGGGGGAGGTCAAATTTCGCTATTCCGGACATGGATATCAAGTGTTCCTAACACCATGTGTTGAAGAGACTGTCCTTTTCCCATTGAATGGTCTTAACACCCTTGTTGAAAATCATGTGACCATATATGCAATTTTTATTTCTGGGGTCTCTATTCTACTCCATGGGTCTACATGTCTGTCTTTATACTAGTACTACACTATTTTGATTATTATAGCTTTGTCATAAATTTTGAAATCAGGAAGCATGAGACCTTCACTTTTGTTTTCCTTTTTCAAGATTGTTTTGGCTATTCAGGGTCCCTTGAGATTCCATATGAATTTTAGGATAGATTTTGCTATTCCTGCAAAAAATGTTGGGATTTTGATAGAGATTGCATCACATTTGTAGATTATTTTGGGTAGTATTTACATCTTAACAATACTAAGTCTTTCAATCCATGATCACATGATGTGTTTCCATTTATTGGTGTCTTCTTTAATTTTTTCCAGCAATGTTTTGAAGTTTTTAGTGTACAAATCTTTTGTTTGCTTGATTTGGTGTATTATTATCTTATTCTTTTTGATGTTATTATAAGTGGGATTGTTTTCTTAATTTCTTTTTCAGATTGTTCATTATTAATGTATAGAAATGCAACTGATTTTTGTGTGTTGATTTTGTATCCTTTAACTTTGCTGAATCCATTTATTGGTTCTAACAGTGAGCTATTCTTAGTCATGGAAATTTTATCATATGTTTTACCATCTTGCAAGACACAGATACTCTGATTATTTTTCTCTTTTAGAATTTTATATTGGCTATTTTTCAAATTTGAAATCACATCACATTCTTGTGAGGCCATCCCAATCTCCACATATGGATGAACGCATGGAATGCTCTGATGGGTAGGTGCCTTCATGAATTCTAATTAGAAATCTTCTTTGAAGTTGAGTCTTGAACCTTAGTTGTGGGCATCTTCTGAATACTTCTAAGCAGAAAGTCTCATTTCTCGCAATTCTTCCTGTTCTGGATTCTCATTAGGCTAGTTCTCTGTAATGCAGGAGTATAGTCCCTGGTAGTGTGAGGTAGCATTGTGCTATAGGCTGTTAACAAAAAGTTTTGCAGTTGATCCAAGGTTGCTAACTTTTATTTTGCCAAGTCAGCACATAAAATAAAGTATGCAACAATCACCATCATTTTATAAAGGACACTTTAATACCAGAAGAGTAAGAAGATAAGACTCTCCAAGAATGGACAATTGGCCTCATACTTTGTCTTAGACAAATGAAAATTTAGCAATGGACCAGCTCTGGCCCACAGCCTAGCACTTGGGAGCTGCTGCACTGGTTTGTGTCTTTGGACCATACCAGCTCTTCCCTTCCATGACTGCATGGTTCAATATAAAAAGGGAAAATTTAATTAGCTATATTTTCTGAGGTAAACTGAAGAATGTCCTGAACTTATACATATAGGGATAACATTGATTGGAAATATATAATAGGTTTATAGTGACAACCTGAAAAAGGTTTTTATCACCTGAAAACCTGAGCCCACAATTTAGGAAGTAGAAGATGCTCTGGTCTTGTGGCTGGAACCTAGTAGTGGTGTGTAACTGAGATAAAGATGAAGACCATTTTCAGCTTTAGAAAATCCAAAGTGAATTACATATTTATAATAAGCTGACTCACATGCTATAACCAAATTCTAGGCTTTTAGGGAATCTAAGTAAAGTAACCTCTAAAATCAACAGAGCATCAAGTGTGATTCTGCACTTTTCTTCTCTTCCCCGTGTCTCTCATTGCCAGTTTCTTCTTTCTTTCTTTCTTTCTTTTTTTTTTTTTTTTGAGATGGAGTCTCACTCTGTTGCACAGGCTGGAGTGCAGTGGCCTGATCTCGGCTGACTGCAACTTCTGCCTCCTGTGTTCAAGTGATTCTCCTGCCTCAGCCTCCTGAGTAGCTAGGATTACAGGCATGCGCCACCATGCCCAGTTAATTTTTGTATTTTTAGTAGAGATGGGGTTTTACCATGCTGGCCAGGCTGGTCTCGAACTCCTGACTTCAGGTGATCCACCTGCCTCGGCCTCCCAAAGTGCTGGGATTACAGGTGTGAGCCACCGTGCTTGGCCTCACTGCCAGTTTCTGAGGGGAGCTGCGAAGGTCCGCTAAGTCCTCTCCAGGCTTAGGTGGAAAGGATGTGGAAGGAATTGTCCTGCACCTGTGTGGCCTTCTCTACATCTGTGTTCATGCTTGTGTCTGTTACAAAAGGTTGCAAGCCTATCTCCCTGCTGGATGTAAAGATGCAGGCTCAACGTTTAGCATAGTCGACAGAAAACAGAGCTGCCAGTGGAGACACTAACATGTGTTAAGTTCTTTGGGAAGGAGGTGTCTCTGATGCTTATATCACTTGCATCTGCCCATAGCAGACACTCATCATCTGATAAGCTGAACTGGGCCAATTCCAAGGCAGTAATTGTGCCAGGAGTGTCTTCATGTATTATTCCACCTAATGACAAGACAAGCGAGAAGAGCTAACCTAAGCAGGGAGCCAGAAAGAAAAATGTTTCAAAGGGATAGAGAGGACTTTAAGTAAAGCTTGGGGGCGGCGGGGGTAATATAAGGACCTGATCCAGAAAAGATGGGATGAGCTGAATTGTTCTTCCATTGGCAATAGCTGACCATTGTTAGGCTTTTGTGGAAGAGGAAGCTGCATTTTGTACTCAATAAACTATCAGTGCAATGGATCAAATGATTGGTATGAAAGAATAGAGAAGTGCCCATTGATTCTGCGATTCTGACCTCAATCAGGGATCTTAGAGAGGAGATCAGTGAGAACTTAGACCACATAGCTGATCACTAAGGGTTCATTGAACCCACAGATCCAACGGCCTTTTCTTTGGTAAATTGAGCATAATAGTCACATGGAGGGAGTGCTTTGGGTTCCCCGAGTGAAGGTGATGGGCTGGTTTAAAAGCTGCCACTGCTTCGGTTTTATTTTGTGCATGTCCAGCCAACAGGTGCCTTCCACACGGTGGCACTGTGGGCCACAAAGTGAATGGCTACACAGGCACTTTTTAATGACAGGCTAACTTCACTGTAAGAAATAAGTGGGGCTCCTCCAGCCTGCACCACCACTCATGGTTTGGCAGGACTTGATGAATTGTCTTATTCATCCAGGCAACTCTCCCGTGATTAAAAAACAAAACAAAACACAAAACCCCCAACATTTAAAGATAGAAAATGGAGCAGGACAGGGTATGGCCTCTCTTGCTTTCCTGCATACCCTTGTGTTGCCACGGCCCAGCTGAGGTCCTTGCACAGAAAAGGCAATCAACAAATATTGATGGGTTTCACAACCTGTACCTGCACTCAAGGAGCCTCACTATTAGGAGCTTTTCCGCAGCCTGGAAATATCCAGCATGCATGGCAATCCCACACTGAAAGGTCCTTATGACCCTGTTGCTTCCTCAGCTGCTGTACCATTTCTGTCATTTTGTTTGTGGATACATCTAATTGATTTGTCTATACCGGCTGAATCCTTTTCCTCATTCTGCCAGTTTCTTATATATATTCACTCTTAACTGAATCTGAGCTTTGGCTGACATGCCCTTGAACTGCCCTTGAACTATTCCTCACTCCTCAACTTCCCAGCACATATGCATACCACCACTATTTATTTTCTTTCTTTCTTTTCTTTTCTTTCCTTTTTTTTTTGAAACAGGGTCTTGCTCTGTTACCCAGGCTAGAGTGCGGTAGTGCAATCACAGCTCACTGCAGCCTCAACCTCCCAGGCTCAAGAGATCCTCCTCCTGCCCCAGCCTCCTGAGTAGCAGGGACCACAGATCCAGATAACTTTTTATTTTTTATAGAGATGGGGGTCTCCCTATGTTGCCCAGGCTGGTCTTGAACTCCTGGGGTCAAGTAATCCTCCCATCTGAGCTTCCCAAGGTGCTAGGATTATAGGTGTGCACCACTGTGCCTGGCCCCACTGCAATTTTCATTATCTCTGCCATCATCACTACCACCTCCACCTCCACCACCATCATCACCACCACTACCTCCTCCACCTCCACATCCACCACCATCACTACCATCACTCCACTACCACCATCACCACCTCTACCACCACCACAACCACCACCTCCACCACTACCACCTCCACCTCCACCACCACCATCACTACCATCACTCCATTACCACGATCACCACCTCTACCACCACCATCACCTCCACTACCACCTCCACCTCCACCATCACTACCATCATTTCACTACCACCACCACCACCACAACCACCACCTCCACCACTACCACTAACACCTCCACATCTACCACCATCACTACCATCACTCCATTACCACCATCACTACCTCTACCACCACCACAACCACCACCTCCACCACAACCACTTCCACCTCCACATCTACCACCATCACTACCATCACTCCATTATCACCATCACTACCTCTACCACCACCACAACCACCACCACTACCACAACCACCTCCACCACTACCACTAACACCTCCACATCTACCACCATCACTACCATCACTCCATTACCACCATCACCACCTCTACCACCACCACAACCACCACCTCCACCACAACCACTTCCACCTCCACATCTACCACCATCACTACCATCACTCCATTATCACCATCACTACCTCTACCACCACCACAACCACCACCACTACCACAACCACCTCCACCACTACCACTAACACCTCCACATCTACCACCATCACTACCATCACTCCATTACCACCATCACTACCTCTACCACCACCTCCACCACAACCACTTCCACCTCCACCACCACAGCTATTACCACCACCTCTACTACCCCTATTACCATTATTACCACCCTCTTACCACCACCACCATCACTACCACCACCTCCACAAACACCATCTCCATATATTTATGCAAGTAATCTGAACGTTGTTGCCTATTTGTGAAAGTAGCTTCCATTGTAGAATGGGTGAAAGAAACTGAAGATGGAGGACAGGAGCTCCAATTAAAATTCTAGCAGCCACAAACTTGTTTTATGACCTTGGGAAAGTCATGGAACCTTTTGTTTTCTCATCTGTGAAGTGAGGAGGCTGGCAGAGTCAGTCCCCTAGACTTACAGCATATATAATTCCATGAATGCTGCAGGCTTTAGAAATTTACTTGTACCTTTAAAAAGGTTAGTCAATTTACTAATTATAACCTGAAAGTCTTTTTGATATTTAGAAAATCCTCTTGCTTTTTCTTTGTTCTTTGAAAATTTAGAGCTGCCTCATTTCATAATGCCTGAAGCCTATATTTATAATCAGCATCTATTTCATGGTTCCGAGCCGTTTTTCACATAATTGTCTTTTTTTTTTTTTTTTTTTGCTTTAGAATTAGTTCTTTTGTGGCTAATGTATAGCAGAAACAAAATGACTTTTGAAAAAGCCCTTCAGGAATTATGGGGTTCGCTGCTATATCATTAGGGGCCCACACAGCTCTGCGACAGAACTGGGTCTTAGAAGGAGAAGGCAGCCCTGTTCTGGGAGACGGAGGCAGGGGGTGTTTGCAGATCTGCAGTGGGCGTAGATGGTGGTTTGAGGGTGGCCTGGAAGAAGCCAGAAAATGGTAGTCTGGACTTGAGAGAGGAGAGGGATGAGGTGTGTCCAGGGAGGTCTGCAGGGGGCAGTAGATCACAGAGCACAGGGAGGATGAGCGCGGAGGGTGCAGGTGACAGCTCTGTTGCTATGTGGGGCACTCTGGGCCCTTCGGCAGGGAACGTCACCTTACCTAGGACCCCCAGATTAGTAGATCTAGGTGCATTTGGGCTTCACATGTCATGCTGGTGACATCATTGCTTACTTGCGATGTTGAGTCACATGTCAGCCTCCTGTGGATGTTGGCTTCCAGCAACTCCCTCTAATCTTGTTGCTGTGCTTTGTTGTTGAGACCAAATACAAATCCTACCCAGAGTATGCAGAGAATCTGAATGATAATGTTCTGGTCTTGTTAAATTTGCCATTTGAAATTTCATAATGTAAATGTAGCATGACACATCTACCAATCATGTCTTCTCTTTGACTTTTTAGGCCTTAACCCCCACATTCCTAGAATGTGATTTCTTTCAATGTTGACATACCCCTGCCTTCCACACACAGCCATCTGCAGGCCGGCTAGGCAAAAGGCCTGTGGATGGAGTGAGAAGAGCAAGATATGTCCATTGTGCAAGGCATGCCCAAACATTTTCCACCATGGCTTAAAACTGAAGCTGGAGAGCATGATGTCACCATGTCAGCTGGAGGCAAGAAAGGACATTGGTTGGAAGGGACCACTGGTGTTGCAGAGCAACAGTCTCGAAGGCTCTCGGAGGCTATGGCTGAGACCACCCCCAGAGGCCTGCTTCATATGTGGCATGAAGCCCGTGAGGTGTGGGGAGACTGCCCTGGGAGTCAGAGTTGGGCACGCACAAGGTGAACGATGCCTGCTGCCATTGGATGTCATAGACCTGAGGCAGCACTGTGAACAGAACATGGAAGGGTGAGAGTGGATGCATGGGTCCACACATGTGACAATGGGCTTTTGATAGCCCAGAGTTCTGAACTTATTCTGTGAAAAATGTGAGTGAGAGTCACCCTAAGTCAGACCTTCAGCACCATTTTAGGCACCCATACCCTAGGATGCACATCGTGGGATTCGTACTCTGGGATCCACACCTTGGGATCTCACCCTGGTAAGCCCACCTCCCCTTTGTGTTTCTCAAGCCACAAGTGAGTGGTGCTGCCACAGGGTTCTCCATCTAAGGCACGTCCACCTGGGGTATCAATTTTATTTGAATATCTGAGGGGATAAAATTAAGCATTTTAACTGGGAAATAACTTTATCTTTAAACAGTTACAACAGATATAGATGTATTTTGAAGCAGAATGCAACATGCACAATACTTCATACTTAGAGCTGTCCACTTGAGTCCTGGTCCTGCTGGCCTTGCAAGGACATAGGCTATTTCCTCTATGTATTTTTAAAAAATTTATTATCATTATTAACATATAATTAATATAATATAACTTCAGCACGTTAAGGTATACAATTCAGTAGTTTTCAGTATATTCATAATGTGCAACTATCCCCACAGTTCCCCTGTGTTTAAGGGTCCCTTTCATGGAAAGGTTCAGGAAGTGCTGCCTGCCGATGCCACTCTGCCTCCAGAGTAGAATTTGCAGCATCAGTGACAGGAGATAGGGAAAAACCTTTATTAGAGGAGGACTGGGTGTCATGGGGCTGCATTTTCAGCTCCTATCAAGTCCTTCCACTTAGGCAACTCTCCTTCTTTCTATTTGGGAGGCAGACCATTGCTTCGTGTGAGAGCTTGAGTATTCATGCTGTGATGTGTGGATTATCACCCAAAGAAACAAGGATGGAGTTTTCCTGCCATCGACATCACTGACTCACAAAGGACAGCTTAGAAACTGTGAAGACTCCTGAGAGACTAGAAGGGGCTGGACTTGCTTTTAATCAGGTTTCAATGCAGAGACGGGTGTCCTGTCAGTTCCCTTATTCAGAGACACGTTTGTTGTGGCATTAATAAACAAAGTCAGCATTCCCTGGAGACCAACAAAAGCCTGATCCAATGTGAGTTTGTGCGTTTCTGTAAAGATTTGTGGTGGGATTCCAGGCAGTATAAATAATAGTCTTCTACTCACTGCAGATACCTTGACTATTCCTGGGGGCCAGATCCTTGGTTATGTTTTTGTTTTAAATCACATTTTATGCAAATTCACAGGCAGGCTCAAACAATGGTGAGTCCTCTTGTCATTCCTGGCCATTAGCTCAGCTGAATGAAGATTCAGGAGTAGGAAAGCAAGTCTCTGAACTTGCCTCTGCTTTGAGATTTTCTTATCTTGCAGAGTCTCCTGAGATTTTTGCGACAACCATATACCTTCTCAAAGCCGTATAGCAAAGTCTTGCTAGCTTAGATCCTAAATTTCATAATACACACCCGTTGCAAGTTCCAAGAATTCACTGTATCAGAAAATAGCTCCTGCCTCTTTGAGAAATGGTAATTTTTTACGTAGCTCTGAATAACATAGCTATTCTTCATAGACCACATACTGTGTGCTGGATGCTTTACCCATTATCTTTAATCCTCACAACAACCTTGCAAGGTAGGTATTGGCCTCTGTTGACTGGGCTGCTGAGGCTAAGACAGGTTAGTAACTGGCCTGCTTTCACACGCTGGGCTAGGAAGTGCCCCGCCTCAAAATTTCCCAAGACACCCTCCCCAGCTTGTGAACCATACTTCTCAATTGGTCTCATGTCAGGAGAATTGAAACATGGGCTTTGAGTCAGACAGACATGATTCAGATCCTAGCACCAGTAACTACTAGATGAATGACTGGGCAAGTCAGGTAACCTCCCCAAGCCTCAGTTTCCTCAGCTGTAACTGTGATAAAGATGCTTTGGGAGGTAGTTATGGGAATGGAATGAGATGAATGCTTCCAAGTCCCCAGAATGGCATCAGCACATTGCATAGCAGACCAGAATCTCGACAAATGATCCTTCTCTTTTCTTCCTTATTCATCTTTATACATGTTGTGGCACCTGGCACAAAATAGGTACTCAAAGAAATATTTGTGGAAGTAAATTCAAAGGATTCTCCATGACCTTGTTTCATACGGACATCATGAAGTGGGACCCTCTCCAAAAGCTCCCTGGAAGAACAAAAGAAGTTTTGAAGCATGTCAAAGCTACTCATGGTTACAATCTTTAGGATGAGGCAGACAGACAAAAATAATGCTAAAAATAACAATAGTACTAACATTCTGAAGTAAAATTTACTAGGTGGAGTGCTGTTGCTCTTCAAGGAACAGCAGTAGTTGAGGATTGTCAAGTACCCTGAAGCACAAGGGACAATAAATGTGACAAGAACAGCTCCTGGGTTTGGGGGATTATTCAACAACGATTAGATTGGTTAGAGACAGTGCACTTTTGTATGTATATCCTTGCTTAAGAGTAGAGAAAATAAAATGTAAGATTTTTGAATATGTAACATGGGGTGTTAGAGTGAATGCGTCTTCACTGATGCAGGGAGTGTTTGGCCGGGGTCCATCTCAGAAAGGAATTCAAGAGGGCAAACATGTGGCATGTGTACTGCTGGTTCCCAGTCAGTCCTATGACAGGCATTGCCACTTGATCATGATAATCTTCCATTCCTGAGTCCTTCTCAGCATAGTCAGTTGGGATTGGCCTGAGTTGGCATTTAAGATCAAACAATTTGTTGTCCCTGGCTCCAAAAAGGAACACTTTTGTGTGCATTTAGTACCTGATATTCAAAAACTCCCTCCTCAGGAAGCTTCCTTTGGTCTCCTGACATGGCCAGGTCATGGCACCAAAGCTACTAGCACCTTTCACTACACCACAGAGATTTTAGTGAAATAGCCACATATATATATAAATTTTTTAAACTACTTTTTGCAATGTGTATGCCCTGGAACTCAGACATGAATCTATGCACACTAGCTTAGAGGACAATAGAAGTATCCCTCATCCCTACTCAAACTTGTTCTTTTTCACTTTTCTTCTCACGAGATGGGACTTCCCAGGACGTTGCTCATTCCTTATGTTTTCCAAGTCCACAAAACCCACATGATACAGTGGATATTTCTGTGGGAGTTGGACCTACACATGATCTTTAATAGAGGCCTGGCCTGGGTGTCCATGTTTTGATTCAGATGCATTGGCTTTAAGTAATAGTAAATCCCAACTGAAATTGACTTAAGCAATAAAGAAACTTACCACACATAAGGCCGGGCGCAGTGGCTCATGCCTGTAATCCCAGCACTTTGGGAGGCCGAGGTGAGTGGATCACCTGAGGTCAGGAGTTTGAGAGCAGCCTGGCCAACATGGCGAAACCCCGTCTCTACTAAAAATACAAAAATTAGCTGCATGTGGTGGCATGTGCCTGTATTCCCAGCTGCTTGGGAAGCTGAGGCAGAAGAATGGCTTGAACCCGGAAGGTGGAGGTTGCAGTGAGCCGAGATCACGCCACTGCACTCCGGCCTGGGTGGCAGAGCGAGACTCTGACTCAAAAAAAAAAAAAAAAAAAAGAAACCACACATTATGAAAAGTTCAGAGGCGGGGTGTTGTCAGGTGAGGAACATAAAGTAGAGCTCTGGCTCTATTTCCCCAGGCTCCTTTTGTTCTGCCTTCATCCATGTTGGTTCATCTTTGGGCTGCAGTATTCCAGTGTATCACATGTAGTCATGCGAATGCTTAGATGGAGGAAGAAGGTGTGCACATGTGTGTATGTATGTTTCCAAGGATGGAGCTGCCTCTTTTGTTGTCTCTTCATTAAAAGCGAAGAAGTTTTCCCTTCAATGAAGAAATGCTGGAATCTTTCCTTTTTGAACCACTAGTCAAAACTGGGTCATGTGCTCTTACAAAACTCACCATAATCTTGCCATATGATGTAGCCATCATGCTCCTTGGTATTTACACAAAGGAACTGAAAACTTACCTCCACACAAAATCCCACACACAGATGTTTATAGCAGATTTGTTCTTAGCTGCCAAAACTTGGAAGCAACCAAGATGTCCTTCAGTAGGTGAATGGATAAATAATTGTAGTACATCCAGACAATGGAATGCTATTCAGTACTAAAGAGAAATGAGTTATCAAGCCAAGAAAAGACATGAAGAAATCGTAAATGCATATTACGAACTGGAAGTAGCTAGTCTGAAAAGGCTACATACGGTATGATCCCACCTATATGACATTCTGGAAAAGGCAAAACTACGGAGACAGTAAAAAGATCAGTGGTTGCCAGGGGTTGGGGGAAAGGTAGAACATAGAAGATTTTTATGGCAATGAAGCCACTCTGTATGATACTACAATGGTGGATATGTGTCATCACACATTTGTTGAAACCCATAGAATGTATAGCAACAAGAGCGAATCCTGTCAACTCTGGGTGATAATGATGTGTCAATGTAGGTTCATCAGTTGTAACAAAGGTACCACTCTGTGGGGGATGTTGAAAATGGGAGAGTCTATGCACCTGTGTGTATGTGAGGAATCTCTGTACCTTCCTTTCAATTTTGCTGTAAGCTTAAACTGCTTTAAAAAAATAAAGACTTAAAAAATGAAAAGAAACTGGGTCATGTGCTCCATCCCCTAAACCACTCACTTGTAAGGGGAATGGGACACCATGACTTAGGCAAATCAGAATATACCCCTTGAGCCGAGGATAGTGCCATAGGAGGGAGGGGTTGATTTACAATATTAATAAGAAAAAAGTGATAGTGATGGTGGAATGGATGTTGAGTAGGCAAGCCAACAGTTCTTGCTCCACAGGGAAAGAGCTGATTGGATCAGAGGTGGACTCTTGAGAGAGGGGATCTCTCTTCAGAGAGGGGCGGCAGACATTTCATTGGCTAGTGGTCAATCAGATTTTCTCTCGAGAGAATTTAAACTAAGAGAAACATAGACTCTGCTTAGGCAGTAGTAGAAGCTTGAATTAGAAGTTCACACAGAATTGGATCTGGGTGGGGCAACCATTGTTAGTTGATGAGTAAGCATTTGGCAGGGACAGCCAGAATCTTGGAGTGGGTTTTCTGTTCCTTGCATATGAAAATACTTGACCAGGGTATTCATAGATGTATGCATCTTAGGGTGAGCACAGCTTACATTTAATCTGGGCCCTCTTCCCACCCAGTGTATGTATCTTTGCAGTTCTCAAACTAATGAAGCCATTTCAGATGGGTAAATAACACTAAAACTAAGATGATGACTGCTATTCAAGGCCCACCTGCTCTTGAGTGTCTGGATAGAATCCTCAGTGACATTTGTATGGGATTCCCCACCTAATAAGGTCAACAGGATATCCAGTTCCTTAGGTCTGACCCCTTTTTGCTAGGAGAATCCTGAGTGGCTTACACATTTGGAGCATGATGACAGCTGGAATTTCCAGTATTTTCTATGCTGGTCCCATGAAGGCTTTGATCATAGTTGCTGTTGCTACTCTTTATCTTGCCCTTACTTTGGAATGATGATTTAGCTTGGTGTAAAATTCTAGCTTGACAGTTGTTTTCCTTCTGATCTTCGAAGAAATGATTACAAAGTCTTCTGTCATTTTTTTGGTACTGATGTCAGTCTCATTGCCATGGATATGTAATACATATTTTTTTCTTATTTTAAGATGTTCTTTTTATTGTTGATATTCTCCATTTTCACTAGAGTGTAGCTAAGCATGGTTTAATACTTCTCAGGAGACAGAGTGTTTTCAATACTAGAACGTATGTCTTCAAGTCTAGAGACATTTCCTCTCCTTATTCTGACTATTCTCCTTTCTTGGAACCTGAATTAAATGCATGTTGTGAAGTTCCCCATCCTGTGTGTTGTGTCTCCAAAACCTTTTCAGTCATCGTATCTCTTTCCTTCTCGTATTGGGTCTTTGACTTGCTCTCCTCAGTCACTATTGCTATGTCTAGTCCACTGTTTAACTTATCAGTGTTTCTTGTATGAGTGACTGTATTTTAGATTTCCAGCATTTTTATTTTGTTTATTTTAAAATCCCACATGTTCCTCCATCCCCCCACCACACCATTCTTTATTTTTTTGGACATTTTACATATGCTTATTTTACAGTCTCTGTTAGATTTTTCTATTAGCTATAGATATTGAAATGAGATTTCTCTTGGTTATTACATTGGGTGGTTTTCTCATCATGGTTTTTTTCCACATGCTTTCTAATTCTTGATAGTGAGCTTATCTTTAGTGAGAGGTGTTTTTGTATGGGGAGCTCGTGCATGTCCTGGGGTGTGGATGCATCCATAAGGAGTGCCTACTATGGGACTCAACAGTTTCACCTACTGCAGGCTAGTTTTTTTCCTTTATTTCTTTAATTTTTAAAAAATTTGCTACATGGTTCATAGATGTTATATTTTAATAGCAAAGTTTCTTCATGTTTTTGTAAAATAGATATTTAATACATATCTGTTGACTAAGTGAATACAACTGAATCTTGAAAATATATTAAATGTATGAAACCCAATTTGGAGAACAATAACTGAAGTGCCAGTTCTACTGTCACAGAAAGAAAAGCTAGCTTCTATGAAGAAAAAAAGAATGTTAAGGGGTTGCACGTAAGTGGAGGTGACTCATGTTCAGCCTGTTTTTGGAGCTTCCATTCCATTGAAACATGAATCAGGGCAGAGCAGAAGAACTGAAGGGCAGTCAGCTACAGGATCTCACAACAGTGTCTTTACACTCATTGTCTATCCCATCCTACTCTGCAAACCGTACCCTCACTAGCTGCTCTGGGATTAAATTGTCCACTGCAGGGGCCATAATAATTTCCTTGGGAGAATCTGGCCTAAAGACAGCTGCTTTGGAAAAGATTTTTCTTTCACATCCTGGAGGAAAATATGCCTGAAGGGAGACTAGAGTTGAACTATTTGCCATCAATGATGATGACTAATTGATAACTCTGTAATCCTTTTAAAAAATAGGTTTTAGGTGATTAAATGCAAACAGAGTAGTCTTAATTTCATTTCTTTTAAAATCTTATCTCTTTACAACTTTCATATATACACACAGTTTCCCTGTTACCATCCTAGTGTGAAAAAGTTATTTTAGCAGATATTTAAGTCAATCAACTTGATGTACTGGGCATAAAATTATATTTTTTGCTGTTATTCTTCCAGGAGTCTAGAAATTTCTCACTTTTTAGCTCATTCTGATTGAGAACCAAGGATTATGAAATTTCCTTTATTCTTACCAATACTCAATTCATCCATAAACACACAGCAAAGAGACACACATATCACACAAAATATTCAATGTTACCACACATCAAAAGATCAAAACATAAAAACAAATCTCTAACAAACTGATAGGTTGGTGAGAAATATGAAGTGAAAGTCATCTTTTTTTTTTAGATGATATTACCTCCTAGTATGAGGCAAGACATTCAGAGAATGACCATTGATGAATTCTTTGTCATTGGTACTGGCTTTGCTTATTTGGAGACCCGCTGAGAGATGCCTTTGAGATCTGGCGCTTGTGAGGGAATTCTCATCCTGAAACTTTTCACCTCTACGTTAAATATGTACAAAGTAACATTTTCAAAAGTATTTTTTCAATTCAGTTTACAAAGTTAAGATTTTCCTGCTTTAGTATTGGGTTTAGAGACTGCCAAGACTTACCTATTGCTGTTACCTACTTAATTCTACTGTCTTTCCTCTTTGTACATACGGCAATATGTGTTTCTACAGGTGGATTCATACTCCCAGTTATGTGAGGCAGTAGGAACGCTGACAGCTGCCCAGAGCCGCTGTGATGGTGGAAGGTGAGGTGCAGTGCCTGACTGCCTCAAATTCTCAGGCTTTGAGTCTTGCATTACATCTAGTGATATCCAGTGTCCTATTCAACAAGGTCTATTTCTGATGCTCTTTATGTCTTCCTGCAGATCCTAGTTTTCATCTAGTATCATTTTCCCTCAGATTGAAGAACTCTTTTAGCATTTTTTTTATAGTGAAGATTTTCTGGCAATGAATCTTCATGGTTTCCTTTTATCTGCAAACTGTATTTTGCCTTCATTCTTGAAGTGTATTTGTACATTTTTTTTTTCGGTCAGCCCCTAAAAATACCACTGTCTTCTGGCCTCAATTATTTCTCTTTTGATATTATCCTGCAAGTACCTGAGGTTCTGTTTTTGCTAAAACTTTTTTTCTCTATTTTTGGATAAATTCTAATGACCTATCTTCAAGTTAACTGATGATTTCCTCTGTAATCTCCACTTTGCTAAGTTCATACATTTTTAAATTTCAGATTTTGTATTTTTAGTTTCAGAAGTTCTGTTTTCAAGAATAGTTTCTATTTCTCTGTGAGATTTCTTGTCTTTTTAGTCATTATTAGCATATTTTCTTTTATGTATTTGAGCATAGTTACAATAGTTGCTTTACAAATCCTCATCTGCTAATTCCAGTATCTGGGTTATCTTGGGGTCAGGTCTCCATTGATCACCTTTTCTCTTAAAAATAGGTCACGTCATGCACATGTCAGATAGTTTTGGATTGCGTCCTGGATATTGTGAGTATTATGTTTCAGAGACTCTAGATGCTATTATAGTCTTCCAAAGAGTATTGATTTTTTTTTTGTTTGCTGGAGAAGACAATTAATTTGCTTCTACTCATACAGCAAACTTTGTGTCTTGGGGACATCTCAAGTCTCCATTCAGCTTTGGATCCTAAGTCAGCTGTTTGTAGTCAGCCCTATACTTGCATGGCTTAGGATTTAACTAGAGACCCAGGGAGGGGTTTTTATAGAAAACTTGGATCTTCTCCCTCTGAGTCTCTTTTTTCTAAGACTCTTTGCTCACCTTATAGTGGCTATAGTTGCCCTGAACTCTGTCTCATGGTTCTTCAGGCCAGAAAAACTGCAGATTTTCTAACAGATTTTAGGTACTTCATGCCACCTGACTTTGGCTTGTCCTTGGGCCAGAAGCCTCAAAAACGGAAATTTGCTTTATACCTTTCCTCTCTTTTAAATGTCAGCTACCCTTCAGAATATGTCTGTCTTTGTTCACCCTCTAGTGGCTTCAAGTAGTTACTTTTTGTATTTTGTACAGAGTTTATATTTGTTATCTGCAGGAGGGTTAGCCTGGTGGGAGCTTACTAAGCCATACTGGAAGCTGAGTTCCTCCTGCCTAGTTTTTGTGTTAATTTCTGTGGAGTTTTGGTGTGTTACCAAAGAGGCCATGAAGGTCATTTGATGCCAACCCTCCAGTGAATTCCTTATTGGGTTCTCTCTGCTCCATTGGCTGTACCTTTCTGCAGATGGATGGGGTGTGGCCTGTCTGCACAAAAGCTACTGGTGGGTGGGCTCTGCCAGCTGTCATAGGAAGACATAGTCACATTCATTCACTGCTGACTTTTAAAATATCTCTATCTACATTCTGACTCCTCCACCCCTCAACATTTTTTTTTTTTTTTTTTTTTTTTGCAGCTGGACATTTTTGTTTTTCTTTCTCTCTCTTAATTATGACTTAATTCTTAAGACTTGGGCAAACACTTCCAGTATCATAAGGGGCTTGCTGCCTGGTGGGGCAGCCTGTGCCCCACTGTGATACTTTATTCACCCTTCAGCCAGACTTCATCCTCCTTACCAGAGGCATTGCCATGGCAACCTCCCTCCTCTGGGCAATAAGTATGGGTGGCAAAGTCCTACATGCTTAATATGTTTGATATTTTACCTTTTAAAACATTCTTTGGGGAAATTCAAGTTGGCCTGTCGAACAAAATAAATAAGCTTTTCATTGTCAACAAGGGCTAAGGGCGGCAGCTTTGATAACAGGGAAAGCTTGGACTGGTCAAAAACTCGAAACCAGAGTGAGCAGGTCACATCTAGTTCCACTTGAGATGAGAAAGGAATGGGAAACCTCTCAGTGCTGATGGAAACTGACTCAGATCCCAGATGCTGCTGGGGAAGCTCTAGCCTAAGATGGCTGCTGGGATGAAGTGAGCCCTGGTCCACACCCAACCTTGTAATGTTTGTGTAGCTGCCACCACTGGAGGGAACAGGTATTTCTCCTACGGACAGTCCACCTTGGGAGTGCTGGGGCTTTCCTTTCCCTTCTGGGTGGCATCACACCAGAGTCCTCTTTAGCCTGGAAGCCCTTAAGAGTGCACATACATCACAGAACCCACTGAGAGCTTTGCAGAGGCTGAGGTACTGGGTAGCCCAATGTCCTCCCCCATCTCTGCCATCTGTCTATGCACTAGTTACAGAGACAGGCTCTTATTGGGCATTATTTAAAATTTGAGTGTTAAAAATTAAAAATTTACAATAAATTAAGTATTACGCTTCTTGGCTTCATTGGCAAATATTTTTTTCTTTAAACTAGATTTATATGAGTTTCTCCCTATCTTTCTTTATTTTTCTCATTTGTGTTTTTCTTCTTCCTTTTCTGTCTCTCTCTCTCCCTTTTTTTCTTCCTTCCATTTAAAAAAATGTAGTTATGAATTTATTTTGCCCATTTAATGGGATTTTCTATGGCATATTGGAAACAAAGTGAGGTGTGGAGTCAGACAAACCTGGTTGGAATCCACGCTTTTCTATTTATTAGCTATGTAGACTTGGCATAGCTGTCCCGGTTTGTTCAGGCTGAGTGGTTTTCTGGAACACAGGACTTTCAGTGCTGAACCTGGGACAGTCCTGGACAAACTGGGATGGTTGGTCACCTTACTTGGACAAGATACTTAGCCTCCCTGAGCCTTGGTTTCTTCACCTGTGAGCTGGGGATAATAATACCTGTCTCATGGGGGCTATTTTGAGGGTTGGAAATAGTGTAA
This sequence comes from Homo sapiens, assembly GCF_000001405.40. Lineage (NCBI taxonomy): Eukaryota > Metazoa > Chordata > Mammalia > Primates > Hominidae > Homo > Homo sapiens. The sequence goes on along the minus strand of NC_000003.12, from coordinate 138,038,068 downwards.
GAAAAGGGCCTGAAACTATGTCTGTGACATTGTAGATTCTCGATAATGATAATGATAATGACAGCAATATTAACATTAATAATCATCTGTATTTTTTAATGGCTCAGAGAGATTTTTTTCTGCCATAAATGCTTTTCTCTTTTTTCCTAATGTCTTTTCAAGGAGAAAAAGTTTATTTTGTTTTCTTCATTTTTACGTAAGCCTGGGTATTATGGTTTGAATGTTTGTCCCCTCCAAAACTCATGTTGAAACCTAATTCCCAATGTGGAAATAATGAGGAGTGGGGCCTTTAAGAGGTGATTGGGTCATGAGAACTTCACTCTCATGAATAGATTAATCCATTCATAGATTAAGAGATCAGTGAGTTAATGGATTAGTGGGTTATCACAGAAGTGGTACTGGTAGCTTTATAAGAAGAAGAAGAGAGACTTGAGCTAGCACATTTAGCTCCCTCACCACATGATGCCCTGAACTCCTTTGGGACTCTGCAGAGATCCCTCCCCATCAGCAAGAAGGGCCTCACCAGATGCAGCCCCTTGACCCTGGACTTCCCAGCCTTCAGAATTGTAAAAAATATATTTCATTTCTTTATAAATTACCCAGTTTCAGGTATTCTGTGATAAGAAACAGAAAATGACTAAGTAACTGGGTTTCTGAAGCTTTGCTGTGTCCAACTAAAAAACAATAGCTGCTGAATTTTCCCTGATGTCTAACATCTCTGAGTAGAATCCAGTGATAACACATGGTTGAGATTATCTTTTAGAAACCTTGAAAAATTCATCAAGGACCCAAAAGTCTTCTTTAGAGATAGGCTGCTCTGTGCATAGCTCATACAGAGCCCCTTCCTTATCAGATGCAGGTCTGATGAGTTCCAGGTGTTAAATATCTGGGGACTCAGGGTCTGTTCTGGACATTTCCCCACACAGGTGGATCTGGTTGGCTCAGACCACCTGCCAACATTAGGCCACCCATCCTGAAGCAAGCCCATCCTGCTCTTTCTGGATGGCCCTTCTAGTCAGGAAAAGGAGTTGGATACTGAGAAGGCCAGTGGTTGGGAGGAGATGAGGTCTGTGTGTTCTTGTGGAGCAAGCAAGAGGCTAACCTGGTATGGACTCTCGTCTTTGTTCTGGCTCCCCTGATATGCCTGTGCAAAGGCCTTGAGCATGTCATTTCTCCTTTCTGGTCCTTGTTCACAACAGAGGTATGGGCCTCGGCTTTCCTGTCTTCAGAGGTGAGTAAATGGTGAAATGATTGCCAATTGCCAAAGAGTCTCTAAAGGGGAAGAAAAGCTAAAGCAAAATAGTGTGAGATCAGTTTCTGGGCTCATGACCGTTTTAATTTATTGGTTCAGAGTGAACAGAGAACTCTACTCAGCCATGACTTAATAACTTCCTCCTTCCAAGCTGCCTGAGATGGTCATGTCTCCAGGTAATGAGCTATATCTGCTCCTGTGGACTTCATGTCTGGGTGTTGTTTTCTATTTTTTAATTCTTCAGTTTTTAGTTTTTTTTTCTCTAGATATAAAATAAAGCTATTCTCATTGAAGAAAATTTGCAAACTACTGTAAAGTACAAATGAAAAAAGTATCATCATTATATCTCCAATCAAAAGCAACTACTTAAAATATTTTGGAATATATTTCTTACCAGGGTGTTTTTCAATGCACCGTTTAATAGAATTAATGTTAGAAAAATATAATAATGTTAGTGACTATATAATAGTTTACTTATATATAAAGACTATTAGAAACCTTTCCCTCATTAGGTTTTTAAGTTGATCCAGTTACATTATTTTAAACAATTGATACATACCTTTGAGCATAAGTATTTATGATTATTTCCTTAGGAGAAATTTAAAGAAGGAGCATTGCTGGATTAAAGAAGAAATATTTCCAGCTTTCTTCCGTATTACATATAATTCTACCTTTATGTTACCCTAAAAATCTAAGTTAAAAGATAGGACAAAATATAATGTTTTCTATGTAAGGAATTGGTATGATCCTTGGTCTGCAAGTAGGACCCACCCACTCCTTGAAGTTTCTCTGAAGAAGAAGAAGTCTATGCTTTCTTTTAGCTACCCACTGTGGCAGGGGTGACTGAGATTTCATTTTATTTGGTTATTAGGGAGTAGCTGCATTTAGTGTTGAATATTGTGGTGGTGTGGATACTAGAAACCATCGCTGATAGATGATTTTGGGGTATCTAAATTAAATACCCTTACTCCAGAATAGAATTTGGACATATTTAAAGCATTTTAGTGACATTTTGTCTCTACAATATATTATAATATCTTACATAGTGAATATTAAACCACAAGAAACTTTTTGCTTATCATCATCTCTTAAGGGCCTCACATGCGCATTTCACGTTTATTTGGGCTATTATGAAGAGAATACCCCCTTCCCTTTCTAGCTGTGGGTTGGGAAGTATGAAAAATCAGCCTGACTTTAGCTGAAGGAATGGAATTGTTCAAAAGCCATTCTGAGGCTAGAAAAGTCAAAGAAGTGTTGGTCCCTGATGAGGCTCTGAAAATTGAACCGACTGTGTGGTAAATGTGTATATATGAGCGTGAGTGTGTGTGTGATCCTTGAGTATTTAGAGTGTTGGGCCACTAGTGGGGCGAGATCAGCGTTGTTGGAGGGTTAAAGTATATAAAGCACTAGGCACAGTACTGATTATTATGAGGACTCAGTACAGAAGTTAGATAATGAAAATATGTTAGTGAATCATTGTAATCAATCCTGAAGGTCACATAATTGGTTGGCAATGCAGTCAGAACCAGAAATCCAGGTTTTTGATTCCAAGCCCAGTGCTCTCTCCAGTGGAACACATCAACTCAGAGATATCAGGCATTTTGGCAAAAATTGTGGCTGTTGCAGTAGTCAACCCTGGATAATGTCCCGTGGAGGCAGGAGAGGGCTGAATACTACCTAAGTAAAAGGTAAGAGAACTGGGGACTCCCAGGGATTTTTATGAGTAACAATGCTGAGTCATATTTTGAGCCTGTATTCCATGGCTTGGTTAGTCCATTTCTGTCTTTGTACAAGGAGACTTCAAAATGCCCCTAAATTTTAGAAAATTTAAATTTGAATAGCTCAAAATTACATAACCAAGGACAGTTTTCTACTGATGACTTTTGTAATCTCACTTGTTTAAAACTGAATGTAAAGTGTTTTGTTTTTGTCTTTTTTTTTAATTTTTAGGTTTTAATTATCAGCTTTCTTTGAGAACCAGAGTAATCTCTCAGATCCTTCCTTTCTGTACTACATACTGTTTGGTAACTAGTCAGAGAAGCTCAGAAGTTATATCTCTGAAGCTTTCTCTGGAGTTCAGTTTCATCCAAAAGAAGAAAAAAATGAGGCAAAGCAATGAGTTTACCTGATTTCTAAGGACCCCGGCTCCTCAGAATACAAGTCTTCATGGCATATGACAAATCTCCATGTTTTGACTGGGGGACCCAGGCTTCATCAAACTAGATACCACTGCTCTGGCTATAGGAAGAGGTTTAGGGATGGGTACATTACTCAAATAATCTAATGTATTTTGTTAGGGTTTTTCTCCTATGCATAGAAGGAAAGAGATGCCTCCCTTTGGCTAGGTTTCCCATAGCTGAAACATGGCTTTATGGCTAGAAATATAAGCAGCCAACACAACAACTCACAATCTTCTTGAGAAGCAAACCAACAGAGAAGACAGCAGAACTGAGATATGGGCAGAGAAAAATAGAGTCTTAATCATAACCCTTGATTCAGCTGTGTCTGAAGCCAACCCTGACCTCAGATACCCCAGTTACATAAGCATTGCCCTCTTTGTCTTAAAGTTGTGAAGCTTGGTTTACTGTCACTTAAGTGGGTCCTTTACTTGTATTATTCCATTATTCTTATCATCCCTATTTTACAGATAAGGAAATGGAGACTCAGAAAGTTTAAGGGCTTTGTTCAAGCTAACATAGCTGCAAAGTAGTATGACCTGGATTTGAGGTTGGGTTGTTCTGACTATATAGCTTATGCTGCTTTTGTAGCTTGGATACAGCCTCAGTTTATTGAGCTGGTCAACCCAACCTTGGCAGCATCAAGAGGGCAGGCATTGGCTCTCTTGTTTTACTGGCCCACAAACAGGACAATGACATTAGACACTTCGGGCTTGTGCGCTTAGGGTCAGACAGGCTAAACTGGATCCTTGGACCCCATGCTGCATGCCTGGTTGCTCTGGGAACTCCTCTTCATTAAGGCTTCCCAACTTGCAGAAACCACAAACTGGTCTGGAACGACACCTAGCTCTAGGTAGCTAGGCTGCTGTTGAGCAGAAATGGATTCTGAAAGCAGAAAAACTCCCATGAAGAAGCATCCAGCGTTGAGGTGCTGGGACTTCCCACCTCCACTTCCCAAAACATATGAAAAAAGAGCAGAAGCTATTCAACTGTAGGATAACAGTGTTTTTAATATTTAAGTAACAAAACATTCAGGTTAATACTCAATGCATATACAATAAGATAGAGCAACAACAACAAAATTACAAAGCACAATCTAACTATATGGAGGCTTTCAAACAATTAAATGTTGGATAGAGAATGCGCTAATTAAAAACCCAGCTGAGCCACACCGCACTACCTGAGACCTGACCAGGGACTTTCTGGTGGTAGAAGGGAGAGCTCATTGTGCCCTGTGGCCTTCAACTCAAATGGATGCTCTTCAACTCAAATCCAGAGAGCACTTAACAAACTCCATGCTCTAGATTGCTCAACCCTCCTCCTTGCTTTTCTTTTTTCTTTAGTTGACTTGTCTGCTCATCCTTTACCCAAACTGAGGCAGTGAGTTCCACAAATACTTCCTCTGGTTTGGTTTAAATGTTGCTGTCTCAGTGAGAAGGGCCTCTGAGCTCACTGCTCTGACTCTTGAACACAACTTGTTATTTAATGGGGCATAATCCGTTCTTTCCCCAGACATAGTCTGTTCAGCCTGAAGATCCTTATGAGTATTCACCAATCCCCTTGGAGGTCACTTTCATATGTACTATTGATGTGAGGACTTTCCTCTCAAATAATAACCTAATGGCCAAGTTCCCCTGCACCAATGCTGCTGTGGGTAGTTTTTAGAGACTGCTCTTACCTCAGTTTCCTAGGGGGCCTATCTGGCTTTGGTACTGGGATGGAATTCTACTGTCTTGGAAGGAATTTAGACTTTCTGCTCAAAAGGGCAGTGATGTAAGCTCAGGGAAGGTGTGTGGTTGCAAAGAGCTTTCAGTTTTGCCCAAACATCTGATGGTCCAACCACTCTAGGTGAATTCAGAGAAGTGAACAGCTCTCAGAGTAACAAAACTGACCACCAGCTAGTTGTGATGGCGCACACCTGTAATTCCAGCTACTTGGGAGGCCAGGGTAGAAGAATTGCTTGAGTGCAGGAGTTTGAGGCCAGCCTGGAAAGTGAGACCCCGTCTCTAAACAAAGCAAAACAAAACAAAACCGACCACAGTGCCAGGAAAGTGCTACTGCTAACTGGCAGTGGCTTGTAACCATGCAAATGTGGATACCTGTCACTTGGAAACATTACATTTAATTCAGGCTCAACTTTTTTTTTTTTTTAAAGAATTAGTTTTAACCTACTTCCTAGGACTTGCTGTGTTCCATTATTTATTTTTTATTTTTTTAGACAGGATCTCGCTATGTCACCTGGCTGGAGTGCAGTGGTGTGATCATGGCTCACTGCAGCCCCAACCTCCCTGGGCTCAAGTGATCCTCCCACCTCAGCCTCCCGGAATGCTGGGACTACAGGTGTAGGCCACCATGACTGGCTGATTTTTTCTCTCTGTATTTTGTAGAGACAGGGCTTCTCCATGTTGCCCAGGCTAGTCTCGAACTTCTGGGCTCAAGTGATCCTTCCTCCTCAGCCTCCCAAAGTGCTAGGATTACAGGCGTGAGCCACTGTGCCCAGACATTATTTACTTTTTACATGGCTTACACTTACTATCATGTACAATCAGAGCCATAGAGACCTCAAAGGGAAAGAATTAGGATCAGTGAGCTTTTCATGGAATTTGTACTTAAGCATGACTTTACAAAGTACCATATAGACAATGTCAAAGCAATTATTTTTTCATTTCCTTCTATCCACATGTAGGGGTGAGGCTATTTCACAGAGATAGTGTATCATTTTACTAAAACATTATTTATTTTAACTATATTTAGGACTTAAATTAAAAAAAATAATTTTCTCATTCATCTAGGGACAATTTCTGACCCGCGACAGAAAGAGGACTCCAGTGGAGAGCTCAGGAAACTCCTAGAATGGTGTTGCTGTAATAAGAAGATGTCAACAGCAGTAGAAAGGTTTGGTTGCCTCAAACTGAAAATGACTTTGGTTTGGTAACTTTTAAGATCACAGTGTAAGAAAACCGAGATCATGGGCTGGAGAGATTACAAATATCTTTCTCTTATTGCTTCTTCTTCAGTAAGTGTTTATTACTAGCCAAGTTGGGGGTGGGGAGACAAAATTCAAACAGCAGAAAATAACATCTTTGGGTCTACTCTTTCCTTTCAAAAGTTTTCTTGGGGATAAGCTGGGAAATAGATCATCAATGGGTTTATTGACTAGGAGGAAGAGGGGGAGTCTGTCTAAATCATCAAAATGTGAGAGAGAGATTAAAACCACATTCTCTCATCAGAGTAGAAAGTTATATTTAAAAAAAGAAATAGAGGATTGAAAATGTGAGCTATAGCCTCTAATTCATAAATAACTCAGCTGTTTTATGGTGGAATATTTAGAGACAGAGACTGAGGCTAAGACCATTTGGCCTCTCCAAAGATGAAATCGAGGCTTTTCTAACTTCCAGCTGTGAGTCAAAAGCAAGAAGAAATCTAGATGGGATCTCCTTGTTTTTTGGGTGAGCTCTCCGGGAGTTTCTTCCGCCCGTGCTGAGAGGTCTTAGAGCATTACACATAGTCGTGCTTGGAAGGATAAGATTGTACCTCGTCCTCTGTGCGGGCACCTCCATCGTATATCTTCTTGTTTTTGGTGTTGGACCCAAAGCCAGTGCTGGCCTTGAAGCCTCCAGGCTTGTAGGCAACACTGTGGCCTGAGGCATGATAAGAAACGGCTTTGTAGCTGAAAGAAAAATAAACATTCCATGATTGTAGATGTCTTTGTTAGTAGGACCAACCTCCTATTTACCATAAACTGTCTCAGTCTTGGCACTGAAAGTCCAGTGTCCCTGGAAACCCATCAGTCCGGGGCAAACCAGGATAGTTAGTAACCTTAGTTTTTGGTACACTGGTTTTACTGCCTCTGCAGTGGAACAGAAGTTCTTGCACTGTTTTAGAGCTTTGCTGAGCCGAGAACAAAATCTCCTGAGAATAAAATAATTGTGATTCCAAATGGACATTTTTGGATGGTGGAGAGAGGTATCCCCAAATCCTCGGTAACTAATGAGTTCCCTCTTTCAATCAATAAAAATACAGCTGAACCAGAAACAATGTCCAGGGGAACATTGTTACGTCAAAGGATCATAGAATTTGTGAGCTGGAGGGTACCTACGTTCAGCCCATTGCCTCAAGCTGCTCATTTCATGGATGAGGTGATAGAGGCACAGAGAGGGCAAACAACCTGCTGGAGGTCACAGGGCTGGTCAGTAGCAGAACCACACTGGAATCCAGCTGTCCCCACACCAGTTCAATTTAGGAAGTTACAGCAGAGTTTCTCAGCAGCAGCACTGTTGACGTTTTGGAACAGATGCTTCTTTGCTGTGGCACAGTTCTGTGCACTGTAGGGTGTTCAGCAGCATCCCTGGCCTCTACCCGCCAGAGGCCAGTATCACTTTCCCCCACCCTCCCAAAATTGTAACAGTTAAAAATGTCTTCACGTGTTGCCAGATATCCCCTGGGGGGGAAATTGCTCCTAGTTGAGAACCATGGAGTTACAAAACAATCTCAGAAGGAACAAAGAAGGATGGATTTTTCTTTCAAATAGGATCACATTTAAATCAGTCTAGGCTGAAATATTCCCATTCTGTTCTTTAGGTTCCCCCTAAAAGAGAAGCTTCGATAATCCTTAAGTCAAATAAAGTTCATCCATATACCTAGACTGATTTTTTTTTTGGCTGCAAGTTATACATTAAAATAGACCCTGAACAAATAAAACGTCTGGTTGCAGCGGAACAGGGAGACTCACTTGGTTTCTTCTGGTGCCAGGCCCCGGCAGGCGATGCACATCATCACACCCCCAATTAGTGTGAGGCCTCCAGCGACCCAGCCCACGAACAGAGCCGCACCAAATGTGTACCTGGGTAGGGAGATGGTGGCTGTCAATATGGTTGACTCAACTCTCCAGGCTCCACCCACTGCACCTGGCTGTGCCTGTTCTTTCTGTCCCCACTTTTGGATTCCACATCCATCCCTGACCATGCCCCTGAACACACATTCCTGTGGGTCACAGCCAACTGATCAGGTACCCTGGAGAGTAGAATTGGGACTAAAGTTAGGGGGCAAAACAGCAGGGGGATTCTAGCATCACTCAACCATAAAATTATAAATCTTATCTCTGTGACACATCTCAAGAAATCTCCCTCCCCTCTCTACTGGCAAAAGAAAGTGTCTTGAAGGTTTGGCAAGAGAAATTTGAAAGATATAAAATCAATCTCGACTGGGTACAGTGGTTCATGCCTGTAATCCTAGCACTTTGGGAGGCCAAGTTTCAACTGAGGTCTGGAGTTCAAGAGCAGCCTGGCCAACATGGTGAAACCCTGTCTCTACTGAAAATACAAAAATTAGCTGGGTGTGGTGGTGCACGCCTGTAATCCCAGCTACTCAGGAGGCTAAGGCACGAGAATTCCTTGAACCTGAGAGGTGGAGGTTGCAATGAGCTGAGATTGTGCCATTGCACTCTAGCCTGGGCAACAGAGCGAGACTCTGAAAAAAAAAATCAATCTCAAGTTATTATTTCTGAAGGAATTTTAGTTCTTTGAGTTCTCAGTATGGGCCAACGAGTAGTCATCTTAACTTATCTCAAATAATCCTTACAACCCTCCATGCAGGTAGAGCTATTACCTTCAGAAGGAACTAAGTTGAAGTGACTATTCATTCTTTTATTGATGTCTTTACTTATTTGTTCAACAAGTCTTTATTGAGCTCCTACTATGTGCAGAGCCCTGCCCTGGTACTGGGACACAGGGCGAACAAGGTAGACAGAGACCCTGTGCTCGTGGTGCTTCTGTTCCAGCTCACAAGAGAATTCTAACTTGGGGTGGTCTGACTCCAAAGCTGGTGCCCTTTGCCTAGGGGGGCTGCCTCCAATGGGACTCAATTACATCAGATCAGGATTGGGAACAAAATCTCCTGAGAAAAAAATAATTGTGATCCCAAATGGATATTTTTGGATGGTGGAGAGCAGTATCCTTCTTCAAGTGACCAAAAACTATTAGGATGTCAGTGCGTATTTTAATGCCAGCTGATAACTTGATTTCCGGCTCCATGAGTTCTGCAGAAAAGGAGAGCTCAGCATGGAAAAGGAGTGCCTTCTCTTGGAAGTTTCCCTTTGTGTTCCTCAAAGAGCATGGGGACTGTTTGTAGAACTCTGTGAATTACTAATATGTTTAAAGTCTACGACACAAGCTAAGAACGTTATACCAACAATAGGAAGACAAGTAATATGTGTGCAAACCTCTGCAACCTAAGAAAATACAATACTTTAGATGTGCTTTAAAAGCACACACATTGGCTGGGTGTGGTGGCTCACGCCTATAATCCCAGCACTTTGGGAGGCCGAGGCAGGCAGATTGCCTGAGGTAGGGAGTTTGAGACCAGCCTGGCCAGCATGGTGAAGCCCCGTCTCTACTAAAAATACAAAAATTAGCCAGGTGTGGTGGCAGGTGCCTGTAATCCCAGCAACTTGGGAAGTTGAGGCAGGAGAATTGCTTGAACCCAGGAGGCGGAGGTTGCAGTGAGCCGAGATTGCGCCATTGCACTCCAGCCTGGGCAACAGAGTGAGACTTCGTCTCAAGAAAAAAAAAAAAAAGAAAGCACACACACTTTAGCAGGATTAAAGTAAACAATGTAAGCTTCATGATCAAGTATAGTTGACTGAGCTCAGTCCTTGAAAAAGTTCTGGGAGAACATTTACCTGTAGGCTATTTTTATTTCCTTGGACTGGGAAAAAGACAGAAATTTGGTTTAAGGGCTTCTGCCTTGGCATGAAGAGCCCTGCCCCCTCATCCTACCCAGTGTGGCTGGGAGCTGAACAGCGGATCTTTTCCTGGGGCTTCTCCTAGGGGGTCCCTAGGTGATTTCCTGCTGACAGCTCTGGTCCATGGGCCCTGACACAGACAGAGCCCCTGTCCTTGATACCCCTATGGATGGTTGAGTGATTGCTTAATGCTAATGATGATAACAACAATTGCTACCATTTATTAAGCCCTTACTGATATTGTGATAAGCACTTTTTTACCACTATCTTGTTTAATTCTCCCAATAGCCACTGTGATAGTATTTGTCACTTGCATTTTACAGATGAAGAGATTGAGGCTCAGCAAGGTTAAGTAACTTCTCCAATGACCCAGGAAGGACACGATATCATCAGGATTCAAATTCAGGTCACTTTGCCTTCAAAACTCTCATTGTTAATGCATCTTCTGAGCATGAGGGACAAAGTCCTTTTCCTCAACTTAGACACTCTGGGTCAAGGTTAGCAAACCTAAATACTTACCTGGGACAGGCAAGAAACTTAAATGTGAAGTGAGCTAGATAGAAGAACATATTTCATTTTTTCAACTGTAATATATGGGAAAAATCCCTATAAGCATGAGTTGGGCTATTTGGGCATAGTGGGGATTGTGGTAAACTGGACAGAGTGAGTCCTAGCCAAAAGGGCAGCTGCCTCTCAGCTGCAGAGATGGAGGTCATATGAGAATGAGGGCCCAGTGTAATGCTGCCAGATCTTCTGATTTTTTACACAAAGCTGGAAAAGCAGAGTATGTGTATGTGTGTGTGGGGTGAAGTCTCCTTGTAGTAGGCACTAGTGGTGCTCTACCCTTTAACCGTTTCTGTGGGTCTCTTCTCCAGCTTGTGTATTCCTTTTCCTTTACCTGCTGGCCCCTGTGGCTGCCTCTGGAATTCTGGCTTTGGTTTAGCCACTGAAGCCACTCTGCCCCCAGGGACTGACTGGCACCGAGGTATGAAAGCTCAGCTCTTTAGTTTGGAGTTGAGACAACTCTGGCGTATAATTCACACTGCACAGCTCTCCTCAGGATCAGGCTGAGTTCAGGGCTTCACCTGAAATCACGCCCGTGCTTGGCTTCCCTTCCTTCCCGTCCCTGTTTCCTTCACCCACTAACCATCTCCCTTTTCTTAAAGAACTCTGGCACTGGGATCCTCTTCTCAGGATCTGTTTCTGAGAAAACCAGCCCTTAACCCTTCTAATTTTTTTTTGTTTGTTTTTTTGAGATGGAGTCTTGCTCTGTCACCCAGGCTGGAGTGCAGTGGTGCGATCTCGGCTCACTGCAACCTCTGCCTTCCAGGTTCAAGTGATTCTCCTGCCTCAGTCTCCCAAGTAGCTGGGACTACAGGCGCCTGCCACCACGCCCAGCTAATTTTGTATTTTCAGTAGAGATGGGGTTTCACCATATTGACCAGGCTGGTCTCGAACTCCTGACCTTGTGATCCACCCACCTTGGCCTCCCAAAGTGCTGGGATTACAGGCGTGAGCCACCGCGCCCAGCCTAACCCTTCTAATTTTTAGAAGTTGGTAATTGGTTCAGATTATAAAATGAAATGTTTTATACAAAACACCTTGCAGACTGTGTACAGTGTGAGGGCAGGCAGTTTGCAGCTCTAGTCAGGGGCTTAGGCTCTGCCACTGTTACATACAACACGGCAATAACAGAGTCGGGGAACAGGAGAAGGAGGGGGGTCCCAGGACCAAGTGGGGCACTGGAACCAAAGCTCCATCAAGGTTACTGCCAAGGTCTTTCTTGGCAGCTGGGCTGTCTTGTAAGACTTCTGGGTGGAGAAAATGAGAAGACAAAAGAAAGGGAAAGACAGCTGCCCATCCATGGAGGGAGAAGTTCAGGAGGCCTTTCAGAATTCTATAGTCTTAATTCCAGGACTGAAGCTGCCTGCCTGTGGGACAGGAGCTGGTGCTAGGGAGATGATGTGAGAGAGTGATGGCAGGCATTAGTGCTAACTGCAAAGTGGCTGGTAGATGGCTCCTCTGGGCAAGGGCAATGACCCCAGGCACCCAAATACTCTGGGAAAGGTGGGCTTTTCTAAGTAGGGTGAGCAATCATTCTTGTTTGCCCATGATAGAGGGGTTTCCCAGAATGTGGAACCCATAATGCTAAAACTGGGAAAGTCCCAGGCAGACTGGAATGAGTTGGTCAACCTACTTCTAAGTTGCACCTGTAACTAAGAGACCATGAGTAGGATCAGGGAAGTTTTTGGGGATCATTTCCTTTACATTCTTGAAATAAAGCAGAAAAATGAATGGGGATTGGAGTTCCAGGGAGCCAGAGGGTAATGGATTTATCACACCCTCCCTCTCCGTCTGTACCCCATGTTGGTGTGGCTGGAAAAATGCCAAGTGCATGATCCAGAGATGACAGGTCACTGAGGTCTAATATTTATATTTCTTCTCAAGAACAAGATCTTTCTTTTTCAGGAATTTGCTCCAGCTTCTTGCTATGAGATCTATCCCTTTAAAGTGACTAAATGAATATGGGCGTTGGTATTGCTTTTCCATCTTTTAAAAGTTCTACTCTCCTTCAGACACCAAATCGTAGTGGGGTTTCATCTCCCTCTGCCAGACTGTACCCCCTGTGAGAGTGGGGACTTTGTATCTCCAGCACTCTGAACATGTCTTGGCTTACAGCAGGTGATCAATACATTTGTAGAATAAATGAATTAATGAATGAGAGAAAGAGGCAGCTATACCAGGAAGGAACATCACTTTTCTCACCCATACTTCACCTTGCTAATTTCTATTCAAACGTTTCCCTGTTCCTAGCCAGGTTCCAGTTATGGACTGTAGATGTAAGTTGATGTTCATTTACTTGCCTGGGTTAATAGTGCCTGTTTCATTGCCACCACAATGGGGCTTATGTAAGAGTGTTAGATAAATACTATGAACTGTCACTGTATTTCAATGCAAATGTCAGATCAGCCTCAAGTCATATCACCAAGGATATTTCACTGAAATGAAGTTTATGAATTTACAGGTGATTGTTGATTTATGATATGGCATGGTTGTCTCTGATAATTTTTGCTATTTCAGGCACTGACAGTCACATTAGGTGCATGTGTTTAATCAGATTCTTATAACAATATTCATCATGGTGAATGCCGAGACCTAGATTAGGAGGTTACCTGGTCTGAACAGTCTGCACCATCCCACCCATGCCGGTGTACATGTTAGCTGTGGACATCCAGAAGTTAGTCACCAGCATGTTGGCAAACACAGACACTCCAGCAATTGCACAAAGACCTGTGGGCAAAGAAAAAGAAAACTCCAGAGTTAGTTTCAAGGGATTACAATGTTTCTGAGGCAGTTTATGCCTAGATGAGTTTAGATGAGTAGGCTGCAGAATATTGTATCCCTATAACCAAGCATTGATTATTGAATTCTTGCTATGTGCTAAATATTGTGATAGGTGCTTAGAATGTTTTATATCGCTAATTGTGGAAGGATATGTGTGTGTACAGAAAGAAATTTTTCATGCATCTTGGGACCAAGGCTCAATATTCCAAATATTTTCAGTCTGGTTCTTTGGTAATGTCAAAGTATCTTCCCTTAAAATCGTTTTCTAAAGCCTCGCCAAGAAAATGCCTTTTAGGGATCAAGTCACATGACTCTTTTAGGGTTGAGAACCTCTTTTTTTTCAGCTTAAGTTAAGATTCAAAAGCTAACTAAGTTTTTTTTTTTTAATAAAAAAATTTTCTTTTAATCGACATAGGGTGTCACAATGCTGCCTAGGCTGGTCTTGAACTCCCGGACTCAAGTGATCCTCCTGTCTTGGACTCTCAAAGTGCTGACATTATAGATGTGAACCACTGCACCCAGCTAAGAACCTCTTATATTGGGGTTGGAGTGGCAGCTAAGAAGGACCTTAGTACTCATGATACACAATTGGACCTCCACACTCAGATCATGAATCTCAGTATGAAAAGTTCTGAACCACATTCAGCAGTAGGGAGGAGTCATGTTTTCTCTACCAGAATAATTTTGCTTTGACATTCGCAGAAGTGGGAACTCCAGGCTCTGTGTTTACCTGAGACAATGAACATGATCCCGGAGGTCAGTGTCATGTTGGCTTTGGCAGAGTCCTCCATGCTGCCAATGCGGATGCATTTCAGGGCAAAGATGGATACCAGGAGGCCAATGGCACCCAGGACGATGCCTACGATCATCAGGGCTCGCACTGCCTGCAGCATGGCTGTGGGACAAGGGGCAAGACACAAGCAGACAAATAAGACCAACTCAGCACACTTGATTAGGCTGTGGTTTAATAAAACAAAGCAACCACAACTAACCTGCACCAAACCTCTGAGAGACAGCAAAGTCCATAAACTGTGAACCTTGCCATTGTCAAAGGATGTGGAATTGTGGGAAATACAAAATACATTGCTTACAATTCTCTGACTGATGAAGGACATGCACTCAGATGTCTTCAGAATCAGAGAATTATGGATGGTTGGAACTTGGGGGGGCCCTTGGATTGTATCTATTTCAGCTTCCTCATTTTTAAAGCTTGATAATCTGGGGGTTGGAAAGGGGAAAATAGTTTGCCTAAGGTAAGAGTTCAAATTACTGATAGAGCTTATAGCTGTGACTTCTAACCTAAATATTTTTCTTCTCTTGTGTTTCCATATGCGCTAAAAGTTTCACATAGTTGTGTCCACTTTAGGAAACCCGGAATTCATTTATTGCATATGATGAAGTCAAGGTTGCTAAGTGATATACCAAGGATACTCAATTTTGTCCCTTTCCAGAAGGAACTACTAAGATTATGGTGAGCTGTAGGTTTCAGATGTATATAAAACAATATAACAATATTAGGCCTTTCATCTAGACTACAGTTTATCAGCAGTTTCCTTTCTAGGAATCAGTCATAGCTATAGGCCCTACAGGGACTCTTCTGCAGTGCCTTCACCTCCAGATATATCCAAAGTTGTTTCTAGTGCATCCTTAAATTGCAGTGACTCATAGCAACAATTGTTTACTGAGCCCTCCTGACTGGCCATGGGATGACAGTAGTTAACAACAGGTCAGACATGGTCTCTGTTGTCATGGAGCTTATGCCAAAGTGGCGAATGACAGTCACTAAGCATGTCTATTACAAGTATAATTAATTTAACAAGGAAGACAAATTAGTCCTTCATGTGTTCCAGAAGGCAAGGCCCC
Source organism: Homo sapiens (assembly GCF_000001405.40). Classification (NCBI taxonomy): domain Eukaryota; kingdom Metazoa; phylum Chordata; class Mammalia; order Primates; family Hominidae; genus Homo; species Homo sapiens. The sequence goes on along the minus strand of NC_000003.12, from coordinate 138,022,689 downwards.
TAGTGTGGTTGGTCTGGTGGAGCTGAACTGCAAAACTGTGTGGAGATGCTTATGTGCTAGACACCAATTGTTTTATCCCTCCAGTATATCCCCTTTTTTCCTCTTAAGTCCGTGATTTCTGAAGGAGTTGCTGTGTCTTACATCAGTGCTTTTCAAACTACTTAAAAATTTAAATTTCTAATCTGTCACAAATTGACATCCTGACAAAATACAAAATCACCTGCTTGAGTGTCACAGGCATGTCAAATTGTTATAAATGTTTAGAAATATTTATTCTTGATTTCGGTACCAGAACTCTTCAGGTGGGTAACACATAGTTTGTGGGCCAGCTTGGTACACAGGCCCTACTTTGAGTAGTAATATTGACCTTGATCTCTCAGGCCCAGACTTTACACCTGGTGCCCTTGACCATGGCAAATTAATCCAGCATGGGCATCTGAGTCAAACTGGGCAGATGAGACCCTTATACAGAATGTTTGTGCTGGACACAGAGAGCATCAGGCCAGTCTCTCTCCAGGGGCTGAAAGTGTAAGATGCTGTCCTTGGGAGTCCGTGGTTTCCTTCAGGTGGTGAGCTGCTGTATAATGGCAAGCAGATGAAACCCAACAGTGAGGTAGAGAGCCCTGACAGTGTTTGAGCTCCTGACTCCAGCTTTTCCTATGGTCCACATACATTCCTTCCTTAGGTTTCAGGTGCTATCCCAGCACCATTGTTATTATTATTATTTTTAAATCCCTACCTGTTTGAACTAATTCAGGTTGGGGTTCTGTTACTTGAAATCAAGTGGTTCTAACTTATGGAAGATGGTTTCATCAGTGTCTAGACATGCTAACCTTTAAAGTCTTATTGTTTTTGGAGAGTTTCCACCCCTCCAGGTTCGAAGCCATTACCAGAGTGCTGCTGAAGCCCCTTGCAGATGTGAGGGGACCTCTCATGCCAAGTCTTATGGCTGCAAAGACATCGCATTCCACAGTGTGGTGTCAGAGAAGAGGTAAAGGGCATAATTTTTCTTTTTTGGGAAATTGCTGATTTTTTTTCCCTAGTTATATAAGCAATAACTGTTCAATATAAAAATTTCAGGATGTATAGAAAACCATAAACAGGAAATGAAAAACAATAACCTGTTATTCCAACTCTTGGAGATAGCCACCTTTAGCATCCTGGTGGGTAGTTTTCCAGGAAGGAATTTTTTAAAAAGGAGAAACAAAACCCTAATGAGGCTCCTCCTGTTACCTAGACCCAAGGGAGCAAGTCAGAAGCCAGCTAGAAATGCAGATGGAGACCTTGCCAAGTTTTAACTAGAAGGGGCTTGTGGGGTACATTCAAAGGAGGTGTCATTCCTACCCTCAGTGAGACCAGTTAATAACATCCAGGCAAAATTAAAATTTGGGAATGGAAAAAAAACAGGAGAAATGCTTAACACTTTTTTTTTTTCTCTTTGAAGGAGATACTGAGGGAATCTGCCTATAGGGCTGTAGGCAAAGGGCTCAGAGGAAACTGTAAACAAAACAGAGTTCTGTCCAGCCCTAGTTTTCATAGGCAGTTGCTACTTTTTAGTGAAAGCTAGTAAGGAATTTTCAGACATTCAAAAATGTAATCCATGGGGAAAAAACCCCTACAATGTAAGTAATAAAATTATCACCCATTTTATGGTTGAAGAAATGGAGACTCACGTGAGGTAACTTGCCTAAGGACACACACCAAGGGAAAGGAGGCAGAGCTGGGAGTCAAATCCAAAATTGCCTCAAAATCATTACTTTTCCATCACAGCACATTGTTTTGAGGCACCTTATTCTGGAAAAACAGGTAAAGTCCTGGCTTCCATCAAGGTACAAGGATCTGTATACTCTTACAGAATGTATCCTCCAAATTTGGAGACTCAACCATAAACTATCATCCTCCGAAATGGATGCTAAGAATGTGGAAGAAAACATTCTCCAAATCTTCTTAGGGAATAAGCTGGCCTGGTAGATTATTTATAAATGTAACTCTCAAGATGACAGCATTCCCATCTCCTCCAGCAGTCCTGGGAGAGAACTCTCTCCAGTCACCTTGGGAAGATTTCCCTCTCCTACAACAGCTAACATCAGTGGAGCTGCCAGCATATTCACTCTAAGGTGTGTATGTATCATAAAGCAATTTTTCATGCCAGAAGAATCGGCAATCAATGAGAAATTTTGAAAAAGGAGAGTTAGATAATGTAGAACTTGTTAAAGTGCCTCCTGCAATATCTGAGGAGCAGAGGCCCTAGCAGCCTTCTCACCAGATATCTGTCTGAAGTATGAATGACAGTGTCCACCTATTCTAGTTCTATCCCATTGATCTCCATATACTTGATTCTGATTCTCTTCTCCTAAAGAAACTTCTGATTTTAACTTTGCTTCTTTGCTGGGAAGAGAATTCTACAAACAACGATCAACAGTCTTGGTCCCACTGGCAACTGTCATGGGAGCAGGTGCCAGTAAGTGGGAGGAAATTGGCTCCACTGCTCATTGCCAGAAACCCCCTATGTCTAGTAATGACCACGGAGATTCATGGTGGTAAACTCACCTTCCCCTGCACCTGCATGGTCCTACCCTCTGGGATCCTAATCTTCTCTATCGATAAGTAAACAGAGAAAACTGCCACAAAGCAAGTAGCAGGTAGGTTTCTCTTTTAGCCATTCTGTCTCTTACTTGATATTCTGATCAAGAGGCTTATCAGCTGATAACAGGTGAGTCAACAGGCTCTAAAGCCTGATTCCCTGCACCAAAGGTGTGACTACAGCATTCTTCCCAATGAACAATGAAGTGTTATCAGACCTGAAGGGTGGGCAGGATTCAGGGCTGAAAGAAGCAAACAGAAAAATAGGAACTCAGTGTTCCCTTCCTGTTGCAAAATACCTTAATTCCCCAAGTAGCTGTGAACTGACAGGTGAGGTGCCCTTAGGTGTGGTTTTTTTTCAACACAGGCTGCACCTGAGCATCTTCTGGGGGAGCTTTTAAAGAAATACTAATGTTTGTTCTCATCCCCAGAGATTTTCATTTAATTATTCAAAGCAAAATTTCAAGGAATAATGTGAGACAACAGCTTTCAAGAAGGGCTCAGCAGAGGTACTCAGAGTGGAGAGTTGGACTGAAAGAGGGTTCTCAGGAGCTGGCATCACTAAGTGGAAGTGGGAGTGAGGATGATGGGACAGCAGTTCACCAGCAGCCAAAGGCCTGGACTGGGGCCCTGGTGGAGTAGGCGGATGGGAGGAGCCATACCTTCAGGCATAGCTTGGTCCTAGACTGGAGATAAGAGGGCTAATGGAGGAGCCCAAAGTCGGGGAGCTCAGAAGATGGTAGTCTGAGGCCAGACCCCAGAGGAAATGCTCTTGAGAATAATATGGGAGAGGCTAGATTCTCTGGAGATTCCAGGGAATCGACACAGAGGTCGTTTGTACCTTGTAAAATTCTACAGAACAATGTGATACCAGGTGAGTGTTATTAGGTAAGTCATTTAAGCTCAGTGAAAACAAGTCCTCAATTCTGGAGGTAGTCAAAGATATCTCTTGCATAGATCTGTGAGGATCAGATGCTACTTGGCATAAACCTAAGCCAGGCTCAATAAATATCAGTTTCCTCTCCTTCCCTAAAAACAACGTATCCCTTGGCAACTCCACAAAGCTTTGACTTGTACTAACTGTATACAAATGTGAATCCTCTCACATAATGATAAAATATGGTTGAGGATTTGAAACAGCCAGGTGTGTGAATTGCTATGGGCAAGAGGGGAAGAAAATTTGAAAAGAAGAAAAGAAAGGCCTGAATCTAGCAGCATCTAAGTAGTGGAGAAGATCAGGAAAAATGGACAGAAGACCCTCAATGAGCAGGGAGCTAGCTGATGGGAGAGGCAGCATAGGTGGGTTTCTATCCTCATTGACCTTCCTCTTCACCTCTGCTATGATTTGAATGTGTGTTTCCCTCCAAAATTTATATGTTGAAACGTAATCCCCAATGCAATACTACTACGAGGTGAAGTCTGTAGGAGGTACCCTCAGGAATGACGTTGAGGCCTTATAAAAGGCCTTGAGGGCCGGGTGCGGTGGCTCACGCCTGTAATCCCAGCACTTTGGGAGGCCGAGGCGGGCGGATCACGAGGTCAGGAGATCGAGACCATCCCGGCTAAAACGGTGAAACCCCGTCTCTACTAAAAATACAAAAAATTAGCCGGGCGTAGTGGCGGGCGCCTGTAGTCCCAGCTACTTGGGAGGCTGAGGCAGGAGAATGGCGTGAACCCGGGAGGCGGAGCTTGCAGTGAGCCGAGATCCCGCCACTGCACTCCAGCCTGGGCGACAGAGCGAGACTCCGTCTCAAAAAAAAAAAAAAAAAAAGGCCTTGAGGGAGCCTGTTTGTCTCTTTTGCCCTTCTGTCCCTTCTGCCATATAAGGACACAACAAAAGGCACTATCTTTGAAGAGCGTGAACCCTTACCAGATGGAATCTGCTGACACCTTGATCTTGGACTTCCCAGCCTCCAGAACTGTGAGAATAAATTTCTGTTGTTTATACATTACCCAACCTAAGATAATCTTCTTATAGCAGCAGGAACCATCTAAGACATCCTCTAAGGTGAGATGCAACTACAACTCTGATGATGTGTCTCCCCACCATGAAATGATGCTGCACCACTGACTAGGCCATCCTAGGGCATGATGCTTTGTGGTAGCTGCCTCTGCCATCTAAATGGGGACCACTACAGCCACAAGCTGAGCAGGCATTCTGGTTCCTAGCTTTTCTCATTGAGAAATCAGGGCAAGCAGCCTCATTTACCTAAGTTGCAGGTTCTCTTGAGCTGTGTAGGCCCATTCTCAGCTCCCTGTGGTGTCTTCTTCATATGTACAATAACGTGTAAACATTTAGATGTTTGTCTACATATTTGAAGAGGCATGCTGATGCTGAAATATTTTTCTCTTTTGAAGAGAGGGAAAGCAGCTTGACTGAAAACCAATAGACTCCCCAACTTTATAACTAACTTATAATCACTTCACCTTCTAGGGCTGGTTTCCTCTACCAGAAAATGGGGAAAGACAAACTGGTTTCGCAACCAGTGAAACCATTCAGCCAATAGCGAGAAATAAACAGACAAGCTCCTTTAAAAATGATACTTATGAGAAGTCTCATTTTTTTCCCTTATGGATTTTTGATTTAGATTTTGTGAAGGTTTTGTGAAACTGTTCTCTGGTTAAATGTGGTTTGGTTTAAAACTTCATTCCTGTGTCTGTAAATATGATTTATAGGTTGATAGGAAACTCTGTAACTCTCCAGTGGCTGTTGTTTTTACACACTGAAGCAGAAAGGGGAAAATGTAGATAGTCATATAAAAAAAAATCAAGACCCTCAGTGCCTGCAAAGGGGCTGGGATATAGTGAGGTGCTCAGAACACGGGTAGGATGGGGATGGGAAGGGAGAACACAGAACCTTAAGTGATCTTTACTTTGGATATTTGAATTCATAAAATGTTTTTGAGTTTGGAGGAAAAAAAGGCTAGAAGAACAAATGTCCTAACTGAGAGCCCCGAGTGATGTAGACACAGCAGTGATGATTTAGTGATACCAAGAGCTAGATCTTGTAAATGGGTCACAGGGCACTTTCTTTCTTTGTTTTTTTTTTTTGAGACAGAGTCTCACTCTATCACCCAGGCTGGAGTGCAGTGGCGCGATCTCAGCTCACTGCAACCTCTGCCTCCTGGGTTCAAGCAATTCTCCTGTCTCAGCTTCCCTAGTAGCTGGGACTAGAGGCGCATGCCACCATGCCTGACTAATTTGTTCATATTTTTAGTAGAGACAGGGTTTCACCATATTGGTCAGGCTGGTCTCGAAATCCTGACCTTAGGTGATTCACCCGCCTTGGCCTCCCAAAGTGCTGGGATTACAGGAGTGAGCCACCAAGCCCGGCCCAGCACTTTCATATAAATGTCTTACTGTGAGGCATTTCACAAATGGGGAAAGTGAGGTCCAGATATGTAGGTGGCCAAATTGTGCCCTTGATTCCAGCTCACTTCCCTCTAACTGTAAGGCTTACCACTTTACCAAATTTAGCCCAAATGTTTGCAAACACTTTAGAAAAAGCATTACTTGACTGTGATGTCAAGCCAGGGACATGATGGAGCCAGGGACATGAGTTTGCCATATCTTTGCCCCCTCTCCACTCTGCTCATTTTTGGCCCTTTGCTCATCCCTTCTACTGTTTCCAGGGAAGGCATGTGTGAATGGGATGCAGGTCATCCATGCTTTAAACTTAATTCATACTCCTAATTTCACATCATTGATTATATTGTTACAAATGGGTCAACCCCCATATACCCTCTGCGCTTATTGTGCTCAAGCCTAGACCAAGCTCTTCAATTCTAAAGGCAGCCCATTCCTGCCTTTAGAAACAGGGTCTGGGCAGGGGAAAAGGATGCAGACTTAGAAGCTTTGCCTTGTGTTCACTTCCTGTTTCTGCCATCTTCTATCCACGAGGCCTTGGGCATGTCCTTCCCTCACCCCCAGCCTCAGTTTTCAACTTTTTAAACCTAAAGCTAATACATATTTTCCTGATTTTTGTAAAGATTAAGCTGAAGAGCCAATATGCAGCTCAATAAATAGTAGTTATTTTTATTTCTGGCACTGTCCTCAGAGTACTGCATGCTGTATTGACTGTGTAGAATACAATGAGATTGAATCTTGAGGTATCAGTTATACAGAGCTGGTAATATACAAGTATACAGTCCTGCTACCACCACCATTTACCTCATTAATCTATCTGTAGTTTATACAATACAACTTGTTGCATTGAATTACATTCTTCTATAGCTGTAAGTTCCAAAGAGACATGATGATACATTTTTGTCAGACGAATGAAAAGTTAAGTGAGATTTTGCAAGAACAGAGATTGCACTTAGGAAGAATTTAATAACTGGCAATGATTATTATAATTATTTATTTATGTATATATTTTGAGGTGAGATCTTGCTCTGTTGCCCACGCTGGAGTGCAGTGGCATGATCACCGTGGCTTTGAATTTCTGGGTTCAAGTGATGATCCTTCTGTCTCAGCCTCCTGCATTTCTAGGATTACAGGTGCAAGCCACTGTACCCAGTGATAATTATGATTATTAACTAAAGTATTATAGGTATCTGCTTTTTGCCTTTCTGTAAACACTTTAAGGCTTACTTCTCTGCTAAAGAGTGATACTTTTCTGGGTTCTAGGTCAAAATTAAACTCTCTGGGAGAATCATTGCAAACTTACATTTCTCCCTCCAGGCATTTCATCCAGCTCCTCTGCTTCAGGTCTCTCTTCCCCAGTTTCCTCGTTAAGCACAAGAAAATACTTTACACAGCTGTTTCTGATGAGAAGTTAGGCATTAGGTCCTGGCTCGTTGTTACTCCTTCCAGCTCCTTTAGGAGCCCCACAGGTGTCATCTCGGGCTGTTTTATCTCCTTGCATTGTTGCCTTTAGCTTTTGAGTTTCTTTCAAGCCTTTTCCTCCTGGTAATCTTCCTGCCCATTCTTACACTCTTTAAATATTTTTTTAAAAATATTTTATTTTTAGAGATGGATGGAGTTTCACTTTGTTGCCCAGGATGGAGTGCAGTGGCATGATCACAGTTCACTGCAGCTTCTAACTCCAGCTCCAGTGATTTTCCTGCCACAGCCTCCTGAGTAGCTGGGATTACTGGCATACACCACTGTGCCCAGCTAGTTTTAAAAAATTTTGTTACTGTAGAGATGGGATCTCATTTTGTTGCCCAGGCTGGTCTTGAACTCCTGGCCTCAAGCAATCCTCCCACCTCAGCCTCCCAAAGTGATGGGATTACAGGGGTAAGTCACCACTCCCAGCTCCTGCCCATTCCTTATCTAAGTCATCAAATAGATATTTGTATTTTGGGGTGCCAATTTGTAGTGTAGCCACTCCTGCTGCATGAGGACTGTCTGCTTTTAAGTCCACAGTCTTCTTGAAGGCCACAGATTTTCAGTGATTTCAAGTACCTCCTTTTCTGCAAACTCAATCCCAAGAAGTGTTTTTTTCTGGCTTTTGGTGAAATCCTCTTCCCTCAACTCAGATAGGCAGAACTGGGGTATACTTCTGTGGTGGCTGCTGGGAACTATCCCCCAGTTCCCATGGTGGTTCAGTCCAGCTTGGTTTTTCACAGCACAATTGGGAGACAGGACACAGAGCAGCACCGACTTCCCCCTCCCCCAGCCCCCTATGCTTGTTGTGTGCCATGCTGGGTTTTGTAGGAGATGCAAGACGGGCACATCAGAGTCCTCTGGCCACAATCTTACCACCGACAGAGCTTACCAATAGATGGTGTTGTGACCAACAGTTTCCAAGAGCCCTCAGTGCATGGCTACTGGCCCTGACATTCACATTTGCTGTCCTCCAGCTGGGATTTGAGGAAAGTCATTTCTTCCAGCTTCCCTAAAATCCTTCTCAGAGAGCCAAGGACCTCTCCTTTCGTGGGTCTGAAACATCTCAGGGTTCCATGAGTGGCAACTGGCTTCTCTCTCTAAGAGCTCTTTGTCTGGCCTGACACGGAATAAAAGTACCTAGCATCACCAATTCTCCCACCTCTCTTCCTCCCTCTCTTCCTCTCTACTTTCTTCCTTCTCACCTTCCCTCCCTCTCTCCCTCACCCACTGTTCCTTTCTTCCTCCTTACTTTTTGAAAAAAATGTGCTTTCCGCCCCCACCCCCATGGCCATATTTACATTCCTCTGTTATTAAATGTTAGGGAATTTTTACATTGCAGAAATTTACCTTAAACCCCTCCTCTTTCCTGATTCCAGGCCATCCCCACCAAAATGTCTAGCTCTGAAATTACACGCTATATATTATCTTGTGTCAGATGATAGTTTACACATATAATTCTATCATATTTGTTTAAATATAAATTAATGGTATATCTTCTTTTGCAATCTCATTGGTTTTGACTATTTGATGTTCAGGGAATTATCTGTCTGGCAGAACTGAAATTAGTGTGGTTGATGTGTTGCAGCCCAGGAAGTTACTACTCAAATGCTCCCTGTGGTAGAGACAGTAGGTGCTCACCCAATAGCTATGTGCTCCTACATCTCCCAGCTCCTGGGGCCATATGGCTAGTTGTGGCCAACGCACTGTGAGTGACATGTGTTCCTTTCAGATTGAAGCAGTTAAGAACTGTTGTGCCTCCTTCAAGCCTTTCTTCTCTTGCCCCAGCAACTTTGAAGAGTGTAGCTACAAGGAGGCTGCTCTTCCCACAGTGGACTTTATGTGGGCAGGAAGTAAACTTTTGTTGTGTCAAGCCATTGAGATGTTTAGGTTTGTTTGTTGCAGCAGCAGACATTAACTACTCTGACTAATAGAGTTCCTGAACTCTAGTCTCTGCAACACAGTAGGCATGCAAGAGATATTTGTTAAATACATGATTGGATGAACAAATGAATCTGTTCCAGGCAGGAGGAGGACCAGGTCCTTTTCTATATATGGAGCCATAATAACAAAAAATTTATAGTACAAAAATGATTTACTGTCCTTTTTGGGGAAGACCTTAACCTGTTTTTAGTTCAATGGCTTGCATAAACACTTAAAATGAACTATTCGTACTATTTAATTCAACTTAGTTTATCAATCCTTTGCTAAATACTCACTCTACCAGGCGCTTTTCTGGGAAATGGGGAAATAATTCTTATCCAGCTGAAGGGAAACACCACATAGAAGCTGAATGACACAAATGTACAAATAACCAAGTTAGTAAGCTAAAGTTCAGACTCAAACAGAACTCCCTTAGCAAAACTGTCCTGATTTCCTCCCCTCCTGACTCTTCCTACTGAATAACCACTTTCTTCCTGGGCTCCAAACACTTGTGTCAAAGCCCCATGACATGTGTTGCCTTTGCTTTGATATTCACACACATGCCTGTCCCCTCTGCTGGAATTTACGGTGCCGACAAGGCCAGTTTTGTGTTGTGTACTCTTTGTAGGTATGCAATAAATGCTTCTCAGATTTGAGAGCAGTGTCACGCGGGGTGAATATGCTCAATGCTATGAGAATGCTCTGGGTTTGGTACAGAGACTTGTGGAATCTTTATTCAATTTGGGGGCTTGAGGAGGTTTGGAGGAAGATTTGTGAGAGGACAGTTGGGGTGGTGGAGGGGGGAATTCAGGGGAGCAGGAGCAATGGATGTCCAGGACCAAGTCCAAGGTATACTGAAAGGACAGAAGAAACAGGATGGGGGAGTAAGAGACTGCCAAGGAAGGTAGGTGAGGGGTTAGGAAGGCTTGGTGTCAGGCTGTTATGTGTGCACCTAGTTAAGCTGGGAATGGGGAACCGTGGAAGTTGTTTGGGTTTTGAAATGTCTAAGGAGATGAGAACTGAGAACTAGGAGTTGGTGACTGAAATACTCCCCTTCATCCTCTGCTATGGTCAAAAAAGCAAACATTCTATAGAGATGAAGGATAGAAACCAGACTGAGAAAGGTTAAGGGTGAGAGGTAGTGGAAAAACTTAGTCTTTTAATTTGGTTTGTCAGTGACCCAGGAGAGAGACAGAACTTGACAATGATCAGGATCAACAGATTTCCCCAGGAAGGAGGCCATATGCATAAGTGAGGAGAAGAGATGAAAGAGGCAAGGAGGAGAGGGGCTGACCAACAGGGCATGATCCCAGACAGGTGGCATGAGGCCTTCAGAGCCCTGCTGGGGAGGTTGACCTTAGCAGGAGAGGTTGACCTTAGCAGGAAAGCAGGGAAGATAATCTTGTTCCATCAAGGGGGAGAGGTGGAGCTATTCTGAGAGGGTGTCATGGAGATAAGATCCGTTGACAGAATAGGAGTGACAAGTCACAGTGGACGCAATGGGGTTTGCCCATTTAGGAGAGTGGGAATATTCAGGAGCCCCATGTATGGAGACTGTGATACACAGTGAGCAAGAGATTGATAATATGTAGTGGGGCCCTGGGGAGAGGTTATTGAACATGAAGTCATAAGACATCATGCCTTAATTTTGAATATGAGGACAATATTTTTTCTTTATATGATAGTTAAAATTAGACATAACTAGCAACTCAACACTCTGTGTGGCATTTCCTGCATCTCACCTCTCCCCTCCCACTACAGCATAATCCCTCCTCAGTCTGGTTCTCTTTCTTTTGGCCAGGTTCTACCTCCCTTGCTTCCCTAAGCAGGTCTTTCCCCGGAGTCAGTCATCCTGTTGGTCCTGCAATAAGTGGCTTCCAAAAAATGGAATAAATAATCAAATTCTTCTACTCTGACACCCATCTTCTATTTCTTTCTGAAAATGAACTTGGATTAGTTGAATTGCTTTTCACAATTCAATTCAGTTTCAAGGGCTCTACAGCCTCTTCACAATTTCTTGCAAATTTATTTCCATCTACTTGTTTATAAAAGGTATTTGTTTCAGAGACATTGTTCTCCTTTCTCCATCACACTCACATCTTGGCCACCCCTTAGAGCCACTAATTAGCTAGAGCTATTATTTTCTTGTTTGCATTTTAAAAATACAAATAGAGCTCCCATATTATTCAGAATGCAAAGTTGCTATGATGCATATTTGAAGTAATTATCTATATTAAAAGCAGGGGTTTAATTTATTTCATCTTTAGGGGTGAAAGGATGTCACATTTATAATTATATTTATATTCTGACATAATATAATTATAATTCTGTAATTATATTTTGATATACATTGATTTTTAGGACAGTATACAAGATATTCTTAATACAAATGCAGCAAAAGGATATTTATAATTTAATGGCAATATTCTTTTTGGCACCCACAGAGACTCCAACTTTGAAAAATTTAATTGAAATGGAAAGAAAATTAAATTAGCTCTCAATAAACTTTTCCAGATATAACAAAATACTCAGCATCCTGCTTCCCTGCTCCCATGTATGTGCAGGCAGGAGCAAGCCACATGCAAGTAATGCACACAATTTATTTTCTCCTTGAGAAACACGAGTTTATTCCAGGTATCATGAACATACCCTTACAATAGACCCATTCTTCTTGAGGCCTGCCTCCTCACTAGCGATTCCTTCGCCTTGAGTATTAACCCTCCCATTTTCTCCTGCATGACTGTTGCCCTATTAGACACGAGCCAGCTTCTCCTTTTATTCACACCTTTCATTCTGAGCCAGAGCTGCCAGGGTCCTCACCCAGAGGTGGGAGTGGGGCTTAACGCAAACGCCCCCTTCCCTGCTCACCTGGTTCACCTGGCTCTACCCCGGGGTGCACGGTGCCTACCTGGAAGTCCCAGGATGGTGAAATAGGGCCTGCATTCGGTGAAGCCTGAACTCTGCCTCACGCAGCTCCTCCAGAGCCCTTCGTACTGGAACACGGAGGTGACGGGGTTGTCGTACAGGTCCTGGGTGCTCCACATGTCCATCCCGGTGGCCGCGATGCAGCCGGCCAGCCCCAGGATGGACAGGAGGAACGCCACCACTTGGCATGTGGTGGTGGACATGATCCTGGCCGCCCGCCCTGCCGCCTGCGAGAAGCTGCCGCCCTCCTGCTGCCGAAGGTGTGAAGCTAACGCGCTCCTGAGGGGAGCTCTTCTAATCAGATGGTTTCCCTAGGCTCTCAGTATTTGCTCACAGTGTTTTCCTTAGATAGCTCAGTTTCGCTCCTGGTTCAAGGGCATTATTTTTACATTTGTTAGAGAAGCGGGCCCAAGAGGCACTTGTCTGCTCTCCGCAGGCCGGGTGGGTTCAGCGCAGAGCCGTGCCAGGGAGCAGAAGGACTCCCTGCTCCGGGCCAGACCGGCCTCCCTCCAGCTCCGGCTCCTCCGGAGAGCGCCGCCATCTGGAGAAAAGGCTGACGTGTCCCCACCACGGGGAACGTGACTGCAGACCACTTTGGCTGACCTCGCTTAAGATGGCCCCTGGGAAGCACCCACCGTGCTCTGTCTTAAACCAGACTTTTCACATTTTCTCCTCACAACTCATGAACGACTTTTTTCACTTACATCTTTCCATTTTGATCTTACAGAAATGGGTAGGGCAGGCACTATTATCCCCATTTTTTGGGGGTGAGTCAAGAAAAGTACAGATAAGTTAAGGGACTTGTCCCAGTGCCTGGAACCACAGATACTCTAAAAACGGCAGGGGTGGGGCTCCCACCTCAGCTTCCAGTCCAGCGCTCTTTCTCTGTTTCCATATGGAGCAGCAGGGGCAGGCAAAATTGTCCCCACTTTTGAGAACACGAAGCCAAATCCTAGATCTATGCTCTTGGTCCATAAGCATTGGAACTGGGATGAGAGGAAGCCAGGGACCCCGTTGATTTCCATGTCATGCTTTCACTCGTGCCACAAGAACCACATGAGGACTCTGTGGCTGACACAGGAGGTCCCACAAAGGCCAGAGGAGGGACCAGGGTTAGCTGGGCTGAAGTCCTTGGCCTGGTCACGGAGAGGCTTAGGATCTGCTCCTGATGCTGCCCCTAACTTGTCGTGTGCTGGGCAGGTTGGGGGCAAACTCCTAAGCCCTTGTAGGTCACAGGTTCTTCATCCACAACATGTGAGATCTAAACTAGAACACTCCAGAGCCTTTTCAGATCTCATACACTATCTTCTACATTTTGCAGAAAAGTTTTCACTAGAATTGGTCAAAATATTAGGAATTGTATAATCACAGTAGAGAGACTTGGCTGAAGACATCAGGTGTTATGTTTTGTCTATACAACTAAATTTTGCTAGAGAATTGGTTGACGGATATGGGGGCCAGGTATGTCTGGCCTCTGAATCCAGAGACTTTTTAAAAATTTTTTGAGATGGAGTCTTGCTCTGTTGCCCAGACTGGAGTGCAGTGTTGTCATCGGGGTCACTGCAAATTCTGCCTCCTGGGTTCAAGCAATTCTCATGCCTCAGCCTCCAGAGTATTTGGAACTATACATGCATACCACCACACCCGGCTAATTTTTATGTTTTTAGTAGAGACAGGGTTTCACCATGTTGCTTACGCTGGGCTCGAATTCCTGAGCTCAAGTGATCTGCTTATCTTGGCTTCCCAAAGTGCTGGGATTACAGGCGTGACTCACTGTGCCTGGCTTCCAGATATATTTTGTTTTTATTTATTTATTTATTTATTTTGAGAGGGAGTCTCACTCTGTCGCCCAGGCTGGAGTGCAGTGGCGCAATCTTGGCTCACTGCAACCTCCACCTCCTGGGTTCAAGCGATTCTCCTGCCTCAGCCTCCTGACTAGCTGAGATTACAGGCGCCTGCCACCACACCCAGCTAATTTTTGTATTTTAGTAGAGATGGGGTTTCACCATGTTGGTCAGGCTGGCCTCGAACTCCTGACCTCAAATGATCTGCCTGCCTCGGCCTCCCAAAGTGCCAGGATTGCAGGCGTGAGCCACTGTGCCCAGCCCTCCGGAGACATTTTAATGACACTCTCCAAAATCTGGACCTCAAGGCCCTGAAACATACACACACACCCACACACACCCCCACACACCCCCACACTCCCCCCCCACATACATACTCCAATCTTTAACCTTTATAGGTCTTTACAGGTTCTCCAGGAAACGAGCCTCTGTGTCTGGACATTTTGTTATCTTGGGTGCACCCAGCCTCTGCTCCCACTGCATTATTCCCAGCAAACACAGAAAGCAAATAGGGAAGAACTACCTCTAATTTGAATGGAGGCAACACTCCCCTTCACTGCACACCTTACTTTAGGTTCTGTGATCAGTGTTTCTAGTGAAGCATGAGCCAGAAAGCCTAAAATAAGAGGGTAAGCAACAGTTACATGATCTACAGTGAAGGAATGTTGATGGCAGTGTGTCCCTTGAGTTGTTACAAGGCCAATTCTAAAAGGAGGGAAGGGAACAGTTAGAAGTGACACTGGTTTCTGCTGGTGGGCATAGATTGACCAATTAGGTTGAAAACTGTTGTTGGAATAATTCAGGAATGATTCTACCACTGTTTCCATAGACAGAGTCTATCTTACTTTTATTTCAACCAACAGGCAGGCTTTTTAATCCTCATTTTAAAAATTTATTTCATTTAAAAAATTTATTTTACTTTAAGTTCTAGGATACATGTGCAGAACGTGCAGGTTTGTTACATAGGTATACATGTGCCATGGTGGTTTGCTGCACCTATTGACCCATCATCTAGGTTCCCTCCCCTCACCCCCCCGACCCCCGACAGGCCCCAGTATATGTTGTTCCCCTCCCTGTGTCCATGTGTTCTCATTGTTCAGCTCCCACTTATGAGTGAGAACATGTGGTGTATAGTTTTCTGTTTCTGTGTTAGTTTGCTGAGGATGATGGCTTCTAGCTTCATCCATGTTCCTGCAAAGGATATGATCTCATTCCTTTTTATGGCTGCATAGTATTCTATGGTGTATATGTACCACATTTTATCCAGTCTATCATTGATGGGCATTTGGGTTGGTTCCACATCTCTGCTATTATAAATCGTGCTGCAATAAACATATGTGTGCATGTGCTTTTATAGTAGAATGGTTTATATTCCTTTGGGTATATACCCAGTAATGGGATTGCTAGGTCAAATTGTATCCTTTTATTCTTAAAAAGCTCTATTGGTTTGATTTTCAGATGTTCAATTTATGACATTTGTCTAACCTTCCCCCGACAATACATATACATGTGTTAGAATACCACCAAAAACATAGATTGAAGATGGAAAAATAAAAAAATTGTTGATTAAAGTTATCTATTTTTCATCTATGGCAATTCCCCCCCCAGTTTCCCTATGCAAATGTTTTCATGCAGAGTTTCAAAATAGGGAAAAATGTTATTCAGATAATAAGGAATTAAATTTTCTTTCTTGGCTGAAATGGTGACAGTGACACTTTTTTGAAAATAGAAAAAGTTAATTTTAAAGGATAAACTAAGACTATCTCTACCTAGGCAGAATACTGAATGAGAGGAGTGAAATTGTAAATCTACACACTTCTTCTGTGTGAAATAAATACTGATGTGTTTTAAAACACCTGGAAGATAGGATTTTTCACTTCCTGGTAAGTTTTCTGGGCTCTGAGCAGACTACTATTTTAGCCGTATCTGCCAAAAAATGAATGGGGGTCTGCAGAGGAAAATATGACTTTCTCATTTATGGCAATAGGCTTTATTGAAACATATCAATGTATCTCTACCAGATAAGTCCAGGTCTGATTCTGTTTAACAATAATGGGGTTGGTAAACTTTGTTTAATCACCTTTAAAATGGAGCTGAATTTTTGCTGACTTCCTAGGGGAAATCATCCCTGCATTCAGGTTTAAATACGGCCCTGGCAGTGTCATTTCAGGTTGTAAGTTTCCAAGAGCTTATATTATTTTACTGCCATTGGAGAAAACATTTCCACCACTTTTTATAACACTGTCTATGGTAATTAGGCAAAAATGGTGGCATAAATAACAATAGAAAATATTATAGCTAGGAATTAGGAAGAAATAAAATGAATATACTAGTGAGAAAAATAATTGACACATCTATTAATTTTTTCTTCAAAAATATTACCACATATATCCCTAATTTTTAATTTCACCTTTTGGTGTTCATAATAGAAAATTTGGAGAGAATTTGAACAAATTGCTCACAATTTTAAGCCCTAGACAAAATATTTGGCATACTTCCTTCTTATCAATTATCTGTATGTATTTTTTTACATAATTAAAGGATAATATAGTTTGATGTTTTGCTCTTTTCACTTAATTGTATTAGTTTCACCAAAGCTCTTGTAAACATCATTTAATATGAGTGTGTTAGTATTTCATTATATAGAAGTGCTATTATTCACTTATTTTTATATAGTTAGATTGTACCTTCCCCCATTTTTTTGAATAAAAGGCAATGTTATGATGAACATCTTACATATAACTCTTTGTCAGCATTTCTGATGACTCTTTTAGGATAGATTCCTAGGAGTGAAATTAAGTTGTCAAAAACTGTGAAGTTTTAAAAAATCTTTTTTTATACACAACCATATTGCTTTCTATGAATTTTATCCTAACAGCAGTGTTTGAAAGTTCTTATCTCTTTACATCCTAGTCTACATTGTGAATTTGGTAAGTTATATATGTATATGATTACTTGTTTTAACTTGCATCTCTTTAATTACTGAGTTTGAGCCTTTTTGAAAAAAACGAATATGAGTTCATGTCCTTTGCAGGGACATGGATGAAGCTAGAAACAACCATTCTCAGCAAACTAACACAGGAGCAGAAAACCAAACACCTCATGTTCTCACTCGTAAGTGGGAGTTGAACAATGAGAACATATGGGCACAGGGAGGGGAACATCACACACCTGGGCCTGTTAGGGGGGTGGGTGGCACGGGGAGGGATAGCATTAGGAGAAATACCTAATGTAGATGGTTAATGGGTGCAGCAAACCACTATGGCACATGTATACCTATGTAACAAACCTGCACGTTCTGCACATGTATCCCAGAACTTAAAGTATAATAATAATAAAAAATATTCATCATCAAAAATAGAAAAGAAAAAAAACAAAAAACCCAACAAGTTTGTATGAAGCATTTGATTTTTGTTCTTTTCTTGAATTGTCAGTTTGTATTCCTTCCTCATTGATTTACTAGAATTTTAGCACTTTTTCTATCAGTTTATCTGAGCTATGTATTTATTAAGGATTTTAATACATTGCTGTAATTACTAAAAACATCTTTTCCCATTGATTATTTGCTTTTAAATTCCATACATGATTTAGAAAAAAACATATAATGTATTTTATTTTATGTGCTTCCTGGTGCCTGGTACATAAAGTATGCTCAATAAATATTTGTTGAATGATGTAGTCAAATAAATTTACTTTTTCTTTGTGTTTTCTTCCACTATTTCTATGCTTAGAGAATAATTTCCATTTAGGAGATAGTTATTCTAGAATTATTTTATAATTTTAAAATATTTAAAATTATCTTATATTTTTAAATATTTAATTAATCTAGGATTTATTTTGGTATATTTGTTAGTTATACTGTAATTACTTTTTCCTTCAAAAAAAGCTAGTCAATGACTTCTGCAACATTAACTAAATAAACTTCCTTTTTCTTCATTGCTTTGTAAAACCTCCTCTATCTTGTATTCAACTCACATATATGTCTTTCTGATTTTAGATTTTATTCCATTAATCTGTTTGTCCATCCTTATGCCAAAGCATACTTTTAACTTTCAAAGCTTTAAAATTTGGTTGAATATCTGGCAGCGTTAGCCCATCACTTTATTATACTTAAAAAAAAAAACTTTCGTTTTTTTTGTCTGCTTCTTCTTATACCTAGACACTTTGTCAAGTTCCCATGGGGAAACTCTTGCCGGTATTTTGATAAGAATTCTTGTAAAGGAGAAGAGCTGAGGCTCTGAAGAACGCCTGTATGGTCTGAATCTTCATCCTGCCATTTACTACCACAGTGCCATTAGGCAAATATTTTAACCTCTTTGTGCCTGTTTCCTCACCTATAAAATGGAGATAATACTACTACTTACTTCATAGGGTAGTTGCAAAGATTAAAATATGTATAGGTAATTTATCTAAAATTTTTTTTTTGAGATGGAGTCTCACTGTGTTGCAGTGGTGCAATCTTGGCCCACTGCAACCTCCACCTCCAGGGTTCAAGTGATTCTCTTGCCTCAGCCTCCTGAGTAGCTGGGACTACAGGCGTGCACCACCACACCTGGCTAATTTTTTTGTATTTTTAGTAGAGACAGGGTTTCACCATGTTGGTCAGGCTGGTCTCGAACTCCTGACTTCAAATGATTCCCCTGCCTTGGCCTCCCAAAGTGCTGGGATTATAGGTGTGAGTCACCGTGCCGGGCCTAAACTTTTATAATTATATAAGTTATGTATATTAATACAGGCATATATTAATTTCTTTAAAAAATTTTTTTATTATTCCTGTCTCTCCAACTAAATCAGAGCAGGCATATGTTAATTTCTCAAAACAATGCCTGGCACATAGCAAGGTCTTAATAAATTCTATTATTATTATCATTACACATTAATTAGGGACAAATTTACATTTTAATAATAGCCCCATCTAGAAGCCTGTATTATATATTTCCACGAAATCTTTAAACAATTTGTTAGTAAAACTTCTTTCATTTTGATTTTGCCAAATATTTAAGCATATTATTCTTAAGCGTTTAACGTATCTCATTGTACTGTGCACTCCACCTGCCCTAGCCCATATCACATATAAGCAGAACTAAGTCCTTTTAATTTTCTTAACATAGTACATTCTCTCGTGCCACTGTGATTTTCCAAGATGATGGTCTCTCTTTCTGGAAAACCCTTTGCCTCTTTATCTTCTTGGGTAATTCATATCTGTTGTTATTAACTCAGTGCAGCTGTCATTCCTTTTGGAAGCCTTCCCTTTCTTCATGGTCTGCACCCTGTACCAGACATGACACTTACTAAAATTTATTGCTGTGGTTCTTAACCAGGGATGATTTGCCCCTTAGAGGACATTTGGCAATGGAAGGAGCCACTTTTGGTTGCCATAACTGGTGTGGGTGGGTATTGATGCTACTCTTGTCTGGTGGGTAGAGGCCAGAGATGCCTTTAAATGTTCTACAGTATACAGGAGAGGCTCCCACAGAAAAGAATTATATGGCCCACAATGTCAATAGGGCTGACGTTGAGACTGTTTACTGTATGTCTGTCTTCCTAGATTTATGAGCCCTTTGACACCTATATTCCCTATGTGCAGACAGTCTGGGACATAGTAGGTGTTCAATAAATGTTTGTTGAATGAATAAATATTTCTTCTAATGCCACAATTTCTATGTTGTTGTTTATTTCCTTATTATTTCCATGTGTGTGAAAGGACCAAAGACCTTTGCTTTTTGTTCCTTGATCTCTCCAAGAAGGGACTTTGTCTAAACCCAATCAGCCCAGAAAAGGTTGACTACTGGTTATGGGCCTAGTGAAATGACTTTGCCCAGGAAGGTGACCACCAGTTCTATGCCTAGGGTTTCTCTGGAAGATTTGGTTTTGTCTGTCTTCTTCCCTCTGAGCCTAAGTGTCTGTGTTTCCATCCTCAGGGTATGTTAACTTCTCAATGGAAATTTAAAAATTCCATACTTTCATTTCAATGGAAATGAGAAACAAATTAAAACAAGAATGTTCCAGATCCTTTGGCTGGCTACTTATGGATTATGTTTATGTTGGTGTTTATGATCGTATTTGCACCAGAGGACAGCCAAATGACATCCTCAACTGCTAATGAACAGAGTCATGTAGATTAAACAGAAAACAGAATTGGGGGAACTCCAAACTCAAATGCCTGCACGCTGGCGGTCAGTACATTAGCATCACCTGCAAGCATTTCACAGGCCTGTCTTTGGTCAGACCTGATTGCAACAATTATTGGCAGTAAATACACACCAAACAACTTTTTTTTTCCGTCTAATTCTAGAAATAAGTGGGTTAAGATAGCCATTCAAACTGGATTTCAGGAGCACCACAATACAATCTTTCCTTAAACAAGGAAGACCACTGCAGAGAACTACCAAGTCGTAGACACCTCACTACCCCAGACATCAGAGAATGCTTCGCTGAGAGGGTGGTGGCTAAGTGTGAGGCATGATTACCTTAAAGTTAATATTATTTTGTAAAACAGTTCTATGTGAATAGAGAATCTATGTCATTAATATCAAGGTTGAACACTAAAACAGGTGAAATAAAAAAAAAATCCACTTGTTTGAGGTTGTTTCTTTGTCCTGTTTCACCCCAAATGAAAATGAACACTATCTCTCACACTCAGTTACATTTTAAATTTGGGCTTATTAGTTTTTTAGTTTTATGTATCTTACATTTGCAAATGTGGTTTTTGTACTTGTATAAGACATATGCATAAGGAATTGAAGTCTATTGTTATACTTGTATATATTAAAATAACATTAAAGTAAGTATACTTTAGATCAACCTTGATGGTATGCAAGAATTTTTTCTTTTAAAAGGGCTTCTATAATCTATATTCTCTTTGAAAAATACTTCTATAAACTATCTATTAAATAGTCAAAGAGTTTTATTTTACACACACACATGCGCACACACGTTTTAAGAGAAGGCATAACAGGTAGATTCAATCTGGTTCGTTTTTAGATCTTTGAGCCTGGGCGAATCACCTTGCTCCTCTGAGCCTCCATCTCCCTATCTCTCCAGCATAAGAATGGGGGAATGTTGCCGGGCGCGGTGGCTCACACCTGTAATCCCAGCACTTTGGGAGGCCAAGGCAGGCGGATCATGAGGTCAGGAGATCGAGACCATCCTGGCTAACACAGTGAAACCCTGTCTCTACTAAAAATGCGAAAAAAAAAAAAAAAGAATGGGGGGATATTGACAGCTGTTGTTAGTCCAGGACCCCATTCAAGGAGAATTCTGTATGGGCCTGCAGCATCAGACTTAGGCAAGAGATGAGGACAGGAAGGTGCTTCTGCACTGGGAATTTCTACTTGGGTCAGGAGAGATTTCTGCTTTGTGTTTAGGGCTCCCTATTAGGGCTGCAAGCCAGGGCTTAGGTGCGGACAGGACAGGGTTTTAGCTCTGGCTACATCTGCAAGTGTCCTTGGGCAAGTTACTCAGAATCAGTTTTCTTGTCTCAAAAATGATAATTGTAGTACCAAACTAACAAGGTGGCTGTAGAGATTATACAAAATATTGTAAGGCAGTTGCCTACTCAAGTGCTAGTGCATGATTTGTCATTGTTATTTTCCCTTTGTGAAGCAGAATGAAGCCCTCAGATATCACTGCAGGTGCTGTGTGTGGCATGAGGTCAGCCATAGGCTGATTCTCCCCACTATGGCCTGTAACTGCATGGACCGAGGTCCTAGCCACTGGGCAGGTTTTGGGCACTTCGTATCTGCAGTGAGGGAGAATCTCAGTGGCAAATGGTTAGACCAAGAGCTAAGGAGGGGTCAGCAGGACATGGGAACGTGGAAGAGGTTCATCTTCCTTCTGGTCCTTAGTGGAGGGAGACCTCACTGACCAGCTGCCAGTTACCCACCCATCTGGCTCACGTTCCGCTGTTTATACCCAGTCCCTCCTTCTCACTTTGGTTCTACTGCCTTTGCCTTTGACTGTCCTACTGATTCAATCTCTTTAGCATCTTCTTGCCAGATTAATATCCTTGAAATACCACAATCCCAAACCAACCAACCAACCAACCAACCAAACAACCAACCTCTCAATGGCTTCCAAACACCTTAGCCTGGCACCCATTGCTCTCCATAATCATCCCCACATAAACCTTCTTCTCCCGCCAAGGTCATTCTCTCATTGCCCCTGAGTAAGACTTGGGCGGTGGCACCCTCATGGCTTTGCCCATGCTGTTTTTCCTTTCTGTATTGCTGCCATCTCCAAATCTTAACTCCTTTTCACAAGACACTTGTGGTTTTTCTACCTTGATGGAGTCTTGCAGTTTCACCCTCTTCTCCTGCCACACTGGCCCTCTGTCTCCCTCACTTGGCATATTGTCATATCCAGCCTGGTGCACTCTTTTATATTTTTGGGAATGGTAGGCCCACAGATTCCCAAGGTTATAGGAAGCTCTCCGTAAATAAGTGTTGAATGTATAAAAGAATAAATCACCGTATGATTCAAGTCTTCTGTTGTTACCTTTTTTGTGTGTCTAAGTCTTGACCCTGCAGTCAAATGGCAAATTCCTGGAGGAGAAAGCCCCATATTTTCCATTTCTGATCCTGTTTACATTGCCCCCCTTAGATCAATGCCCCTCTCAAGACTTCAATATGTATTTATGAAAGAAACAAGCAAAAATAAAAACGACAAATTTATTCATTGTCTTACTCTCTTATCTGAGTGAAAGACATTTTTAACATTCTCTACTCTTGTGACTTGAATTTTTCTTCTAGTTAAAATGACCAATCTACTAAGCAAATAAACACAATCCTTGTGTATTGAATATGCCAATCCCTAGAAGGGGGCACGGCAGCCTGCAATACCTTTCCCTGCATGGCAGCGCCCATTTGCCACAGCAGAATCCCCTGTGCAGAGAGCGCCCTGAGTCTGGTTCCTTGTCACCAATATTTTCTGGAGATCGGGAACCTGGAGCCCCAGTGCAGGGGCCCATCTGACGTCCCAGGGAAACACAGCCACCTAGTTCTTTTTCTCTGCCTTTTTCCTCTGCCCGATTTCTATTGCTGTTGCTTACTTAGGTGTCCCTGGAAGCTGAGTTCAGGCACAAGGAGGCCTGAAGATGGAATCTGTTCAGGAGATAGGCAGTCCCCAACTCAGTGAGGGGGAATCCCGGGGCCGAAGGAACAAAGTGGCCGAAGTCTGGGCCTCCTGAGTCCTGTTCCTATGGGTGATTGAGACTATGCCATTGCTCACATAGGAGTTATTGAAAAAATAAGTTCCTCTGGGAGAATTGGGCACCATCCAGTTAGGGGAACAGGAGCTCAGACAGCTCCAGAAACTTCCTCTCCCTAAGGTTCCCGTCCTCCTATTCCACCCTGGTGCAGGTGGCTGTTGCCCCTGTCAAACACGAATCGCAGTTCCTCCCTCCCCAGCAGTCCCTGTCGTGGTGCCCAGACAGAGCCTGCAGTTTCCTCTCCACCTCCAATCTCTCCCTCCAGCCAGCCAGACACCTGGCCCTTACCTGGCAGCCCCAGCAGGGTGAAGTAGCCCCGGCACTCGGTGAAGCCAGAGCTCTCTCGGACACAGGAGCGCCACAGCCCCTGGTAGTTGAAAACAGCTGTTACGGGGTTGTTGTACAAGTCTTGGGTGCTCCACTGGTCCATGCAGGTGGCAGCAATGATGCCCGCAATCCCAATCAGTGAAACCACGAACCCCAAGCCCTGACAGGCAGTCACGGCCATGGTGGCGCACAGTGTCGACACAGAGCCACACGACAAGTGGACAGCGCAATTCTGAGACTACCGAGTGTAGGGATGGAGTTTTCTCTGAGAGGCTGGTGTACACGTCAGGAACGGACCATGTAATGGAGGCGGTTACTCACCAGTGCCACCTGGGCTTGCCCTACTCCTTTATCTATTGAAGTGAGATAATTCCCACAATAGGGTACCAAGAGTCATTTGTTTTCCACCATATGTACACTCTACTCACTGTTTACCTTTTGAGGGAGTTTCTTTCCTGATTAACCAGGCTCCCCTCTGTAGAGGGTAAAGCAAGTGCAGAGGTGGTTGCCCGGAAGGCACTGCAGATTGGTCAGGCAGGGCTTCCAGTAGTTAAGCCACAAAATACTTGGAGATACAAGGGCTTCATCCATGTGGCCCTGGGGACTGAGATACATGCTGCCACCTTAGTTAAAAAACTTAGGCAAGGCCGGTTATGAGGCATAATAAGGTATAGTTGATTCTAGTTAATCATGGTAGTTACGTTCTATAAAGTCACAAAGAACACCGAATTAGTGAATACTGAATCATTGCCCATAGGGGAAGTACAGGGTCAGGCTCCTGCAAGCCTCTGGTCACAACATTTTCATCATCAGTAGATAAACTTACTGTATGTGTATTTCTGTTTAAAAACAGCTTATTTAATATAAATTGTTGGTTCATTAGCATTGGACTCACAGCCAACAGCAGTGAAATTCATGCCTGAATGAAGCTTATCTAACACACATATTTTCTCCATAAGGCACAGCACAGCCTGCCTGTGCTTCTAAACAGTAATCAGTGCTTCTGTACTATGCTTGGGGGCCATTTTAAACAGTGAAATCAACAAAAAGCACAAAAATGTGAAAAACGTGGCGGTACACATACTTCAAAGAGGACACTTGTTTACCGTATGAGAGCTGAAAAAAGAAGGAAGATTTTCACGTTACTGGACCTCAGCTGGGAACATGCAACTTGGGCAATGCAAAATTTTCACCCTCGGCACATGCTGTTATGACTGCAGCAGTGCCATGAGTATTGATTTTGGAGTTAAAATAAGTTTTAGCAAGTAGGCAAATTTGAAAATATGGTACACATGGTTAATGAGAATCAGCTGTAGTAGTTATTTGATAGAATTGACTAGTTAATGTGGTTAAACTGTTTGCAGCTTCTGTGGCACCTGACTGCCTTAATCAATGGAGAAACCATGCAGGAAGGAAGATAGCAGAGGTAAGAAGCAAGAAGGGCTTTGGGCTCTGGAACTACACAGCTTGGGTTCAAGCCCCACTCCATTGCTTACTAGCTGTGGATGGGTAGCAGCTAAATACTTAACCTCTTTGAGCCACATTATCTTCATATGTAAAATGAGGTAATAATAGTGCTTATCTCTCTGGATTGTTTTGTACATTAAATGTGAAAATACATGTGAAATGTTGAGCATTACATATGGAGCACTGTACTCAGAAAATACTAGGAAATATTACTAGGGCAGACTGATAATATAATTGAAAGCTGTAGCAATTGATGATCACTCTCACATTGTGTTTCTTCACATTGATCCAGAAATTAAACTGCAGCCTACTCACACAAAGTGTCTCTAGTTACAAAAAGGCTTAAAGGTTTTTTTTTGTCCAAATATTATTCCTACTTATTTTGAACCTGGACTCAAGTCTCAACTTTTTTCACCAACTCACAGAGCTATATTATATGTTGTTGGCTAACATCTCTGTGTTCTAGTCTTTCCATTTCTAAAGTTAAGATTTTGGAATATGTTAGTTCATAATTGTAAAAAAGAGGTACCTCTTTCTTTGACTATGATATTGTCAGGAAGACAAATATATCGTTTAGATTAAAAGTGTGTGTGTGTGTGCATTCATGTGTGTGTGCATGTATATGCTTGTGTGGCAGTGGGAGGGCAGGAGGAAGGGCATGCTACTCTGATTTATGGGATGAAGAAACTTTTCTCTTGCTCCATGAAGTAGCCTCTAAGATCACTTATTAGAATCCCACAGGGATCCAGGGAACATAATTTGAAAACTATTGTCTTAGATTCCCTCAATAATCTATTAAAAAATTCATACAGTGAAGAAACGAACTAGAAAAATCAGTTCACTGGCCCAGAGAGAAAACAAGGAAGCTTGTTAGGCTTTGCCTGAGCTGGTCCATGTGTGAAAAAAATTGAAAAAAATCTTCTGAGACTATATTACCAAAAGCCTCTTTCTGTAATGTGACTGGGGTTTGAATTTGTACCCTGAACATCATGGCCCTGGAGCTCCTACACTAAGAAAGTAGCTTTAAAAGGTGATTCCAGGCTGATAACACATCTAGAATGATTTGCAGAGGCAACTGCAAAACCCTCAATGCAGGTTGCATAAGATTTCGACATTTAAAGTCCTGTCAAACTTGAGCTCAAAACCCAAAATTCAAAATCTGCTATAAACAGTGGTGTACTAGTAAACCCAGTGGTATACTAGTAAACCAACTCTAAAAAGAAAAAAAGAATTACTCTGATTTGTAGTCTTTGCCAATTCTCCTACCATGGCTGATTTCAATCTACTAATGTGAATGTAAAGTCACTAAATGCAAAGATGGGAAGAGATGCATGGAATCAACTCTTGCAAGCTGACTCTGGCACATTACTTATGAATACTATCATAAGACTTTAATGCTTACAAGAAACCCCTTCTTGAATCAGATAATACAGTTAAATCATAAAAGAAGGAACTAAAACCATAAGTAAATAAAAGTCACCATAAAAAAAGAACAGGAAGATCTGACAACTTCCCCACTAGAATTTCTAGAAATTAAGGATATAGATAATGAAACAAAACTTCAATGGATAGTGTGGTAGGCACAATTTTGCCCTCTTTCCCAGTGATCTCTGGCCTTTGTGTTACTCCCATGGCTATAATATATTACATGGCAAAAAGGATTTTACAGATGTAATTAAAGTTACTAATCAGCTGACCTTAATATAAAGAGATTATTTTAGATTATCCAGGAAAGCCCAATGTAATCATATAAACCCTAAAAAGCAGCAGAAAAAGGTAGAACATGGAGTGGGAGAGATGTAGCAGAAAGTTAAGTTAGAGAGATCTCAAGAATGAGAAGGATTTGATGCACAATTTTTACCTTGAAGATGAAAGGAGATCACATGACAGGGAAGCAGGAACTTCAGCCCTGCAACTGCAAAGAACTGAATTCTTCCAACCAACAGTGAGTTTGGAAGAACCCTCCAAGTCCCATATAAGAACCACAGGCATGGCAAATACCTTAATTGAAGCTCAGCAATTCCTTAAACAGAATATCCCAAAACTAATTGGGCCCTTATCTTACACCATATGCAAAAATCAATATCATGCTAGACATCTGATTTATAGAAACTGTGAGATAATAAATGGGTGTTATTTGAAGCTGCTAAGTTTCTGGAAATTTGTTAT
Organism: Homo sapiens; assembly: GCF_000001405.40. Taxonomy (NCBI): domain Eukaryota; kingdom Metazoa; phylum Chordata; class Mammalia; order Primates; family Hominidae; genus Homo; species Homo sapiens. The sequence goes on along the minus strand of NC_000003.12, from coordinate 137,995,413 downwards.
GACAGCAGTAGAAAACTAAAAACAGATAATTAACAGATTAAACACAGCTGAAGGTAATACTCATAAAGTAAAAAATAGAACTGAAAAAATTATGCAAAATGTAGACAGAGAAATAAAGAGGTGGAAAACATGAAACAGTAGTAAGAGAATGGAAAAATGAATGAGAAATTCCAACACACATCTAATAGGAGTATAAGAAGACAATAAATAGAATGAAAAAAATATTTGATGAGTTATTGGCTAAGGATTTTCAAGAATGAATGAAAAGCATAAATTCCATGTTAATGTTGTTAAATGAGTTCCAAGAATGGTAAATAAAAACAAATTCACACCTGGATGTATTGTAGTATTGAAAAACACCAAAGTCAAAGAGAAAAACCTTTAAAACCTTTAAGGTCAGCTGATTAGTAACTTTAATTACATCTGTAAAATCCTGAGAGAAAGGAATTGCAGCTATTTTATCAATTGCAACAACTGAAGCCAGAAGAATAGAATTATATCTTTAAAGACTGATAATAAAAATAATTACTAACTCAAAACATTGAGAAGACAAGCCACAGACTGAGATAAAATATTTGCAAAAGACATCTGGTACAAGATTCTTATCTAAAATATACTAAGAACTCTTAAAACTCAGCAATAAAAAAAATACAACCTGATTTTAAAATGGAAGAATTAGCATGAGCAATCAGACAAGGAAAAGAAGCAAAATACATCCAATTTGGAAAGAAAGAGGTAAAATGATCTGTTTTCAGATAATATGATCCCATATATAAACTCCTTAAGACTCCACAAAAAACCTGTTAAAACTAACAAATGAATTCAGTAATGTTGCAGGATACAAAAGAAACACAAAAGTTAGTTGTGCATTTTTACACCAATCATGATCTATCCAAAAAGGAAATCAAGAAAAAAAATACCGTTTGTAATAGCATCAAAAAGAATAAAATATTTTGGAGTAAATTTAACCAAGGAGGTGAGAGATCTGTAGCCTGAAAACTCTAAAACATCAATGAAAGAAATCGAAGACACAAATAAATGGAAAGATGTCTCTTGTTCATGGATTGGAAGAATTAATATTGTTAAAATGTCCGTACTACTCAAAGTGATACACAGATTCAGCATAACCCCTATCAAACTCCAGTGCCATTTTTCACAGAAATGAAAAAATATTCTAAAATTTGTATGAAACCACAAAAGACCCTAAAGAGCCAAAGCAATCTTGAGGAAGAAGAACACAGTTGGAGACATCACACTTCCTGACTTCAAATTATATTACAAAACTATAGTAATCAAAACAGTATGGTACAGACATAAAAACAGACACATAGACCAGTGGAACAAAATATGGAGGACAGAAATAATTCCAAGCAATATACAGTCAACTAATTTTTGACAAGGGCATCAAAAATACACAAAAAAGAAAGGGTAGTAAATTGTGTTGGGATAACTGGATATTCACATACAAAAGAATAGAATTGGGCCCTTACCTTATACCATATACAAAAATAAGTTCAAATTGGATTAAAGACTTAAATGTAGGGCCTGAAGCCATAAAACTCCTTAAAGAAAACATCAGGAAAAAGCTTGTTGACTTTCATCTTGATAATTTTCTTTTTATATGACACCAAAAGCTCAGGCGACAGTAGGAAAAATAGCCAAGTGGGACTACATCAAGCTAAAAATAGCCAAGTGGGACTACATTTGCTTCTGCACAGCAACGCAAACAATTAACAAAATGAAAAGACAACCTAGATTAGGGGAAAATATTTGCAGACAGTATAGCTGATAAGGGGTTAATATAAAAGATATATAGGGACTCACACAACTTAATAGCAAATAAAAAAACAACTGGATTTAAAAAATGGGCAAATGACCTGAATAGACATTTTCCTAAAGAAGACATACAAACTGACAACAGATATATGAAAAAGTGCTCAACATCATTATCATCAGGGATATTCAAATCAAAGCAATAATAAAATATCACCTCACATTTGTTAGGAAGACTATTGTCAAAAAGATAAAAGATAGTAAGTGTTGGCGAGGATGTGGAGAAAATGAAATTATTGTACGCTGTTGGTGGGAATGTAAATTGTTACACCCATCCCGGAAACCCATTCTGGAGTTTCCTCAAAAAAATTAAAAATAGAGCTACCATAAGATCCAGAAGTCCCTCTTCTGGATATATACGCAAAGGAAATGAAATCAGAACCTCAAAGAGATATCTGTGCACTCATGTTCATTGCAGCACTGTTTATAATAGCCAAGATGCAGAAACAATCTAAGTGTCTGTGCTAACTCTAACGGTGTTGAGGGATTTTATTTGCCCCATTTTACTGATCTTATTCCCAGGCACATAGAGAATATTTCTCACCTACAGTATAGGAACAGTTTGAAAAATAACAGTCTAAATACCACTATGTTCAGAGGTCTCTAGCACTAAGTGTGGGCTCTGAAAAAAAATTCAATTTTCCAGAAGAGAGAGCCCACCTGCTCTTTCCAGAAAAAAATGCCCATCCCAGATTCTTGAGGGGAAACTCGGAATGTTCTTGTCATAAGCTCATGGGTCAGATATAACTCAGAAAAACGACCATTGAACTCCGAGTTTCAGCCTAAGGTGGGCGTTCTAAGGACAGCATTCAGCTAAGTAGTGACTCATTTCCACTTGGTTTGGCTTGTGGGAGTAACAAGACATCACTCCCTTGACTGTAGACAGGAGGTATAAATGGCTCAAGCACCCTCCCCAATTTGCAGACTCAAGGTTCCATTCTAAAGCCAGAAAGCATGGCAAACCAAAATATGCCCAGTATTATTCACTGGCTTCCTAGTTCTTGCTATATTTTTGAGCCCCAGTTTGAGTGACTAATAGCATATGGATTTTCGATAAAAAATACACCTAAAAGCAGTTCATAAATTCAGGCATATTTGGAAAGAATTTAAACAATATGTATTTTCTCAGGCTAGACACGAAATAGATCTGTTTGTTTGCCAAGCAGGGTTTTGGTTGGTAAACTCAAACATTGCTTCCATTGACATAAAGCAAGATGCAACAAAACTATGAACATTATCCATAATACCATGTTTTCCCAGTTGCCAGCACATGTCTATGTTAAGATGTACCCTGAGATACAGGAGGCCTTTCTAGGACAAGAATTCTAAGACAGAATCAGCCTTTGGCAAGGGTGTGATGACACCACACATGATCTTCAGGCTCCCCGACCCTCATCTGTCTGTCTTTTTCTGAGAACTTTCCTCCTCATGGATGCTCATTGCCCCAGGTCCTCATGTGCTCTCACATCTCTAAAATATGCCAGTAGGAAAGAGATGTGCTAAGGCATGATCAGGAAGGCTTCGTCTGCAACCTCTTCTGAATTATTTATATTTTACCCTGGGAATCAACTTCTCTCTCCACCTTAAAAACAAATCAAACAAAACATTGTCTGTTTGCTGGTGGTTTGGCAATCCCTAGACTTTTGGATTTTATAAATGAGTAAATTTTATATAAAGGATTCCAGGACTCAAAGAGGACTGGCAAATCATTATTTTGTTAAGTAAGGACAATAACTAATGACCATATCACATCATTTATAAGATAAATAATATTTTAATGTGAAATGATAGAAAACCACAATCTCAGAATAAAGGACAGTCTTCAACAGGTAAGATATATATAAAATATATATTATAATATATATATTTGTACCTATGTTAAACATAGGTACAAATGATATATGTATGATGATATATATAATATATAAATGATATATATCATTTGTATCTATGTTTAACATTGTCCTCATTTTTTATCTAATTTCTTTTCACATAAGGAAACCATCATCATGGACCAACATAGTCCATGAACCAGCATGGGTGCAGATGCTTGGAGTTGCAGGGTTAGTAGCTGACCTTCAGCTGGTGAGATGCTTGCTAATAAGTTTGTTGAGGAGGAGCAATGCCAGGATAGGGGGGCCAGAAGTGTGACTTTTGAGGTCCAGGTGATCTTGAGGAAAGATGCTGAATTTGGGAGAATATGTAGACAGGCAAAGAGAGAAGATCTTGAGGACTCCAGATGATCTGACTGAGGGTGCAGGAACTGAGGTGGGTAGAAGTGGGGACAGGGTGTCTGGTGAAAAGTCATTCACATCAGGGACAGAAGAGAAGAAAAGCAATGAAAAGTCCCTAAGGACCATGACTATGAACTCACAAGTGGCTCATTTAGAATGTTCTGTGGACAAGGACTAAGGAACATTGGTTGATTGATTGATTGCATGAGATTCGTTTGATTAATTCATGAATGTATTTGTCTAAAAAGCAATTGTTGAGTCAGGTAATGCACTAAGGGCTGGGGCTATGGAAATTATTAAGGTACAATTTTTGTCCTCAGATATGTGTAATTATTTATAAATGGTATACAGTCATGCATTGAATAACAACGTTTTGGTTAATGATGAACTGCACTTATGATGGTAGGCCCTAGAGATAATAATAGAGCTGAAAAACTTTTATTGCCTAGTGACATTGCAGCCATCATAACATCATAGCATAATGCATTACTTGCGTGTTTATGGTGATACTGGTGTAAACAAAGCTACTGCACTGCCAGTCATATAAGAGTATACAGCACATAACGATTATATACAAACAATACATACTACTTGATAGTGAAAATAAATGACTATGTTACTACTCTTACATATTTACTATACTATGCTTTTTATTGTTGGGGTGTACTCCTTCTACTTACTACAAATAGTTCACTGTAAAACAGCCCCAGGCAGGTACTTCAGGAGGAATTCCAGAAGGCTATATTGTTATCACAGGAAATGACAGCTCCATGAGTGTTATTGCTCCTGAAGACCTTCCAGTGGGACAAGATGTGGAAGTGAAAGACAATGATATTGATTATTCTGACCCTATGTAGGCCTATGCTAATGCGTGTGTGTCTTAATTCTTTTTTTAAATGTTTAAAAAGTAAAAAAAAAGGAAAAATTAATATATAAAAAAAAATTTATGCAGCTGTACAAAATGTGTTTGTGTCTTAACCTAAGTAGTATTACAAGAGTCCAAAAGTTAAAAATAATTAAAAAGCTTATAAAGTAAAAATGTTACAGTAAGCTCAGATTAATTTATTATTGAAGAAAAAATTTGAAAAAATAAATCTAGTGTAGCCTAAGTGTATGGTGTTTGTAAAGTCTATAGTGGTCTACAGTAATGTCCTAGGCCTTCACATTCACTTCCCACTCATTCACTAACTCACCCGGGGCAACTTACAGTCCTGTAAGCTCTATCCATGGTAAATGCCCTATCCAGGTGCAGCATTAAAAAAAATCTTTTATATCATATTTTTACTGTACCTTTTTATGTTTAGATATGTTTAGACACATAAATACTTACCATTGTGTTACACTGATTACAGTATTCATTACAGTAACATACTGTACAGGTTTGTAGCCTAGGAGCAATAGGCTATACCATATGGCCTAGGTGTGTAGTAGGTTATACCATACAGGTTTGTGTAAGTTGACTCTGTGATGTTCACACAACAACAAAGTCACCTAATGATGCATTTCTTAGAATGTATCCCCATCGTTAAGTGACACATGACTGTATATGTGCTAATATATTTTATGTATTAGATACATTATAAAACATACCCTGACATGAAAATTAAATGAGGACAATACAAAAATGATTATAAATAGAAGTTTTGAGATTATCTTCCTGTGGATTATTTTCCTGGGCTGTGTACACTCCCTGTTTAGAGATTGTTGGCCAAATGAGGTGTGAGCAACTTGAGAGAGGGAGACTGGCAAGTAGGAGGGCTGATGGCTTTGGGGAAAGGAATAGCGCCATGAGGCTAAGGCACAGACATGGGGCTCAAAGAGAGAGTGGCATGAGTTTCTTAGGACCAAAGAGAAAAGAGGGAAAAAGAATGCAGTAAGCTGAAACGGAGCAAAAAGAAGAGAAGAAAGGATGTGTAGCTTGGGGCTGGGGGAATAAGTAGGGTGATTAAAAGAACTGGTGAGTGCTCATTGAGGTGGAGCTTATGGAGAGAAAGGGAGCTAGAAACTCTGGTTGGAGTGGATCTGGCTTATGTGGACCCAGCTAAGTGAGCAGCATGAGGCTGGCTTGTGATTTACCTATTGTTCATATGAGGTACACCCCATAGTCATACAGTGATGACTGACGGCTTGTGCTCAATTGCAGAGTACAGTGTGGGAAGGGCTTACGTGAGATTGGAAAGAGGGAAACCCGTAAATCTCAAGGGAGAATCTTGCACTGATTCTGATAGGCTTATAGGTCACAGGGCACTGTGGCTCAGTGTTAGCTTTTTGAGTCACTTGATAACAGCACTAGGGTGACCAGTCATCCTGATTTGCTCAGGACTGTCCTGGTTATGTGACTGAAAGTCCCAGGTCCCAGAAAACCCCTGAGTTTCAGGCAGTGGTGCTTCAAAACATTCGTAGTAAAGGTCCCATAGAGGGACTGTGTTTTCCAAACCAAAGTGTTTAAATGCATGAATGGAGGAGGCATTTCCCCTCTGACTTCTTAGGGTACATAGACATTTTTTTTTAGGCCAGGCGCGGTAGCTCACACCTGTAATCCCAGCTTTTTGGGTGGCCAAAGTGAGCTAATTGCTTGAGCTCAGGAGTTTGAGACCAGCCTGGACAACATGCCAAAACCCCATCTCTACAAAAGAATACAAAAATAGCTGGGCATGGTGGCGTGTGCCTGTAGTTCTAGCTACTTGGGTGGCTGAGGTGGGAGGATCACTTGAGCCCAGGAGGTCGAGGCTGCAATGAACTGTGAATATGGCACCACTGCACTCCAGCCAGGTCAATAGAGCAAGACCCTGTCTCAAAATTTTTTTTTAAAATATAAAATTAAATCACCTCTAGTTAATGTGTATAATAACTTTGTGATGACACTAAGATGGGAGGAAATCCCCCGTGTGGGAAGTGTTAGGGCTGATGGCCATAGAGGTTTTCATTTACCCACCACACATGCTTTATCTAAGCTGCTTTCAGTATCAGGAGCGGACTCTGTTTCCTGCTCTCAGGAATCACGAGGAGGGTGAGACAAGAGAGCAAACAAGGTAGGGAGGGCTGGTTTCTGTTTGACTAGCTGTAGGCCTGCTCGCCTTCCTGCCACCTCCCAATGTTCAACACATCAACTGCAGGTTCACCTTTAGGTGCTTTTATTCAGGGGAGCTAAAAACTTACTCAAAGGGTTTTTGAGTCATGAGGACAACTAAGACTCCAACCTGCATTTTCTTTCACAAAGGTTTTCTTTAAGTTACTATGTTTATTTTTTTATTTTCACAAAAGTAATATAAACGGTAATATAAAAGTGAGAGAATAAAAAATTTACAAAAAAACCCAAAGGAGGGATGAATAGGTGGAGCACAGGGGGTTTTTAGGGCAGTGAAACCACTGTATGATGCTATGATGGTGGATATATTACACATTTGTCATTATACATGTGTCCAGACTCATAGAGTGCACAACACCAAGAGTAAACCCTAAAGTAAACTATGCACTGTGGATGATAATGATGTGTCAATGAAGGTTTGTCAATAGCAAGAAATGTACCACTCTGTGGGGGATGTTGATAATGGGAGAGGCTCTTAATGTGTAGGATATAGGAGCACAGTGTATATGGAAAATATGTCTACCTTCCTCTCAGTTTTGCTGTGAACGTAAAACTGTTCTAAAAAAGCAAGTTCTAATAATAAATAAATAAAAGGAAAAATATTCCTCAAGCCAACAAAGCATAGATTCCTGTAAGAGATACTATTGTTAACATTTTGTCTTTATTTACCTCTTGTCTTCTTTCCCTGAATACATACATTTTACATATTTGGGATCAGACTGCACATACACATTTTATTATGTTTTTTCATTTAACTTTATATTTGTCAAAAATATTTTCTTCATTAAAACCCATTGCAAGCATAAATTTTAATATGTTATCATGTAGATGTATCATATTTATTTAACCTTTCTCCCACTGTTTATTTAGGTTTTTACCAGTGTTTACTTTTTGAAAAATTAGAATCTTTGATTTTTGAAATCTTGATGGGAAGAAGTAGAAAAAAACCTAGCATTTAAGTTGTAAGCAATTTTTAATTTCACTAGAGATATATGCTGTAATAGTCCTTCAGCATAAGCTGAATTTTGTTCTGGGCACCACCGTAACTAACACACTATAATTACACATATATAAAATACATACCCACTTGCTATTTGGGGAGAAAATGCATTGTTATACCCAACCATAACGTAGATGTTTGTATACTTATAATCCAAGTGTACTGATGTGTAAGGAACTCTCTCTCTCTCTTTTTTTTTTTGGTGTATGCTTGAGTCAGAGTTGTATCTCTGCAGAATATGTTTATTTGTTTGGTAAGAAGAAGTAAATGGAGTATAAAAATTTTTTTTTCTCAGTTTGAAATGAAACTGCTCTATGCCTAAAGAAAGACTTGTTCTCCTGAATGTGGCTATGCATGTCTATGTACATACTTGGTTACCCAGAGCACTTGGCCTCTTAAGATCTAGATAAGATAGTTCTATCACTCATTCTATAGCTCATGGATCTCCAAAGTCCCACTCAAGATTTCTGCAGTTTCCTGAGCAGCTTGGTTCTCATCATCTCTGCCTCTGAGATCCTGCTTCCTTGCACCTGTCCCTGTTACATACCATGTGTACCCAGATCTCACATCCAGCTTCTTCCTCAATTTACACAATGCAAATTCACACAGATCATCTAAATGTGAAGAAATAATAATAACGGCCGCTGACATTTATTGAGTACTTACACCGTACCAGACATTATTCAAGAACTTCAGAGGCATAGCTCGATTGAATCTTCATAACAACCCTATGAGATGGGCATTCTAAATATTCCAACTTTACAGGTAAAGAAAGTGAGGTACTGAGAGATTAGGTACAATTTATATGGAAGTATGTTTACTAAAACATTCACTTATTCAAAAGATTAGTAAGCATTGTAATAATTTTGCAAAGTGGTGGGGATTCAATGGAGAAAAATACAGACATGGTATTGGCTCTCAGGAAGCCCACAGTTGAGAGGCAGGAAACAGACAATTAAATTATTAGAGGGAGCAGAGCAAGATGGTGGAATAGAAGTCTCCACCGATCCTCTCCCCACCCCACAAGGACACCAGTTTAACAACTATCTACACAAAAAAATGACCTTCATAAGAACCAAAAGGAAGGCAAACACCCCAGTACCTGGTTTTAACTTTATATCACTGAAAGAGGCATTGAACAGGTAGGAAAAACAGTCTATATATACATATATATATATATGTGTATATATATATATATATACACACGTGTATATATATATACATATATATGTGTATATATATATACGTGTGTATATATATATACATATATGTGTGTATATATATACATATATATGTATATATATACATATTTTATTATACTTTAAGTTCTAGGGTACAGGTGCACAACATGCAGGTTTGTTACATATGTATACATGTGCCATGTTGGTGTGCTGCACCCATTAACTCATCATTTACATTAGGTATATCTCCTAATGCTATCCCTCCCCACTCCCCCAACCCCACAACAGGCCCCGGTGTGTGATGTTCCCCTTCCTGTGTCCTCATTGTTCAATTCCCACCTATGAGTGAGAACATATGGTGTCTGGTTTTTTGTCCTTGCGATAGTTTGCTGAGAATGATGGTTTCCAGATTCATCCATGTCCCTACAAAGGACATGAACTCATCATTTTTTATGGCTGCATAGTATTCCATGGTGTATATGTGCCATATTTTCTTAATCCAGTCTATCATTGTTGGGCATTTGGGTTGGTTCCAAGTCTTTGCTATTGTGAGTAGTGCCGCAATAAACATACGTGTGCATGTGTCTTTATAGCAGCATGATTTATGTTCCTTTGGGTATATACCCAGTAATGGGACGGCTGGGTCAAATGGTATTTCTAGTTCTAGATCCCTGAGGAATTGCCACACTGTCTTCCACAATGGTTGAACGAGTTTACAGTCCCACCAACAGTGTAAAAGTGTTCCTATTTCTCCACATCCTCTCCAGTACCTGTTGTTTCCTGACTTTTTAATGATTGCCATTCTAACTGGTGTGAGATGATATCTCATTGTGGTTTTGATTTGCATTTCTCTGATGTCCAGTGATGATGAGCATTTTTTCATGTGTCTGTTGGCTGCATAAATGTCTTCTTTTGAGAAGTGTCTGTTCATATCCTTCGCCCACTTTTTGATGGGGTTGTTTGTTTTTTTCTTGTAAATTTGTCTGAGTTCTTTGTAGATTCTGGATATTAGCCCTTTGTCAGATGATTAGATTACAAAAATTTTCTCTCATTCTGTAGGTTGCCTGTTCACTCTGATGGTAGTTTCTTTTGCTGTGCAGAAGCTCTTTAGTTTAATGAGATCCCATTTGTCAATTTTGGCTTTTGTTGCCATTGCTTTTGGTGTTTTAGACATGAAGTCCTTGCCCATGCCTATGTCCTGAATGGTATTGCCTAGGTTTTCTTCTAGGGTTTTTATGGTTTTAGGTCTAACATGTAAGTCTTTAATCCATCTTGAATTAATTTTTGTATAAGGTGTAAGGAAGGGATCCAGGTTCAGCTTTCTACATATGGCTAGCCAGTTTTCCCAGCACCATTTGTTAAATAGGGAATCCTTTCCCCATTTCTTGTTTTTGTCAGGTTTGTCAAAGCTCAGATAGTTGTAGATGTGTGGTATTATTTCTGAGGGCTCTGTTCTGTTCCATTGGTCTACATCTCTGTTTTGGTACCAGTAGCATGCTGTTTTTGTTACTGTAGCCTTGTATAGTTTGAAGTCAGGTAGCGTGATGTCTCCAGCTTTGTTCTTTTGGCTTAGGATTGACTTGGTTCCATATGAACTTTAAAGTAGTTTTTTCCAATTCTATGAAGAAAGTCATTGGTAGCTTGATGGGGATGGCATTGAATCTATAAATTACCTTGGGCAGTATGGCCATTTTCACAATATTGATTCTTCCTATCCATGAACATGGAATGTTCTTCCATTTGTTTGTGTTCTCTTTTATTTCGTTGAGCAGTGGTTTGTAGTTCCCCTTGAAGAGGTCCTTCACATCCCTTGTAAGTTGGATTCCTGGGTATTTTATTCTCTTTGAAGCAATTGTGAATGGGAGTTTTCTCATGATTTGGCTCTCTGTTTTTCTGTTATTGGTGTATAAGAATGCTTGTGATGTTTGCACATTGATTTTGTATCCTGAGACTTTGCTGAAGTTGCTTATCAGCTTAAGGAGATTTTGGGCTGAGACGATGGGGTTTTCTAGATATACAATCATGTCATCTGCAAACAGGGACAATTTGACTTCCTCTTTTCCTAATTGAATACCCTTTATTTCTTTCTCCTGCCTGATTGCCCTGGCCAGAACTTCCAACACCATGTTGAATAGGAGTGGTGAGAGAGGGCATCTCTGTCTTGTGCCAGTTTTCAAAGGGAATACTTCCAGTTTTGCCCATTCAGTATGATATTGGCTGTGGGTTTGTCATAAATAGCTCTTATTATTTTGAGATATGTCCCACCAATACCTAATTTATTGAGAGTTTTTAGCATGAAGCTGTTGAATTTTGTTGAAGGCCTTTTCTGCATCTATTGAGCTAATCATGTGGTTTTTGTCTTTGGTTCTGTTTATATGCTGGATTACGTTTATTGATTTGCATATGTTGAACCAGCCTTGCATCCTAGGGATGAAGCCCACTTGATCATGGTGGATAGGCTTTTTGATGTGCTGCTGGATTGGGTTTGACAGTATTTTATTGAGGATTTTTGCATGATGTTCATCAGGGATATTGGTCTAAAATTCTCTTTTTTTGTTGTGTCTCTGCCAGGCTTTGGTATCAGGATGATGCTGGCCTCATAAAATGAGTTAGGGAGGATTCCCTCTTTTTCTATTGATTGGAATAGTTTCAGAAGGAATGGTACCAGCTCCTCGTTGTACCTCTGGTAGAATTCGGCTGTGAATCCTTCTGGTCCTGGACTCTTTTTGGTTGGTAAGGTATTAATTATTGTCTCAATTTCAGAGCCTGTTGTTGGTCTATTAAGAGATTCAACTTCTTCCTGGTTTAGTCTTGGGTGGGTGTATGTGTCGAGGAATGTATCCATTTCTTCTAGATTTTCTAGTTTATTTGCATAGAGGTGTTTATAGTATTCTCTGATGGTAATTTGTATTTCTGTGGGATTGGTGGTGATACCCCCTTTATCATTTTTTATTACATCTATTTGATTCTTCTCTCTTTTCTTCTTTATTAGTCTTGCTAGCGGTCTATCAATTTTGTTGATCTTTTCAAAAAACCAGCTCCTGGATTCATTGATTTTTTGAAGGTTTTTTTGTGTCTCTATCTCCTTCAGTTCTGCTCTGATCTTAGTTATTTCTTGCCTTCTGCTAGCTTTTGAATGTATTTGCTCTTGCTTTTCTAGTTCTTTTAATTGTGATGTTAGGGTGTCAATTTTAGATCTTTACTGCTTTCTCTTGTGGCCATTTAGTGCCATAAATTTCCCTCTACCCACTGCTTTAAATGTGTCCCAGAGATTCTGGTATGTTGTGTCTTTGTTCTCGTTGGTTTCAAAGAACATCTTTATCTGTGCCTTCATTTTGTTATGTACCCAGTAGTCATTCAGGAGCAGGTTGTTCAGTTTCCACGTAGTTGAGTGGTTTTGAGTGTGTTTCTTAATCCTGAGTTCTAGTTTGATTGCACTGTGGTCTGAGAGACAGTTTGTTACAATTTCTGTCCTTTTACATTTGCTGAGGAGTGCTTTACTTCCAACTACGTGGTCAATTTTGGAATAGGTGCGGTGTGGTGCTGAGAAGAATGTATATTCTGTTGATTTGGGATGGAGAGTTCTGTAGATGTCTGTTAGGTCCACTTGGTGCAGAGCTGAGTTCAATTCCTGAATATCCTTGTTAACTTTCTCTCATTGATCTGTCTAATGTTGACAGTGGGGTGTTAAAGTCTCCCATTATTATTGTGTGGGAGTCTAAGTCTCTTTGTAGGTCACTAAGGATTTGCTTTATGAATCTGGGTGCTCCTGTATTGGGTGTATATATATTCAGGATAGTTAGCTCTTCTTGTTGAATTGATCCCTTTATCATTATGTCATGGCCTTCTTTGTCTCTTTTGATCTTTGTTGGTTTAAAGTCTGTTTTATCAGAGACTAGGATTGCAACCCCTGCCTTTTTTTGTTTTCCATTTGCTTGGTAGATCTTCCTCCATCCCTTTATTTTGAGCTTACGTGTGTCTCTGCATGTGAGATGGGTTTCCTGAATACAGCACACTGATGGGTCTTGACTGTTTATCCAATTTGCTAGTCTGTGTCTTTTAATTGGAGCATTTAGCCCATTTACATTTAAGGTTGATATTGTTATGTGTGAATTTGATCTGTCATTATGATGTTAGCTGGTTATTTTGTTCGTTAGTTGATGCAGTTTCTTCCTAGCCTCAGTGGTCTTTACAATTTGGCATGTTTTTGCAGTGGCTGGTACTGGTTGTTCCTTTCCATGTTTAGTGCTTCCTTCAGGAGCTCTTGTAGGGCAGGCCTGGTGGTGACAAAATCTCTCAGCATTTGCTTGTTTGTAAAGGATTTTATTTCTCCTTCACTTATGAAGCTTAGTTTGGCTGGATATGAAATTCTGGATAGAAAATTCTTTTCTTTAAGAATGTTGAATATTGGCCCCCACTCTCTTCTGGCTTGTAGAGTTTCTGCTGAGAGATCAGCTGTTAGTCTGATGGGCTTCCCTTTGTGGGTAACCCGACCTTTCTCTCTGGCTGCCCTTAACACTTTTTTCTTCATTTCATCTTTGGTGAATCTGACAGTTATGTGTCTTGGAGTTGCTCCTCTCGAGGAGTATCTTTGTGGCGTTCTCTGTATTTCCTGAATTTGAATGTTGGCCTGCCTTGCTAGGTTGGGGAAGTTCTCCTGGATAATATCCTGCAGAGTGTTTTCCAACTTGGTTCCATTCTCCTTGTCACTTTCAGGTACACCAATCAGATGTAGATTTGGTCTTTTCATGTAGTCCCACATTCCTTGGAGGCTTTGTTCATTTCTTTTTATTCTTTTTTCTCTAAACTTCTCTTCTCACTTCATTTCATTCATTTGATCTTCAATCACTGATACCCTTTCTTCCAGTTGATCGAATCAGCTACTGAAGCTTGTGCATTTGTCATGTAGTTCTCATGCCATGGTTTTCAGCTCCATCAGGCCCTTTAAGGACTTCTCTGCATTGGTTATTCTAGTTAGCCATTCGTCTAATTTTTTTTCAAGGTTTTTAACTTCTTTGCGATAGGTTTGAACTTTCTCCTTTAGCTCAGAGGAGTTTGATCATCTGAAGCCTTCTTCTCTCAACTCGTCAAAATCATTCTCCGTCCAGCTTTGTTCCGTTGCTGGTGAGGAGCTGTCTTCCTTTGGAGAAAGAGAGGCGCTCTGATTTTTAGAATTTTCAGTTTCTCTGCTCTGTTTTTTCCCCAGCTTTGTGGTTTTATCTACCTTTGGTCTTTGATGATGGTGACGTACAGATGGGGTTTTGGTGTGGATGTCCTTTCTGTTTGTTAGTTGTCCTTTTAACAGTCAGGACCCTCAGCTGCAGGTCTGTTGGAGTTTACTGGAGGTCCACTCCAGACCCTGTTTGCCTGGGTATCCGCAGTGGAGGCTGCAGAACAGCAAGTATTGCTGAACAGCAAATGTTGCTGTCTGATCGTTCCTCTGGAGGTTTCGTCTCAGAGGGTTACCTGGCTTTGTGAGGTGTCAGTTTGCCCCTACTGGGGGGTGCCTCCCACATTGGCTACTCAGGGGACAGGGACCCACTTGAGGAGGCAGTCTGTCTGTTCTCAGATCTCAAACTCTGTGCTAGGAGAACCACTACTCTCTTCAAAGCTGTCAGACAGGGACATTTAAGTCTGCAGAGGTTTCTGCTGCCTTTTGTTTGCCTATGCCCTGCCCCCAGAGGTGGAGTCTACAGAGGCAGGTAGGCCTCCTTGAGCTGCAGTGAGCTCCACCCAGTTAGAGCTCTTGGCCGCTTTGTTTACCTACTCAAGCCTCAGCAATGGTGGGCACCCCTCCCCCAGCCTCACTGCCACCTTGCAGTTCGATCTCAGACTGCTGTGCTAGCAATGAACGAGGCTCCGTGGGTGTGGCACCTTCCAAGCCATGTACGGGATATAATCTCCTGGTGTGCCATTTGCTAAGACCATTGGAAAAGTGCAGTATTAGGGTGGGAGTGACCCGATTTTCCAGGTGCCATCTGTCACAGCTTTGCTTGGCTATGAAAGGGAATTCCCTGGCCCCCTGTGCTTCCCGGGTGAGGCGATGCCTCGCCCTGCTTCGGCTCACACTCGGTGCACTGCACCCACTGTCTGACAAGCCGCAGTGAGATGAACCAAGTACCTCAGTTGGAAATGCAGAAATCACTGGTCTTCTGCATCACTCACGCTGGGAGCTGTAGACTGGAACTGTTCCTATTTGGCCATCTTGGAACCACCCCTGGAAAAACAGTCTTGAATCACCAATGCTACCCCTCCTCTATCCCCCAGCAGTGGCAGTGTGGTGTGAAGAGTGTCTCTGGACTCCAGGGAAGTGAGACTACAGTATTTGTGAGGCATTGAACTCAGTGCTGCCCTTTGATAACAGAAAACAAAACTGGACCAAACTCAGCTGACACCCACCCATGGAGGGAGCATTTAAACCAGTCCTTGCCAGAGGACAATTGTTGATCCCTGTAGTCCAGACTTGAGTTCCTCCAAGCCTCGCCTCCAAGGGCTAAAGTACTCCAGGTCTCTGAATAAACTTGAAAGGCAGTCTAGGCCCCACAGACTGGAACTCCTGGGTGAGTCTGAGTGCTGAACTGCACCCAGAGCCAGTGGACTGGGGTTGCAGGGGTATGACCTCCTGAGACACCAGCTGGGGCAGCTAAGGGAATGCTGGCATCATTTTTCCCCTCATCCAGGCTGAGCAGCTCACAGCTTCAAAAGAGACTTTTACCCTCTGCTTGAGGAGAGAAAAGGGAAGCTTGGGGAGGACTGTCTTGCATCTTGGATACCAGCTCAGCCACAGCAGTTTAGGGCACTGGACAGAGTTGTGAGACCCCCTTTTCAGGCCTTAGTCCTCAGACATTTCTGGACACATGTTGGACCAGAAAGAAACCTGCTATCTTAAAGGGAAGGACCCAGTCCTGGCAGGATTCATCACCTGCTAACTGAAGAGCCTTTGGGCACTGTATAACCAGGAGCAATGCCCAGGTACTACCTTGAGGACCTTGGTTGAATCTCATGAGACTTGCTGGTTTCAGGTGAGGCTCAGCACAATTCCCAGATGTGGTGGCTATGGGGTGAGACTCCTTCCACTTGAGAAAAGTGGAGGGAAATGCAAGGGGATCTTGTCTTGCACCTTAAGTGCCAGCTTGGCCACAGGTGGGTAGAGCACAAAGCAGGCTCTTGGGGGCCCTGATTCCAGGACTTGGTTCTTAGATGACATTTCCGGACCTGTCCTGGGCCAGAGGGGAGCCCACTACCCTGAAGGGCGAGTCCCAGGCCAGGAAGCATTCATCACAAACTGACTGAAGAGTCCTTGGGCCTTAAGAGAACATTGATGGTAGTCTGGCAGTACTCCCTGTGGGCCTGTGGTGGCAGTGGCCATGGGGTGAGGTTCCTCTGCCTTTGGAAAGGGAAGGGGAGAATGTGAAGGACTGCATCTTGTGGTCTGAGTGCCAGCTCAGCTGCAGTATAATAGAACATCAGGTAGACTTCTAAGGTTTTTGACTCTAGTCACTGGCTCCCAGACAGCACATCTGGACATGCCTGGGGCCTGGAGGAACTCACCACCCTGAAGGGAAGGATACAAGTCTGGCTGGCTTTGCCACCTGCTGATTGTAGAGCCCCAGGGTCTTGAGTCAACATAGGTCATAGGCAGGGAGTGGTTACAGCAGGCCTTGGGTGAGACCCAGTGTTGTGCTGGCTTCATGTCTGACCCAGTAAAGTCCTAGTGGTGGTGGCCGCAGAAAAAGAAATTTAAAAAAAATCCAATTTACAATAGCCACAAATAAAATTACATACCTAGGAATTAACTTAATCAAAGAAGTGAAAGATCTCTATAATAAAAACTATAAAACACTGATGAAAGAAATTGAAGATGCCAAAAAATAAAAAGATATTCCATGTTCATGGATTGGAAGAATCAATATTGTTAAAATGTTTATACTATGCAAAGCAATCTACAGATTCAATGCAACCCCGATCAAAATATCAATGACAGGCCAGGCACAGTGGCTTATGCTTGTAATCTCAGCACTTTGGGAGGCTTAGACAGGTGGATCACTTGAGGTTAGGAGTTCGAGACCAGCCTGGCCAAGAGAGTGAAACCCTATCTCTACTAAAAATACAAAAATTAGCCAGGCGTGGTGGCTTGCACCTGTAATCCCAGCTACTTGGGAGGCTGAGGCAGAAGAATCGCTTGAACCCGGGAGGTAGAGGTTGCAGTGAGGCAAGAACATGCCACTGCACTCCAGCCAGGGCAACAGAGTGAGACTCCATTTCAAAAAACAAACAAACAAACAAACAAACAAACAACGACATTTTTCACAGAAATAGAAAAAAAAATCCTAAAATTTATTTGGAATCACAAAAGACTCAGAATAGCAAAAATGATCCTAAGCAAAAAGAACAAAACCAGTGGAATCACACTATCTTACTTCAAATTATACTATAGAGCTATAGTAACCAAACAGCATAGTACCGGCACAAAAACAGACACATAGGCCAATGGAACAGAATAAAGAACCCAGAAACAAATCCGCACACCTACAGTGAACTCATTTTCAACAAAGGTGCCAAGAACATTCACTTGGGAAAAGACAGTCTTTTCAATAAATGGTGCTGGGAAAATTGAATATCCACATGCAGAAGAAGGGAACTAGACTCCTGCCATATACAAAAATCAAATCAAAATGGATTAAGGACTTAAATCTAAGACCTCAAACAATGAAACTACTACAAGAAAACATTGGGAAAATCTCCAGGACACTGGTCTGGGCAAAAGTTTCCTGAGTAGTACCCCACAAACACAGGCAACCAAAGCAAAAATGGACAATGAAATCACATCAAGTTAAAAAGCTTCTGCACAGCAAAGCAAATAATCAACAAAGTGAAGAGACAACTCACAGAATGGGAGAAAATATTTGCAAACTACCCATATGACAAGGGATTAATAACCAGAATATATAAGGAGCTCAAACAACTCTGTAGGAAAAAAAAAATCTAAGAATCTGATAAAAAACTAGGCAAAAGATTTCAGTAGACATTTCTCAAAAGAAGACATACAAATGGCAACAGGCATATGAAAAGGTGCTCAACATCACTAATCATCACAGAAATACAAATCAAAACTACAATGAGATAGCATCTCACCCCAGTTAAAATGGCTTATATTCGCAAGATAGGTAATAACAAATGCTAGTTAGGACGTAGAGAAAAGGGAACCCTCATACACTGTTGGTGGGAATGTATGTTAGTACAACCACTATGGAGAACAGTTTGGAGGTTCCTCAAAAAACTGAAAATAGAGGTATCATATGATCCAGCAATTCTACTGCTGGGTATATACCCAGAAGACAGGAGATCAGTATATCGAAGAGTTATATGCACTTCCATGTTTGTTGCAGCACTGTTCACAATAGCCAAAATTTGGAAGCAATCTCAGTGTCCATCAGCAGATGAATGGGTACATATACACAATGGAGTAGTATCCAGCCATAAAAAAGAATGAAATCCTGTCATTTGCAACAACATGGGTGGAACTCGAGGTCATTATGCAAAGTGAAATAAGCCAGGCACAAAAAGACAAGCATCACATGTTCTCATTTATTTCTGGGATCTAAAAATCAGAACAATTGAATTCATGAAGATAGAGGGCAGAAATATGGTTACCAGAGCCTGGGAAGGGTAGTGGGAAGGTGGGAGTGGGGAGGTGGGGATAGTTAATGCATACAAAAAAAAATACTCAGAAAGAATGAATAATACCTACTATTTGATAGCACAACAGAGTGACTACAGTCAATAATAACTTGATTGTATATTACAAAGTAACTGAAATGCCACAATTGGATTGTTGGTAACACAAAGGATAAATACTTGAGGGGATGGATACTGCATTTTACATGATGTAATTATTACATATTGCATGCCTGTATCAAAACATCTCATTTACCCCATAAATATATATATCTACTATATATAGATACATGTATCCACAAAAATTAAAACACAAAATTAAAAAAAGAAATTACCAAAAACATGAATTAGGTGAGGTACAGAGTGGTACTCCAGAGAATTTTATTTAATCTTTGTAGTTGTGGAAACTTCTTGAATGAAGTGCTATCTAATGGAAACCTGAGAGATGATTGGAAGTGAGCCAGAAAATGGGAGAAGAACCAGAGAGCAGTGGGTGCAAAGGCTGAGAATGAAGGGTGAGTTTGATGAGGCCAGGTGCTAAAGGAGGTTGGAGTGGCTGCAGCAGAGTGAGGTGGGGGTCAATGGTGAGAGGGGTGAGGGAATTGGGCAAAAGCAAGGACATGGAGTTCTTGTAGGCCAGGGAGGCTCTTGTAGGCCTGTTAAAGATTTTAGACTTCATCCCAAGGGTAATGGCAAGCCAACGAAGGGTTTAGCCAGAAAAGGGACATGATCATATTTACATCTTAGAAGGTTACTTTGGTTGCATATGGAGGATGAAATGGACTAGTGGGAAACTGACTAACAGCAGGAAACCCAGAAGGCTCTGAATGGGCCAGGCAAGAACTTACAGTGTCCTTGACTCCAGGAGTCTCAATGCCAATGGAGAGAAGTAGATGGATTTGAAATATACTCAGAAGGTTGTATTGATCAGGGTTCTTAGTTGCAAACAACAGAATCTATTCCAGGACATTTAATCAGGAAGAGATTTATTATAGGATATTAGGTAGCTCACAGAAAATTTAGGAAGGCTCACCCAATAGACACTAGTCTGAGCTTTTGGAAAAATACTCTAATGGGGATGGTAGAGAAATACTTTCATCATGGTCAAAAAGCTGGCCTGTGACTACAAAACCCAGAACCACATGGCCTCTGCTACTATCCATACCAGCAACATGAATGCCCCATGCTCTGCCTAATGCAGTTATGATAAAAGCCTCATGCATGTTCATCTAATTAGAAGAACCTTAATCATATACATACCCCCAGTGACAAAGAAGCAAGAGATATCTACAACCTTTGTACAGGAAGGAATGCTAGAAAGTAACTGGAATGTTGTTGAATGAACCAGCCTGCAGTACATGTCTCAGAGCTGGCAGGGTCAATAGATTTCCGTGGTTGAGGAGAGTAAGAGAGAAGAGGGTGTTAAGAAAGATGTCTAACTTCTGGTGTGGTATCTGAGGGGATTGTGGTAGATTATATTGAAATAAAAAAACATGGCAGAAGGAAAACCACTTTGGAGTTTGGAGAAAGGGGAGGATGAGCTCAGTTGGGTATGGGATGACTATGAGGTATCTTGGTCTGTGCATATAGAAATGTCTCATAAATAGTTAGATTTAGGGATTTGGAGGTGTAGGTTTCTGAGTCATCAACGTATGAATGACATATGTTGAGAGAGACAAGATGGTTGTTAGAGAAACAAAATCATGTAGGAAGAGACTGCAGAATCTGTAGCATGGAGAGTCAAGGACAGAACCTTTAGGAATACTACCAACACTTAGAGGACAGACAGAGCAAGAGGCATCAGCAAAGAGACTGGCAAGTGTTGACCAGAGAATTGGGAGGAGATTGAGGATGTGGGATCATGGAAGGCAAGATAAAAGAATGCTTGGAGGAGAAGTGAGTGTGACACTGTTGAATGCCGGTAGAGGTCAAGCAGGCGGAGGACTGAGGGGTGTCCAGTAGATTGAATGACAAGGGGGTCATTGGTGACTCTTCAGGGGATAATTTTAATAGTGTGATAAGGAAGAAAGCCAGAATATAGGGAGTGGAGGAGTGAATAGGATGTCGGAAAGGGAAGAGAAGCACAGAAGATGTGTCTTCCCGTAAGTTTGTCCATGAAAGGAGAAACAACGGTGGAAAGGAGCATGGGGTTGAAGGAAAATTGGGGATGAAGGGGGGAAGGCATGGCTAGAGTGTATAAATGGTGATGGGAAACTAGGAGAGAAGAGACAGATTCAGAAAACAGAGGGATAATTGAGACACTGAAGTCCCTGAGAAAATAGATGGGGTTAAGCCAGAGTTTAGGCAAACAGAAAATTCATACAGACTATTCATTTTTATTCATTCATTCAATTTATTTTCTCTCTGAGCCATCTGCCTCCTGAAGCTGTTGAGGAGTTCAGAATCCACTATACATTTCCTCATTTAATCATCCTTCTATTTGCTCTCTATTTGCTCCTTACTCCCTCCCTCCCTCTCTCCCTTCCTTCCTCTTTTCTTTCCTTTCTCCCATCATTTATTTATAAATAACTTTCTTTGAGCCAGACTCTGTGCTAGGTGCAGAGGATACAATGGTGAATAAAACACCTATAACCTGTTTTCATTGAGCTGATAGAATAATAGGGAGAGAGACATTAATCACATCACAATTATAAACCTGAAATTATAACAGTGATAAGAGGCACAAGGGAGAGGCTCATGGTGCTATTATAGCATATAATAGGGTGGTTTGCGCTAGTCTGGGGAGTTCAGGGAAAGCTTCTCTGAGAAAGTGGAAATAGAGCTGAGATGTGAAAGATGAGCAGATATTCACTAGGAAAAGAGGGGTAGGTGGCCAGGAGCAAATAGCATTGCCTATAATAAGAATGAACTTTAGATATACCAAAATGTCCAACAACAGGGGATTTTTTTTTTCAATAAATTATGGTGCATCCACATGATGAAATAATGTGCAGCCTGGCCAGGCGCGGTGGCTCACATCTATAATCCCAGCACATTGGGAGGCCAAGATGGGCAGGTCACCTGAGGTCAGGAGTTCGAGACCAGCCTGGCCAACGTGGAGAAACCCCATCTCTACTAAAAATACAAAAATTAGCCGGACATGGTAGCATGTACCTGTAATCCCAGCTACTCGCGAGGGCTGAGGCTGGAGAATCGCTTGAACCTGAGAAGGTGGAGGTTCTAGCCTGGGCAACAGAGTGAGACTCTGTCTCCCCCACCCAAAAAAATAAATTAAAATAAAAAATAAAAAAAAGAAAAATAATGCGCAGCCATTTATAAGAGATAGATGTGTATACTTTGGATGATATGAAAGATGTACTGTTTAGTAAATAAGGAGTTCATAAAATAATGTTTGGTGTGATATCATTTATACAAGAATATTTATGTATAGATAGATAAATGTATAAAATGTCTAGAAGGATAGTAGTGGGGCTTTCTTTCTACAGGAACATGTACTACATTTGTAATGCAAATAACAATCGAGAAAGAAATGATCATTTATTAACTAAAATCTGACCCATTTTATATAATTAAGGATAATCCAAAACATTTCCTGCAACTTCAGATGGTTTGAGAGAGAACAAGTTGGTAGTAGGCCACTCCAGGGGGCAGAGTGGACCAGGGCTGGGTGAGCAAGGGGATATGCATTCAGGTCCCACGAGTTCCAGGTAAGCTGGCATAGGTAGGGAAGGAAAGTCCTTCCTATCTACCTTACCTGGGCTGCAGATGGTGGATCTTGGGCCAGAAGGAGTGCATTTCTTTTCATGGTCTTGTCCTGAGCCAGGGAAGGGACAGCTTTTTGGCTTGCTTTTCCATCTGAGCCATCTGCTTCCTTCTGCTGGCCCTTGAGTAGGCCAGAGTTCCCAGAGTTCACTGGGAATTTCTCCATTCAGGCTATTTGCTCTTGAATTTATTCACCATCTCAAACATTCATCAATTTGGCCACCCACTCATCTATTTATTTATCCATTCATTCACTTACCCATTTACAAATAATTTGTTTACTCAACCAACCTTTTGTGCTGGGCATTGTGGGGATGAGGAGAGAGGCGGTTAGGTTCAGGGTTTGGAGTTCAGGGCTGTCTGCCTTGGCCAAGGGTGCTGGAGACCTCCATATTTCTTCTCCTGTATGCCTCCACTCAGCTAGTGGCTCTCAAGCTCAGGGCTTCTTAAACTTGGTGTCCACATGAATCACCTAAGAATTTTGTTAAACTGCAGGTTCTAGTTTGGTGGCTACAGGTGAGGCCTGTGATTCTGCATTTCTGACAAGCTCCCAGTTAAGACCTATGCTGCTAGTCCTCAGACCACACTCTGAGTATCAAGAGTGTAATTGGTGCTGTCTGGTAGACATATTAGGGTGGCCAGAAAAAACACAGGACACCCAGTTAAATTTGAAATTTAGATAAACCATGAATTTTGCTTTTAGTATAAGCATATCCCAGGTATCGCATGAGACACATTTATACTGAAAATTTACTAAATATACCAAAAAATTACTTGAGTTTATCTGGAATTCAAATATAACTGAACATCCAGTATTTTTATTTGCTACATCTGGCAATCTTACATATGTAATCCCAGTCATAAATGTGAGCCACATGTGTAATTCTGTTTTCTAGTGTCTGTATTTTAAAAAGTAAAAACAGATAAATTAAATAATGTATTTAATCCTATTTATTAAAAATATTATTTCCACATATAATTAATATCAAATTGTTAGTGAGGTATTCTATATTCTTTTCTTATACTAAGTCTTTGAAATTTAGTGTGTATTTTACACTTCCATCATCTCAATTCGAAGTAGCCACAACTCATGTGCTAAAGAGCTGCATGTGGCTAGTGCCTAGTGCATTGAACAGCACAGGTCTAGATCATCCCAGGTATTTGGCTTTCATGGGCCTGGGCAATGCGAACGTTTTAAAAGCTCCTAGGCGATTCCAATGTGCAGCCAGATTGCCACCACCGCTTGGCAGGGCTACCTGGTCACAGCATTTGGTGATGAGCGGCAGCCGCCACAAGAGGGAGCCAGCCCCTTGGAATACAAGCGCCTTCTCGACGTCGCCTAAAGTCTCACTAGACAGGGATCAGGAAATACTAGGCGAGTTTACATGCCCCGCGCCTGGACCCATTCCTCAGCTTCCCTCACACTCGCTTTCCCAGCCAACATTTTCCACAGTCTGGGCCACTCCTGTGGATCTTTCTGTTACACTGTTCCACAATTATCCCTATTACCTGCAGTATCTTGATCCCTTCCTCCTCCTCCCACTATCATAAGGTCTTCCCCCTTTACTAGTGTGGGAAGGTACAAAGACTAGGAACCGGGAGTCCAACAGGTTGAGGCCTGGATTCCAGCTCTGATCCTTACTAGCTAAAGTCTTTCAGGGCGTCACACAACTGTCCTCAGCTTCCTCACTAGCGTGAAGATGATGCCAATCTCACAACCATGTTGAGGAAGTGCAATGTGTGATAATATGCTTAGAACCATGCCCAGGAGGTGTTTGTAATAAAGTAAAGCAAAGTAGGTGCTCGGAAAATAACAGTTCATTTTCCCCCTCTCCTACAAATACGTTGAAGGTGATGTGATACCCCTAAAATATTAGTCCCAAACCTGGCTGCAACACAGGACCCCCTAAGGAGCTTATGAATAAATCCTGTTTCCTGATCCTCTCTCCCACAGATTCTGATCCAGTAGGACTAGGATGAGGCCAGGATTATGAACCATGAATTTTAAAGAAGTTCTCCAGGTGATTCTGAGCAGCCAGCCTGATACTGCTTTTGTAGGGTATTGTTTGGAAACCATTGAAAGTGGAAGGAACAGGGGATTTGGAATTCAGGGTCCTGGGTTTAACTTCTTGTTTTGTTGTTCACTCAGTTTCTCTGAGCCTCAGTTACGATATTTATTAAAGGAGACTAATAAGACCCTCTGCTCAGGAAGTGGTAATATATACAAGGCACCTGGCAGAGGAAGGGCTGGGTAGCCCTGGTCTTCCCTTTCCCTATCTTCTCCCTCTTTCCTAATTCCCTGTGTTGCTGATTGTTTCTTGCACAGGTCATTCTTTCTCACCTACCCACAACTGTTCATCACTGTCCTCCACTTGACGTGTTCTCCCTTCTTCTCTCCCTGATTTATCAGAGCTAGGCTGCTAAACCAACAGCCTCACTGGCTTCCCTCTGACTTCAGGTTAGATTTTGTCTTTGGTGTCCTATTGTTTCACTCCTGGTTTCTGATTTAAGTTCTTTGATCCCCAAGGAGTTTCCCATTGGACCAGTTCATATAATGCCTTTCCTGCCCCCTCACTAGTGAAAGTCCTGCAGGGTTTTGTGGGAAGGGATGGGTTGCTTAGGGAAGGGGATAACTCCAAGTTCTATGTGGAGAAAAATAAAGAAAAAATCTCAGGTTTGTCAAAGATTAGATAGTTGTAGATATGCAGCATTATTTCTGAGGGCTCTGTTCTGTTCCATTGATCTATATCTCTGTTTTGGTGCCAGTACCATGCTGTTTTGGTTACTGTAGCCTTGTAGTATAGTTTGAAGTCAGGTAGCGTTGATGCCTCCAGCTTTGTTCTTTTCGCTTAGGATTGACTTGGCGATGCGGGCTCTTTTTTGGTTCCATATGAACTTTAAGGTAGTTTTTGCCATTTCTGTGAAGAAAGTCATTGGTAGCTTGATGGGGATGGCATTGAATCTATAAATTACCTTGGGCAGTATGGCCATTTTCATGATATTGATTCTTCCTACCCATGAGCATGGAATGTTCTTCCATTTGTTTGTATCCTCTTTTATTTCATTGAGCAGTGGTTTGTAGTTCTCCTTGAAGAGGTCCTTCACGTCCATTGTAAGTTGGATTCCTAGGTATTTTATTCTCTTTGAAGCAATTTTGAATGGGAGTTCACTCATGATCTGGCTCTCTGTTTGTCTGTTATTGGTGTATAAGAATGCTTGTGATTTTTGTACATTGATTTTGTATCCTGAGACTTTACTGAAGTTGCTTATCAGCTTAAGGAGATTTTGGGCTGAGACAATGGGGTTTTCTAGATATACAATCATGTCATCTGCAAACAGGGACAATTTGACTTCCTCTTTTCCTAATTGAATACCCTTTATTTCCTTCTCCTGTCTGATTGCCCTGGCCAGAACTTCCAACACTATGTTGAATAGGAGTGGTGAGAGAGGGCATCCCTGTCTTGTGCCAGTTTTCAAAGGGAATGCTTCCAGTTTTTGCCCGTTCAGTATGATATTGGCTGTGGGTTTGTCATAGATAGCTCTTATTATTTTGAGATAAGTCCCGTGAATACCTAATTTATTGAGAGTTTTTAGCATGAAGGGTTGTTGAATTTTGTCAAAGGCCTTTTCTGCATCTATTGAGATAATCATGTGGTTTTTGTCCTTGGTTCTGTTTATATGCTGGATTACATTTATTGATTTGCATATATTGAACCAGCCTTGTATCCCAGGGATGGAGCCCACTTGATCATGGTAACAAGCAATGGGGAAAGGATTCCCTATTTAATAAGTGGTGCTGGGAAAACTGGCTAGCCATATGCAGAAAGCCGAAACTGGATCCCTTCCTTACACCTTATACAAAAAATAATTCAAGATGGGTTAAAGACTTAAACGTTAGACCTAAAACCATAAAAACCCTAGAAGAAAACCTAGGCATTACCATTCAGGACATAGGCATGGGCAAGGACTTCATGTCTAAAACACCAAAAGCAATGGCAACAAAAGCCAAAATTGACAAATGGGATCTAATTAAACTAAAGAGCTTCTGCACAGCAAAAGAAACTACCATCAGAGTGAACAGGCAACCTACAAAATGGGAGACAATTTTTGCAACCTACTCATCTGACAAAGGGCTAATATCCAGAATCTACAATGAACTCAAACAAATTTACAAGAAAAAAACAAACAACCCCATCAAAAAGTGGGCGAAGGACTTGAACAGACACTTCTCAAAAGAAGACATTTATGCAGTCAAAAAACACATGAAAAAATGCTCAGCATCACTGGACATCAGAGAAATGCAAAACAAAACCACAATGAGATACCATCTCACACCAGTTAGAATGGCAATCATTAAAAAGTCAGGAAACAACAGGTACTGGAGAGGATGTGGAGAAATAGGAACACTTTTACACTGTTGGTGTGGCTGTAAACTAGTTCAACCATTGTGGAAGTCAGTGTGGCGATTCCTCAGGGATCTAGAACTAGAAATACCATTTGACCCAGCCATCCCATTACTGGGTATATACCCAAAGGACTATAAATCATGCTGCTATAAAGACACGCACACGTATGTTTATTGCGGCACTATTCACAATAGCAAAGACTTGGAACCAACCCAAATGTCCAACAATGATAGACCAGATTAAGAAAATGTGGCACATATACACCATGGAATACTATGCAGCCATAAAAAATGATGAGTTCATGTCCTTTGTAGGGACATAGATGAAATTGGAAATCATCATTCTCAGTAAACTATCGCAAGAACAAAAAACCAAACACCGCATATTCTCACTCATAGGTGGGAATTGAACAATGAGAACACATGGACACAGGAAGGGGAACATCACACTCTGGGGACTGTTGTGGGGTGGGGGGAGGGGGGAGGGGGGAGGGATAGCTTTAGGAGATATACCTAATGCTAAATGACGAATTAATGGGTGCAGCACACCAGCATGGCACATGTATACATATGTAACTAACCTGCACATTGTGTACATGTACCCTAAAACTTAAAGTATAATAATAATAAAATTAAAAATAAATAAATAAATAAATAAAAAGAAAAAATCTCCACTGGCCGGGTGCAGTGGCTCACACCTGTAATCCCAGCACTTTCGGAGGCCAAGATGGGCGGATCATGCGGTCAAGAGAAAAAAAAAAAATTAGTGTGGCTTGGTGGCACATGCCTGTAGTCCCAGCTACTCCAAAGGCCGAGGCAGGAGAATCGCTTGAACCCAGGAGGAGGAGGTTGCAGTGAGTTGAGATCGTGCCACTGTACTCCAGCCTGGTGACAGAGCAAGACTCCGTCTAAAACAACAACAACTCTACCCTCCTTTTCCATTATAGGCTTCTGGCCTGAAACAGGTTTGCTATATAGCAAAACATCAAAAACAAAGCCAAAAGACAAATGACAAACTGGGGCAAATAGGCAAACGGTTAATATGTTAATAGGTCTTATATATAAATAACATTAAATTGGGTTTGGAGTTTTTATTAATATCATGGACAACCATTCTGATTTTTGCATTGAGACAGTAATCGTAACTTAAAATGACCATAGGATTGTCTACTAACTAAGAGTGAGCAGAAAAATCATGGACCTGCTGGAGTTTTCATCTAGTTGCAGAAGAAATGTACACCCACTGAACAAATTTTAAAATGACAATAAAAGACCCAAAATAAAACTGTATTTTTATTATGTCAACAGTAGTGTCTATTCAAGGTATTGGTCACACCCAGTATTCTGTAAACTTTTTATCTTTTACTTAATATACCACAGAATTTTTAAAATTCAACTACATCAAGATTTACCTCAAACTTTTGATTCCTTAAATAACTTAAAGTAGATCTACTGTTTTATCTAGCAATCCCACTACTGGGTATCTACCCAGAGGAAAAGAAGTCATTATATGAAAAAGATACTTGCACACACATGTTTACAGCAGCACAATTTGCAATTGCAAAAATATGGAACCAGCCCAAATGCCCATGATTCAACGAATGGATAAGGAAAATATGGTATATATATATACCATGGAATACTACTCAGCCACAAAAAGGAACGAAATAATGACATTTGCAGAAACCTGGATGAAATTAGAGACTGTTATTCTAGGTGAAGTAACTCAGGAATGGAAAACCAAACACTGTATGTTCTCACGCATATGTGGGAGCTAAGCTATGAGGATGCAAAGGCATAAGAATGATACTTTGGACTTTGGGGACATGGGGGAAAGGGTGAGGGGTGGCAAAGGATAAAAGACTACACATTGGGTACAGTGTGCACTGCTCAGGTGTTGGATGCACCAAAATCTCAGAAATCACCACTAAAGAACTTATTCATGTAACCAAACACCACTTGTTTCCCAACAACCTATTGAAATAAAAAAAATTAAAAAAAAAAGATTTTCCATCATGTAACTCTATTCTTCTTTATTCAGTTAATTCCGTATTAATGTATGTTTAGTCATTTCCAATGTTTTTTTCTTATAAAGAATAATGATATTGATATCTTAAACCCTTAATATTTCCCCACTTCTTTCATTATTTTCTTAGGATATATTCCTCAAAGTGAAATATTTTGTATGAACATTTAAAAAAGAATGTTAAAAATTTTTATATATTAGTCTTTCAAAAAGTTAGATCAGCTAACACTCTTGCTAACAAACTATGCTTAATGACAAATTTCCATATCCTTGAAAACTGAAGATCATCAATATTTTTATTATTTTCAAGAGAGAATGGGTGGAAGTAATGTCTTAGTTTAAACTATAAGTTCTTGGATTATTGTCTGATGATAAGCACCTTTTTCTGCATTTGTGGGCAGTTTAAATTTCTTCTCTTTTCATTTTATTGTTCATGTTGGTGAAGAAAGTTTTAATCAGATTAATAATTCCATTACAAGGTTATGTTTTAATATCTTCTTTTGGTGAAATTAATGTCAAATTGGTGGGCAGAGGTCTCTACCCCCCAATTATATATAAAATTAATGCTTCCAATTACTGTTTTAGATTAGAGTACTTTTCTGATTCTTATCTTCTGTATAACTCCAGGTTTTATAGTGTTTTCATTTTTTTAAGAGTGTGAGTGTAGCATGAAGCTCACTCAGAGAGAAATAAGCTTGTTAACGTGGACTTTGGTGGGGGGTGGAAGGTGGTGCTGCTAACCTAGTTGGGCACTCTGTGGGTACCCACTCATTGACTCTCAAAGTCAGGCAGTCCAAGTCTTATCTGATATAATTTTGGGGGATGTTTATAAAAACTACAAAGAAGTTTGTTAGTGAGACAACTTACTGTTTTACCATACAATTAACAATAAACATATACATCTGATCAATTTTAATTCTTCTCACTGAGGAGCTTCTGAAAATCTTCACCTGAAGTGATGTCTGGAATGCCGATTCCTGGTCTGTTTGCAGTGGCCAGGTTTCTGGGGACCTTCTCTGTGTGTCTCAGCAGCATGTCCTTACACTAAGCCCACCATTTGCCATTGACACCCATTTTCTGCATTTTTCCTCATGTTTCAGTTCAGCATAATCAGAATAAAGTTCAGGTTTTTTCCTTCCTTCTGGTATGTTTTGCAAAATGCAGTGAAGGAACTGAATCCATAAGGTGCAAGCCCAAGGCAGCTCTCCTTGCCCAGGGTCCACCCTCGCCCAGCCTTGGGGTATTTTTTTCCTTGCTTGTGGATGATTACACTCCAAGTAGGCCCAATATCTTTCCCAATCATTCTTAGATGGCAAAGGTCCTTTAAGTCGGAGTAACCAAAAAACAGCCACACCTCAACATGTCCCATCTAACTGTGGTGTACCTGGGTATATTTGACAATTTAACAGGATTGTTAATATTTCCTCTCTCTATACGACCACATTATCTTCAGTAATAATCATAAAATGAAGCAAATCATAATAATGGCCAAAAAAGAAATACAGTTAAAATTTTCTTTTATTAAACTTCTCTATACAATCATGCCTGTAAATAAAAAATAAAAATATTACCATAGAGAAAGGAGAAAAGTAATGAACTAATGCTTTGTACATACACTAGGATTTTTTAAAGGAAAAATTACACTGCAGTCTGCACTCTTTTACAATTTAAACAGAAGAAAAACTCCAGGCTGTCTCATAGAATGACAGAATTGAAGTAACACATGTTCTGTGTCTTTACAGTAACCATGCTATCATTGCTTATTTCAAATCTTTTGATTAAATGCAGAAATATGTAGTACCACAGGAGCTGGAGATAGTAAACTGTGCCTGAAGCAAACATGAATTATTCTCAACCCTTAGGAACTTGTTCTTGAAACAAATGTGTGTAGCTAAGACCCAGTGTGTTGGGACCAACTGGACAGCAGGGAACTTTCTGAATTAACTTCTATGTAGAAAATATTTATTAAAAGGGGAATAGTAGCAATGTACTAATTTGAAACTTACCACAGCAATTGTTTAGACATTAAACCAACAAAAGATATTTTGGAGAGGAGTATTTATCATTGGCAGTATATAGAAATGCTGCAAAATGATCTTGAAAAGCAGACTAACTTTGAGTGAATTTAATCACTGCTTTTAAATTCTCCACAGATGATTCATCCTTGATGTCTTAGTACCATATAAGCTCCTGAGCTTGGATTCAACCTTCAGAAAAACATGAGCAGAAGGCCCAGTTTCTGTCATTGAGTGAAAAGGGCTTAAGGTAAAAATAATCCTCAGTTATTAAATGAAGAGTTATTTTCTTAAACATCTGAGTTTGTAGTTGGAGATTAGTACTTGGTAACTTGTTACTATAGAAACTGCTTCTTGGTGCTGTTGAGGCAGGTAGGAGGCAGGACTCGGATGCTGGGCCAAATTGAGGACTAGCTAAAACAGGGATAGGGTAGAAACAGCTTTCCATAAGACACGCCTACCAGTGTGGCATGTCAGTTTACCATTGCCATGGCAACACCCAGAAGTTACTGCCTCTTTCCCTGGCAATGATGTGACAACCCAGAAGTTACCACCCTTTGCTTAGAAATGTCTGCATATCTGCCCCGTAATTTGCATGAAATTAAAGGTGGATGTAAATATGACCGCAGAACTGCCTTTGAGCTGTTTGCTACTCTGGGCACACTGCCTGCAGGGTAGCCCTGCTCCACAATGAGGAGTACCTCTGCTGCTGCTTACACTACTGCTTCAATAAAAGTTGCTGTCTGATACCACTGGCTCACCCTTGAATTCTTTCTTGGGCAAAGCCAAGAACCCTCCTGGAATAAGCCCCGATTTGGGAGCTTGTCTGCCCTGCATCACTGTGGCTTTCCTTCTTGCTGTCATCTGAACACTGGGTCTTCTTTCTGTATGGTGCAGTTTTTCTTGCATGAAAAGAAGAGATTTTAAACTCTTATTTTAGAGAGAAGAATCACTCTGTGAATGGGATCCAAACTGAACATGGCTGCTGCCTGGGCAGAGGCATGAATATGTAGCCCCAGTACACAGTCTGCACAGAATTCAGGGGATGTCCACGTTCATTGTCAAGTGGGTCACAGAGGTCTTTTTCAATCCCTTCACAATGCTTTTGTTTGGGGCCTTCCATACCCTCATCTTTCACAATTCCTGGCCCGAGGCTTCTCCAGGGACCTAAAATGGCAAGTAGGCCACTGATTCTAAATATCTTAATTCTGAAAAGCATTGATCTGAATATCTGTGGCAGAGAGTGAGGGGCCTGCTATTGTAGAGGAAGTGCTCTCTCTTGGAGCAATGGAAATTTTTTTGAATAGTGAAATCCAATGTGGCTTTGCAAATGACCGCTGGTGAGTGTGAGTCTTCAATCAGGATGCCTCTTTGGTGGTGTGTCAGCATGCAATTATCTTGAAAGTCCTCAGGGGGAGGCACAATCGGTATGGTCCCCCATTGGGTCTGATAACTCTCCAAGGCCTCCCTGGGGTGCAGTGCCCATGCCAAGAAGGCACTGCAGCAATTAAAGAAGGTTTTCTCCCTGAGCTCTGGGGTATATTTATCTTCAAGCTAATGTTACAGTTGGTGCTTCCTTTTGCCAAGTTTCAAAACAACTGGGCCTCCTATTCCTTCACAGCCTTGTAACAGTGAGAGGAGGGTTCAAAAAAATCTTCCTTCTGGTAAGAAGGGATGAGCGCTAGTTGAATATCCATTAGATTCAATAAGTCAACCTCATTTCAAAGGCATCTTCACCTATCGTGGGTCCTGCTGAAGCTGTGACCTAGAAGAGACGCTGGGCCTTTTGTCCCCAAGGACTGGTGGGAGGAAGCCTGAGAGGCCGGGATGATGCCCTGCTGGACAATGGGGAGCATTGACGAAGTGCTCCCATTTATTGGCTGAGCGACTGCATCAGTCATTCATTCACAGGCGCAAGGTCTAAATTGCAGAACCAATTAACAGCACTAATAGCCCTTGCCTGAATTAATCTTTGAGACAAAAGGGAGGAGAAGTGGAAGTGCTATTAGCAAATCAAGCTGTACCATCCCTGCTTTATTGCGGAAATCTCAGTGTCTGTATGTGGCTATTGTGTGCTGACTGCAATTACAGCCCTCATTTAAAAATGATTAAGTGGTTATAATTATTTTTCAATTAAAACTTATATCTTCCATTTATGCAACATTTCAGACTTCAATTAAACTTCTTTTTAAAAGTGCCACTGAACTAAAAGATTCCTGTTGCCTCTTGCCAGGAAACCCTAAACTCAATCCAGATAGGATTTTGATTTCCAGCCTTTGGAATTCGTTATATTAAATTTAGACATTGTGATGAAAGTTAACAAGCAATAAAATTTGCAGTGCCTGCTGGAAGTGATCACCACCATCACCACCACCATGGGTGCGGAGGAGAGAGACAGTTCCAAGCTCTTCTTGGGGAGGCTCGAGAAATTTGTGACTACTGAGAAGAGAAAGGTGTCCTTGTCATCGTAAGGTAGTGTTACTAGAAAAGCTGCTGCCTGAGGCCCAATATTTAGAGCAGCAACCTCAGCTGTGGTCTTGTTACAGTAATGAGTTACTGTAAGGAAAGTGTGACATTTCGAGCAATTTGATTTGTTTAAAAACTAGAGCAGTTTCAGGGTTTTCCTTGTAAATCTGTCTTATGTGTCTTCAATGTTCTTTCTTGAGGAGTAGAGAAAGGAATTGTTAGGAATGATGCATAAACCATGGCTTATTTTATCTCGCTGCCACCCATAATCAGAGCAGATTCTTGGGACTATGACCCTCATGGAGACATGACAATTGTGTGTGTGGTGGTGGAGAAAAGAGCTGGGAATTTTTAGGGTCTAGAGGTTCCAATCAGGACTATTTTATGGAGCTCTGCTCACCAACTTTAGTGAGCACCAGGGTTGTGAAAGCGATTCTTGGGTTCAGAGAAGCAGTGGAAGGTGTTAGTTGTTATCCTGATACTGGCCAACTTCGGACTCTTATTTTAACTGGTTATTCTCAGTTAATGATGTCAGTGTTGTTCTGTGCTGTTGAAGGAATGCATGTGGCAATGTAATGAGCTTTAGAATCGCACAATTAAAAAGAAATAGTTTATAATTCTTGTTCCTTAGTAATGAAGTCCTGGTTTCTCTGACCCAATTATAGCACAAGGAAGGAAAATTCTGTCTAAGGAAATGGAAGGCGATGGCAGTAATGAAATCTTGAGTCTGTACTATGGACCAGACCCTGTCCAAGTAACTCAGACAAAACTTACGGCCCCTCCTTGCAAGGAAGAGATGTACTATGGCAATATATTTTTCCTTTTTTAAAAAGTAAATAAAATATGTCCCCTGTTACTGTTTATTTCTCCAAAGTACCTTTAACTTTTATGCTTATACAATATGTTAACTGTAGAAGAATAGAAAATTTGGGAAATAAACCTAAGCAAAAAATCAAATCAAATCAAATTACCTATGACCAGTGTTGAAGATTTCATGTAATACCTTCTACTATTATATTTCTTATTAAAGTTAGATCCCTTGAGCATCTGATTGGCCCATAGCCACAGGACAGATGAGCTGTGTGTTATCCTTCTTGTGTGAATTGTAGCCAGGGTCAGGGGAAAGGACCCAGGTTTCTACTGAATTCTATGTGTTTGGGTAGGTAGGGAGTGCTCAGGACAAAGAAACCTATGAGAACCTCTGGATTCAGAGGAGAGTGAGGAATTGTACTTGAAGCAGACCAGCATGAGAAACAAGAATGGTAGTCAACACCTAGCAGCAAGCTGGGAGCTGGGTCAAGAGACTCTGAGTTTTTTCCTTAATATATAGGCCATGCAGGGCTGGCAGCAGAGCAAATAAGTCCCTGATGACTGGGAGAAGCTGAAATATTTGGAAGTGCATTTATCCCTGTTAATATTTTTGAGAAAGCTTGTTATAGCTTAATCACTACTTTTGATTTTCAGATGTATATCTGCCTTTAAAAAATATCTCTACTATTTCCTACTGAACTGACCAGTTTATATCAGTTATTTTATAGTTTGTATAACAGACCTACAATGTAGATGTTTTACAAGCTAAGTTTTCAGATGGGATTAGAGAAGTTGTTCAGAGAGGCTAAGAATTTTGTCCCTGCTTACATACCTAAGATGTGGCAGAGCTGGATTTCCTTGTCTGTCTTAGCATCAATACCACTCTACCTTAATGATAATGACTTCGTAGAAAACTGGATACATGGTAGGACAAGGACCTCCCTCCCCAGTCCCGCCCTGTGGTTCTTTCTTTCCCCACCCATGCATGTGTTCCTTTTCTTCACATCAGTTCTCCATTTTCTTGTTTTTTTTTTTTTTTACTCTTCTCTGTGAATTTAAGGATGAGCTTGTCACAATCCATAAATAAGACCCCTGTTGGGGTAATGATTGAATATTGATTGGAAAAACATTAAACTTATAGGTTACTTTGGGCAAGACTTGACATCTTTATGAGATTAAGTCATTCTGTCTGTGAATCTGGAGTATCTCTATTTATTCAGATCTTCTTTCATGTACTTTAATAATATTTAATATATTTTCCCACAAAGCACATCTATTTATTACAAGGCTCCTTACAGATTTTTACATTTTTGTACTGTGAATGGGATTTTTCTCTATTATCTTTTTCAATTGATTATTACTGTTGTATAGAACTTCAGTTGATTTTTGTATATAAATTTTGTTTCTAGTGAGCTTGCTAAATTATCTTATTCGCAAATAAAGACAATTTTGTTTCTTCTTTTCAATTTCTATATGTGTATTAGAAATGAATTGCTTGTATTCAATAAAACAGTGAATAGAAGCAATGATGTGGGCATTTTTTCCTTGTTCTTGTTTTAAAGGGACAAGCTCTAATGTTTCATTATTAAGTACATTATTTGCTTTAGGTTTTGATAAATGCCTGTCTCAGGTTAAGTAAATTATTTTCTCTTTCTAATTTGCTAGAAGTTATTTTTAATTCTGAAAAGATTGACCTTCATCAGATCTTTCTCTGTAGTTATTGAGATGACCACATAGTCCTTATTCAGTCTCGTGCTGTGGTATATTATATTACTTGCCTTGCATTCCTGGGATATGCCCTACATTGTCATGATAAACTGTTGAATTCAGTTTGATAATATTTTACCTAAGATTTTTCCATCCAGTTTTATAAATGAGATCGACATGTAATTTCTGCCCTCCCTGCCTTCCTCTCTCCCTTCTTTCCTTCCATGTCTTACCACTAAGGGTATGCTTACCCCCTCCATGAGTTGATTTTTATCTTTTCATCTTTTCCCATTCTTTGGAGCAGTTTGTGTGTGATCAAGATCATTTATTTGGTGCACATTTATTGAGTGCTGACTATGTGCCAGGCCCTCTTCTAGTCACTGGGATATAACAATGGACAGGCAATGGTCCCATTAACATTTAAAAGAGTCTCCTGGCTCTGGGTCTTTGGAAGTGTGGAAGAGTCTTTTGATTTCCAATTTAATTTCTTTCATGGTTTTTTGTTTTATTCAGGCTTTTATTTTTCTTCAGTTTTGTTTTTTTTTTTAGATTTTTCCTAGGAACTTTTCTAATATATATATTTACTAATGTATTGGGATAAATTTATTTATAATATTAATTTATGATTTTTAATCTCTACTGTAGATGTAGCTTTGTCCTTCCCCCCAACAACATTGCTTATTTCTACCTTTTCACTTGCTCAGTCTTGTTAAAGGCTTATCTATTTTGTTATTGTTAAACTCATTTTATTAGTTTTTGCAAGGAACCATCTTTTAGCTCTTAATTTCTGCCCTTTACTGTTTTCTTATATTTCTTTTCTAAAGATTTCTGTTTCCAGCTTTTTGAAATGATCACATAATTAATTTATTTCCAATCTGTCAATTAAAAAGTACATCTCTCTATTATTCCCATTGAAAGAAGCTAGGACTTCTTAAAGAATGGCTTAGTCGAGATCGGGGGCAGAAAATATACAAGATGAGCCCAGAACATCTGTCACAATAGATAACAAAGGAGCCATCAAAGACTACCAGGGTCATAACAATAGGACTCTGAAGCCTAATTAAAGAGGTTCATTCTCACTGCCCAAAAATGGGACAATACGACCATCAAAAAGAATAATATCTGCAGAGAATTGAAATACATCATGTATATTAAAATCCATGAGCCCATAATGATACTAAAAATATCCCTCTTGGTAATCTTTGATATTAGGGTATTAACTCATTATTGAGAAACCCATTACGAAGGGAAATTGTCAGTATTTTTCCTGTTTTTCCTAGATAAACTTTTCCTAGGAGTAACTAAGTAGTTGAGGGAAAGCTCTCTTTAGAATAAGTTTAGTTAATAAACAAAGAATGGTATGTTTAGGATGCCATCCCTTTGCAGTCCTCAACGAATATACGAAGGTAGGCAATAATCCTTAATGTCTGCTAAAGCCTCCTGATTTGATGCCTTGGGAAGTACACGCTACCACCTATGAAATATTCTAGCCAAAAATTTAAAACTTTATTGAATCAGATTTCAGCATCTAAATAACAGTGTATAGGAAGCACTGGAAACCAAGGAACATGTTAAATGACCCCATGGGGATGGAACCAGTAAAATCCAGACCGTGGGAAATTCCACATGAGGAACAGCAGGCTTTTTCAACAAATAATTAGCAAGGAGAAAAAAAACAAAAACAAAAGGGAGTAAAATCTATAGATTGAAGGATACGTAAAAGACATACAAGCCAAATACAATAACCAGAGCTTGTTTGGAATCCTGATTCAAACAAACTGTATAAAAATTATAAAGGAATTATTTTTAGTTGTTTTAGTTGCAATGATAGAATTGCTGTTTGGTTAAAAAAGAGAGATGCATATCTTTTAGAGATATATACTAAAGTATTTATAGATGAAATGTATGATATATTTTGCTTCGAAATATTCCAGGATGATCAAATGCTGATAATGGTTGAAGCTGGATGATAGGTACATAAAGGCTCATCAGACTCCCTTCTCTACTTTTGTGTATATTTGAATTTTCCTGTAATTAAAAAAATACATCTAAGGTTTTAAATTAACCTCTCAGTAGTAATTCAGCTGTATCCTACTAGTTTTCCAGGTAGTACTTTTATTGTTGTTTAGTTCTAAACAGTTTTTTCATTTCCGTCTTGAATTTCCTCTTTAAACAATAAATTTAGTGATGCATTTGTATATATGCGCACTTTACATATTTTAATATTATATATTTTAAATGTTATCAACTGATTGTTCATTTCTGATTTAATTGTATTATATCAAAAATTATCTTCATTGCATTGATTTTATTTTATTAAAATCATTATTTATTTATTTAATATAAATAAATTATAATATAAATACAATATAAATTATAATACAAATTATATAATATCAATTATATAATATATAATTATATATTATATTATATAATTATATAATATATAATATATAATTATATATTATATTATATAATATAATATATAATTATATATAATATATTATATATAAATACAATATAAATTATAAATAATCATTTATTTAAATCAATTCATTGCATTGATTTTGAAATTACTTGAGACTTCCTTTGTTATCTAATATAAGGTCAATGCCAAGTTAAAAAAAATTTTTAAAGGAAATGTTGCATTTAAATCTGTGAAAAAATATGTATTATTTATTTTGTGGGTTCAAAATCCTTCTTTATATTGATTAGATCAACTTGCTAATTTTGTTTTTCTTTATTCTTATAATATTTTAATTTGCTCGATCTATTGTTTTTGATAGAGCTGTGTTAACATTTCCAGGTGTGATTGTAGATTCTTTAACTTTGTTTGCAATTTCATAACTTTTTATGCTTATTGAGCCTATGTAGTTGGTTTTCATTTTATTTCTTAAGTCTGTTCTGGTTATCTAGGTAGCATATCTGTGTGGCATAACACAACCACCACTTTTGTTACGCTCATGGATTCTGAGTCAAGAATTTGAGCAGAGAACAGCAGAAATGGTTTCTTTCTGCTCCACCGTGTGTGGGGCTTCAGTTGGGAAGATGCAAATTGCTAGAGGTGTTCTTAGTGGGTGGACACTGGAACCATCTGGAGACTTCTTCACTTGCATGTCTTGCATGTCTAGGACCTTACCTGGAGAGATTCAAAGGCTGAATCTGATGTCCAGGGCACCTCCACACGCCACCCCCCTCACCAAGGTCTTGGCCTTCTCACAACGTGGCAGCTGCCTTCTGAAGGAGCACCCCAGAGGGTGTATCTGGAGGGGAAGAATTCCAAGAGACCAAGGCAGAGGTTGTAAGGTTTCTTCTGACCTTGCCCCTTGGAAGTTTCCTAGTATTACTGCTGCTGCATCTTACTGGTTTGGAAAACAAAATCTGCCTCAGAGCCCATGTCGTTGGGTGCATATTTGCAGCTCTTATTCTCTTTATGTCTCTGTTTCTCTCTTTTTTTTCCCCCTCTATATATGGATGTTGTTTGAATATGCCTTTTATTATTATGTTGTGCTCCTTTTTGTTTCTATTAGTCTTAAACATCTTGTTGAATTGAACCCTTTACCATTATGGAATGTCTTTCTTTGTCTTTTTTGATCTTTGTTGGTTTAAAGTCTGTTTTGTCAGAGACTAGGACTGCAACCTCTGCTTTTTTCTGTTTTCCATTTGCTTGCTAAATTTTCCTCCATCCCTTTATTTTGAGCCTGTGTGTATCTTTGCACATGAGATGGGTCTGTTGAATACAGCACATTGATGGGTCTTGACTCTTTATCCAGCCTACCATTCTGTGTCTTTTAATTGGGGCATTTAGCTATCCTAAATATATATGCACACAATACAGGAGCACCCAGATTCATAAAGCAAATTCTTAGAGACTTACAAAGAAACTTAGACTCCCACACAATAATAGTAGGAGACTTTAACACCCCACTGTCAATATTAGACAGATCATTGAGACAGAAAATTAACAAAGATATACAGGACATGAACTCAGCTCTGGACCAAGTGGACCTGATAGATATCTACAGAACTTTCCACAGAAAAACAACATAATATACATTCTTCTTGGTGTCACATGGCACTTAGTCTGAAATTGATCATATAATTGAAGTAAAACACTCCTCAGAAAATGCAGAAGAACTGAAATAATAACAAACAGTCTCTCAGATTACAGCACAATCAAATTAGAACTCAAAATTAAGAAACTCACTCAAAACCGCACAACCACATGGAAATTGAGCAACCTGCTCCTGAATAACTCCTGGGAAATAATAAAATTAAGGCAGAAGTCAAGAAGTTCTTTGAAACTAATGAGAACAAAGAGACAATGTATCAGAATATCTGGAATGCAGCTAAAGCAGTGTTAAGAGGGAAATTTATAGCACTAAATGCCCACATCAAAAAACTAGAAAGATCTCAAATCGACATCCTGACATCATAACTAAAAGAACTATAGAATGAAGAGCAAACAAACCCCAAAGCTAGCAGAGGACAAGAAATAACCAAGATCAGAGCAGAACTGAAGGAGATAAAGACATGAAAACCCTTCAAAAAATCAATGAATCCAGGGGCTGGTTTTTTGAAAAAAATTAATAAAATAGATAGACCAGTAGTTAGACTAATAAAGAAGAAAAGAGAAAAGAATCAAATAAACACAATTAGAAATGATAAAGGGGATATCATCACTGACCCACAGAAATACAAACAACCATCATAGAATACTATAAACACTTCTATGCAAATAATCTAGAAAATCTAGAAGAAATGAATAAATTCCTGGATGTATACACTCTCCCAAGACTGAAACAAGAAGTTGTTGAATCCCTGAATAGACCAATAATGAGTTCTGAAATTGAGGCAGTAATAAATAGCCTACCTACCAAAAAAAAGCCCAGGGCCAGATTGATTTATA
The DNA here is from genome assembly GCF_000001405.40 of Homo sapiens. NCBI lineage: Eukaryota > Metazoa > Chordata > Mammalia > Primates > Hominidae > Homo > Homo sapiens. Next base: position 137,954,338 of record NC_000003.12, on the reverse strand, counting down.
GCTGAATTCTACCAGAGATACAAAGAGGAGCTGATACGATTTATTCTGAAACTATTCAAACAATTGAAAAGGAGGGACTCCTCCCTAACTCATTTTATGAGGCCAGCATCATCCTGATACCAAAACCTGGTGGAGATACAACAAAAAAAGAAAACTTCTGGCCAATATCCCTGATTAATATCAATGCAAAAATCCCCAATAAAATACTGGCAAACTGAATCGACCAGCACATCAAAAAGCTTATCCACCATGATCAAGCTGGCTTCATCCTCAGGATGCAAGATTGGTTCAACATATACACATCAATTAATATGATTCATCACAGAAACAGAACTAAAGACAAAAACCACATGATTATCTCAATAGAAGCAGTAAAGGCCTTCAATAAAATTCAACATCTGTTCAGGTTTAAAACTCTCAGTAAACTAGATATTGAAGCAACATACCTCAAAATAATAAGCCATTTATGACAAACTACAGGCAACATCATACTGAATGGGCAACAGCTGGAAGCATTCCCCTTGAAAACTGGCACAAGACAAGGATGCCCTCTCTCACCACTCCTATTCAACATAGTATTGGAAGTTCTGGCCAGGGCAATCAGGAAAGAGAAAGAAATAAAGGGTATTCAAAGAGGAAGAGAGGAAGTCAATTGTCTTTGTTTGCAGATGACACAATCCTATATCTAGAAAGCCCCATCGTCTCAGCCCCAAAGCTTCTTAAACTGATAAGCAATTTCAACAAAGTCGAATGATACAAAATCAATGTGCGAAAATCACAAGATATACACCTATATTCCTATACACCAACAACAGACAAGCATAGAACTAAATTATAAATGAACTCCCATTCATAATCGTTACAAAGAGAATAAAATACCTAGGAGTACAGGGAAGTAAAGAAACTTTTCAAGGAGAACTACAAACCACTGCGCAAGGAAATCAGATGGGATGCAAACAAATGGAAAAACATTCAATGTTCCTGGATAGGAAGAATCAATATCGTGAAAATGGCTATACTGCTTAAAGTAATGTATAGATTCAATGCTATTCCCATTAAACTACCATTGACATTCTTCACAGAATTAAAAAAAAACTATCTAAAAAATCATGTGGAATCAAAAAATGGCCTATATAGCCAAGGCAATCCTAAGCAAAAAGAATAAAGCTGGAGGCATCATACTACCTGACTTCAAACTATACTACAAGGCTACAGTAACAAAAACAGCATGATACTGGTACCAAAACAGACATATAGGCCAATGGAACAGAAGAATAGAGAGCTGAGAAATAAGATGGCATATCTACGACAATCTGATCTTTGATAAACCTGACAAAAACAAGCAATAGGGAAAGGATTCCCTATTAATTAAATGCTGCTGGGATACTTGGCTAGCCATATGCAGAAAATTGAAACTGGACCACTTCCTTACACCTTATACAAAAATTAACTCAAGATGGACTAAAGATTTAAATGTAAAACCCAAAACTATAGAAACCCTAGAAGAAAATCTAGGCAATACCATTCAGGACATAGACACAGGCACAGATCTCATAACAAAAACACCAAAAGCAATTGACCAAAGCAAAAATTGACAAATGGGATCTAATTAAACTAAAGAGCTTCTGCACAGCAAAAGAAACTATCATCAGAGTGAACAGGCAACCTATCGAAAGGGAGAAAATTTTTGCAATCTGACCATCTGACAAAGGTCTAATATCCAGAGTCTACAAGAAATTTAAACAAATTTATAAGAAAAAACCCATTAAAAAGTGGACAAATGACATAAACAGACACTTCTCAAAAGAAGATATTTATGCAGCCGACAAACATATGAAAAAATGCTCAACATCAGTGATTATTAGAGAAATGCAAATCAAAACCACAACGAGATACCATCTTATGTTAGTCAGAATGTCAATTATTAAAAAGTCAAGAAACTATAGATGCTGGCAAGGTTGCAGAGAAATAGGAATGTTTTTTATACTGTTGGTGGGAATGTAAATTAGTTCAACCATTGTGGAAGGCAGTGGCGATTCCTCAAAAACCTGGAACCAGAAATACCATTTGACCCGGCAATCCCGTTGCTGGGTATATACCCAGAGGAATATAAGTCATTCTATTATAAAGATACGTGCACACGTATGTTCACTGCAGCACTATTCACAATAGCAAAGACATGGAATCAACCCAAATACCCATCAATGATACACTGGATAAAGGAAATGTGGTAGATATACACCATGGAATACTATGCAGCCATAAAAGGGAACAAAATCATGTCCTTTGCAGGGACATGGGTGGAGCCGGAAGCCATTATATTCAGCAAACTAACACAGGAACAGAAAACCAAACACCACATGTTCTCACTTATAAGTTGGAGCTAAACAATGAGAACACGCAGACACAAGGAGGGAAACAACATACTCTGGGGCCTGTTGTTGTTGGGGCGGGGAGAGGGAGAGCATTAGAAAAATAGCTAATGTATGCTGGGCTTAATACCTAGGTGATGGGTTGATAGGTGCAGCAAACCAGCATGGCACACATTTACGTATGTAACAAACCTACACATAGTACACATGTACCCTGGAACTTAAAAAGAAAAACTTAAACATCATTTTTGATGCAATTAATATTACTTGCTTAGTTTTCTTTTTTTTTCTTCCTTTTTTTTTTTTTGAGACGGAGTCTCACTCTGTTGCTAGGGCTGGAGTGCGGTGGCATGACCTCGGCTCACTGCAACCTCCGCCTCCCGGGTTCAAGTAATTCTCTTGTCTCAGCCTCCTGTGTAGCTGGGATTACAGGTGCGTGTCACCACACCTGGCTAGTTTTGTATTTTTAGTAGAGACGAGGTTTCACCATGTTGGCCAGGCTGGTCTCCTGACCTCGTGATTCGCCTGCCTCGACCTCCCAAAGTGCTGGGATTGCAGGCGTGAGCTAATATTTGTATGACATATCTTTTTGGATTCCTTTATTTTTCATCTTTCTTTTGGTTTTATTTTAGGTTGATCTTTAAAAAATTCTTATAATCTTTATACTTTAATTGGTAAATGTAATCTGCTTACATGTATTATGATGCTTAATATATTGGCATTAACTCCACCATCTTATTTTGGGTTTATTTTTTGCCATCTGCAGATGCAGGCAGGCAAGCCATTTCAAGAAAAACCTGGTGAATTAACTCATGGAGAAAGATTTACCAGGAGTGATTTAGGGTATTCCAGCCACTCGTATAATTTTACTTTCTTGCCAATGCTTGATTTTTTTGAAGAAATAAATCTGTTCATTCTACTATGGGAAAGGGAGAAGATGCAAAAGTTGATGTATGGAGGTAAATTATTTTTTTTCTCTCAGTCACCAAAAGCAAATGACAGTTGGTAGATTACTGATGATGATTGTTAGGATCAGTCAGCCATTCAGCCAGAAGGTGTTTGTTGAGTATCTACTATGTGCTGGGCATTGTGTTGGTGCAGGGATATAGTGATGCACAAGACAAACATTGTCCTTGTTTTCATGGAGAAAGTCAAGAAGGAAATGGTTATTAGCAAATAAGGCTCAACCTGGGTTCCCTGGGCTAAGAGTCACAGGAATCCAGGCATGGAAGGGTGTGGTGAGCAGAATGTTGGCCCCTGGCTTTCAGACTCTGGTGTTATGCCATGGGGTGAAACATAATTAAGGTTATCAATCAATGGACCTTAAAATAGGGGAGATTATCCTGGATTATCTAATTGAGTCTAATTTAATCATATGAGTCCCTAAAAGCAGAGAACTTTCTTTGGCTGGTGGCACAAGAGGAAGGCCAAAATGGAAGTCAGAGAAATGTGGCAGGAGAAATCAGAGCCAGATATTTGAAGCATGAAAAGAATTGCATATGCTATTGCTGTTTGAAGGCGAACGTGGCCCTGTGACAAGGAAATGGGGACTTCAGTCCTACAACCACTAGGGACTGAATTCTGCTAACATCAGTGAGCTTGGAAGAGGACCTCGAGCTCCAGATGAGAATCAGAGCCCCCTGATTTTAGACTGGTGAGACCCTGAGTAGAGAATTCATCCACACTGTGTTGGACCTGTAGAAACCATCTATCCATTCACACTGTGTTGGACCTATAGAAACCATCTATTCATCCACACTGTGTTGGACCTATAGAAACCACCTATTCATCCACACTGTGCTGGAGCTATAGAAACCACCTATTCATCCACACTGTGCTGGAGCTATAGAAACCACCTATTCATCCACACTGTGCTGGAGCTATAGAAACCACATATTCATCCATACTGTGCTGGAGCTATTGAAACCACCTATTCATCCACACTGTGATTGACCTATAGGAACTGTAAGATGATAATTGAGTATTGTTTTAAGCCACTAAGTTGGTGTAATTTGTTACAGCAGCAATAGGAAACTGATGCAGAGGGTGTAATTCTCCTGAACCAGAAGTGTCACTAGCCATTCCTCATGAGTCTTCCAAACTGCCCTTTGCTATCCTGGCACTCTGGTCAGGTCTCTACTGCTATTCCATGTCAACATGCAGTGTAGTGGTTGTGTTTGCAGGCTTCAGAGCCAGACCACCTGGGTTTAAATCCAGGAAATCCAGCACAGTGGTATGATCTGGACAAGTTTTTAAATGATCTGTACCTTAGTTTCTTCATTTGTAACATAAGGATAATAATAGCACCACCCTCACTGAGTTGTAGACAGGATTAAATAGTCAGTACGTGTAAAGGGCTTAGAAGAATGCTCGGCATGACATCTAAATAGGCCCTCACTGATAGCTGCTACTACGACTGCTAGGACTTCTATAGTTATTCATCTTGAGTCCCACTCCAAAGCCCTCAGTCATGAAGCATGAGAGAAGACCTTCCTCAAGTTTCTACTTATTAATTTTCCAAACTTCTCTGAAAAATGCTCTGTTTGCATTTCTGCAAGCTAAGGATGTTCCTTAGAGACTTTCAGTGCTTTCTGATGTCTGACTGGAGAAAGATAGTTTCTTTCCTGGACCCATTACCATATTTCCAGCACAGGCATAATTTCAGATACTGTGGCTAGGAACATAATTTGGAATTTCTTTACTACTCACTGGCTGTTTGATTTCGGACAAGTTAACGTTTCAGAACCTTAGTTTTCATATGTGGAAGCTGAAGATATTAAATGCAGTGAGAATTAAATGAAGTAATGTAAAGTGCCTAGTACAATGATTTTAAGTAGAAGATATGATTATTAGTGTCATTTCCAGGAACAATTTTTGAGGTTAACTCTAAGTTTTGCCCTAAGCTGAGCCCTGGGGCACTGTATCCAAGAACCCACTTTTGGGCAGGGGAATAGCCTCTGGACCCATCTCCCTCCTAGGGACACACAGCTTGTCAGGGTTCCTCTTCATTTAGCCTGCAGATAGCCATTGCCATCTGAATTTCACAGCAGGAAGTTGATCTAGATAGCCTTTGCCAGCAGTAGACCCTTTTAGGTGCAAGTTGCCCAGTGTGAGATCCCTAATCACCTTCTTTGAAGATGAGGATGATGGCTCAGCTGCATGTAAAGACCTCTGTGGGTCAATGTGCTTGCTTTAACATTGAGTATTTTGTTGCCACTTTGTTCCTTCTGTCTTCAGATGCCAGTGAGGTACTTCTCCAGCATTAATAAGCACATAGTGAAACTTGAGTCCCAGGGTCAAGTAGGATTAAAATTGAGTGACTTTTGGCTTCACTACTTGTGCACTTGCTGGGCTGGGCTGCACCAAGCAGGCTGGAGCTACTTCTGCAGAACATTGCCTTAAAGTGTCAGGAATAAACAGGCATGTGCCTGGCGGATGTTGACTCGCACTACCACATTCCCTCTTTCTAGCTCTCCTTGATGGTGGAAGTGTCTGTGGTTCTGACAGATGGCACAGCGCTGGGGGATGCCTGGGGATAGTGCTACTCCCCCATTTCTGTGGGAAGCCAGCCCAGGAATTCCTCTTCATCTGACCTGGTGTGGATGTCTGTGAGGTTGGAGCTCTCTGACAGTGGTGCCTCTCATCAGAGGCTGCTTGATTCCCTGTCCCATCTCTACTTCTCCACCAGCTATGCTTTCTACAAATGCATGTGTCTCCTCTGGATGGGACACTGCTTCTCAGGCTTGTTGTTGGCCATCAGTGCCAGGCTCAGAGTAGATGCAGCATTGACAAGGGGAATATGTGAGTCAGCAGAGCCCAGTAAGCAGCCTATAAACCAAGCTGGTGCCCTCAGGGTTTCCAAAGGTGTAGCTGAGCTGCTATCAAGAGTCCTGTCAAATTGGGAAGAACATGCTGACAACTTGTTTTAACATAAGTACGTGCTCTGCATTGGGTCTTTCCCATGTTCT